>NC_000011.10:72267817-72570847 GCF_000001405.40 Homo sapiens | reverse complement strand
ATACAGCGAATCCCTGCTCTTCAGCACTCTTTGCAATGCCTCTGGGCTTTCCTTTCTATCCTGGCAGGATGAGTGTTGGGATTCCTCACTGGTCTTAGTTTTCCTGTCCATTAACTTGAAGGATGAACCCACTGGAGGCTTTCAGGATACAGAAGATGTTCTGAGAGGAAGGCTGCCCTGTGTCTGGGCAGCTGTGTGGGAATGAAGTCTGATAGACGGCACAGCCAGATTTTTCTCTGAGGGAATACCAAGATCAGTCCATACAGGAAACAAAGCACAACATCAAGTTTGGGGACTGGTGGGTCAGATGTGAGAATGGGAGGTGTGGCAACATCCTGCCAAGATGGCTGCCACTCTCAATCCCTAAATCACCCCTGGGAGAACTACAGAACTGATTGGGATGCATAGGATTCTAGGAAAAGACAACAGTGTTATAGCCCAACAAGTTCTTCTTGCCTGCTGCCCAGAAAGACTAATGCACTGAGAACAGCAGGTGCTGCAGCAAAGAAAGAGTTTAATAATCACAGGGCCAGCCAAGGACAGGAGATGTTTCTCAAATCTGCCGTCCTGAGAATTTGGAGGGTAGGGTTTATTAAGTATAGTTTGGTGGGCAGGGGACTAGGAAATGGGGAATGTTGAAGAATAAATCACAGGGAGTTGAAGCTGTCTTCTTGCACTGAGTCAGTTCCTGGGTGGGGGTCACAGGACTGGTTGAGTCAGTTTCCTGACTTAGGTTACTGGTCTGGGTGGTAACATCTGGTTCCTCAGAATGCAAGGTCTGAAAAATATCTCAAATACCGGTCTTAGGTTTTACAATAGTGGTGTTATCTATAGGAGCAATTGGGGAGGTTACAAATCTTGTGACCTTTGGCTTCATAACTTCTAAGCCATAATTCTAAACTTATGGACAATTTGTTAGTTTTATAAAGTTTTATAAAGGCAGTTTTGGTCCCCTTGCAAAAAGGGGGTTAGTTTCAGGAAGAGGCTATCATCATTTGTTGTTGTTGTTGTTGTTGTTTGAGACGGAGTCTTGCTCTGTCGCCCAGGCTGGAGTGCAGTGGCACGATCTCGGCTCACTGCAAGCTCTGTCTCCCGGGTTCATGCCATTCTCCTGCCTCAGCCTCCTGAGTAGCTGGGACTACAGGTGCCCGTCACCATGCCCAGCTAATTTTTTGTATTTTTAGCAGAGATGGGGTTTCACCGTGTTAGCCAGGGTGGTCTCAATCTCCTGACCTCATGATCTGCCTGCCTCGGCCTCCCAAAGTGCTGGGATTACAGGTGTCAGCCACCGCACCCAGCCTCATTTTTGTTTTAAAATTAAACTATAAACTAAATTCCTCCCATAGTTGGCTTGGCCTGTGCCCAGGAATGAGCAGACGATGTGCTTGTGAGGTTAGAAGGAAGATGCAGTCAGCTGTGACAGATTTCTCTCACTATCATTCTCAGTTTCTCACTTAATTTTTCCACGGCAGCCTGGGGTGCGCTGGGAGCAGGGAGAGATAAAAGTGAGAACTGGGTTGGAGAGGAGTGCTTGGACAGTCACTGCCTCCCATTTCACCTGTGCACAAACTCCTGATGTGAGTTGATTCAGTGAGGAGGGGCCAGCCAGGTCCCCGTGGGCATCATCCTAGCACTTTCTCTCCCCAGTCCCTAGGATGGGTGGCTCACAATCCAGGGAGATGCCTAGGGCTGCTTCTTTTCTAGATATTCCAGTCAGAGGAGGCTCCAGCAGAAGGGAGTGTCCAGCTGTGGCTGTGGGGTGCCTGGGCCTCACATCTTGTCCTCGCCTTGGTCAGGACCCAGCACAGATTAGGATGCTGCCTTCAGCTCATCCCCAGCACATATTACCAATCCGAGTCATGCTGCCCTGAGGGAAACATTGGTCCACAGGTCAAAAGAATACAACTAAAAGAAAGAAAACAGGTCAGGCACTGTGGCTCACTCCTGTAATCCCAGCACTTTGGGAGGCCGAGGTGGGCGGATCACGAGGTCAGGAGATCGAGACCACCCTGGCTAACACGGTGAAACCCCGTCTCTACTAAAAATACAAAAAAAAATTAGCCGGGTGTGGTGGCGGGCGCCTGTAGTCCCAGCTACTCAGGAGGCTGAGGCGGGAGAATGGCGTGAACCCAGGAGGCGGAGCTTGCAGTGAGCAGAGATGGTGCCACTGCACTCCAGCCTAGGCGACAGAGTGAGACTGTCTAAAAAAAAAAAAAAAAGAGAGAGAGAAAAGAAAGAAAACCAAACAACACAGACAAATCAGGCAGACTTTAACAGATGGGTCCAGAATGTAAAATAAATGCTTTAAATTTCCCTAAAGAGATAAGGGAAGATATTAGCAACATGAAGTAAGAACAAGAAATCATTCAAAAAGAACCATTTGAGACCAGCCTGGGCAACATAGCAAGGCCCTGTCTCTCCAAAAAAAAAATACCCAAATTGGCTGGGTGTGGTAGTATACACCTGTATAGTCCCAGCTCCTCGGTAGGTTGAGGTGGGAGGATCGCTTGAGCCCAGGAGGTCGAGACTGCAGTGAGCCATGATTGTGCCACTGCACTCCAGCTTTGGTAACAGAACAAGATCCTGTCTTCAAAAATACAAAACAAAAAAACAAACAAAAAAAGAGCCAAGTAGAAGTATCAGGGATGAAAAGATTATAGTTGGAATAAAGAAGGGGACAGATGAGAAGAGCAGGGAGGATTCAACTGAAGAGAGAAATAGTGAACTTTGAGGATCAGCTGGACAAACTCTTGATAAAGGCGGTTGGAAAGGGATCAAGAAATAGAAGGTATACGAGAAAATAAAATATAAGAGATGTGGAGGATAGAAGTAGAAATGCCAACATCCAGGCAATAGATATCCCAGATGAAAGGATAAACAAATTGGAGGAAATATTTATAGAAACAGTGGACATAAATATACTATATTAAAAAATTGAAAGACCTAAAATTTAAAGGGATCTGAGAGTGTCAATCATGGGAGATAAGGACAAACTTCCAACCAGATGCATTATTTCATAAATTTAACACTACCAATGCAAAGAGAAAATTCCAAAAACTTCCAGAGAGAAAATGCAGGTCACCTAAAAAGGAGAATGAACCAGGTTATCATCAGAGTTCCTAACAGTATTCACTGCTGGTTGGAATGGATAAAGATGGGACAGTCAAAGACTGTATATACACATCCCCTACATGCAACAGAGAATATACAATTTTCTGCACATACAGAGTATTTGAAAAATTGACCATCTGTTACAGGGATCCGCAACCCCCAGGCCATGGACCAGTCCCAGTCCCTGGCCTGTTAGAAACCAGGCCATACAGCAGGAGGTGAGTGGCAGGCGAGCAAACGAAGCTTCATCTGTATTTACAGCCTCTCTCCATTGCTCGCTAATATTACCGCCTGAGCTCCATCTCCTGTCGGATCAACAGCGGCATTAGATTCTCATAGGAACGCAAACCCTATTGCGAACTGGGCATGCGAGGGATCTAAGTTGCACACTCCTTATGAGAAGCTAATGCCTGATGATCTGTCACTGTCTCCCATCACCCCTAGATGGAACTGTCTAGTTGCAGGAAAACAAGCTCAGGGCTCCCACTGATTCTACATTCTGGTGAGTTGTGTAATTATTTCATTATATATTACAATGTAATAATAATAGAAATAAAGTGCACAATAAATGTAATGCACTTGAATCATCCTGAAACCATCCCCCACTCCTCGTCCGTGGAAAAATTGTCTTCCACAAAACCAATCCCTGGTGCCAAAATGGTTGGGTACCACTGAACTATGAGACCCCACAGAAGCCTAAAGGCCCCAAAGGATCAACATGACATAATGTTTTCTGACCATAATATAATAAACATAGATATTAATAGACATTAATCACAAAAGAATGGTTAAAATGTCCATATATCTGGAAGTGATGTAGTATGTTATTAAACTACTCTTGGGTTAAAAAGAAAACTATAAAGGAAATGATGAAATACTTAGAACTAGACTGTAAAAACAAATCTCCACTACATACAGTATCAACATTTATGGAATAGCCAAAACAGTACTTGGTGAAATGTATATCTTTAAATTCATTTATTGGGAAACAGAACACTAAAAATGAACTAAGCATTCAACTTAAGAGGCTGGACAAAAGACAGCAAAAGAGCAAAAAGAGGAAAATTAAAATGGGTCAGAAATAAATAACCCAGAGAACATCAACAACAGCAATTAGAGATTCCCCAAACCAAAAGCTGGTTCTTTTAAAAGATTAGTAAGACTGACCTCTGATAAGACTGATCATAAAAAAAGAAAGATGTAGACATACTAAGTATAGAACAAAAGACAGACAATATTTACAGATACCAGAGGGGTTAAAAACATAAAAAAAGAGTATCATTAAAAATTACAATTTAAAAGGCTGGGTGTGGTGGCTCACGCCTGTAATCCCAGCACTTTGGGAGGCCGAGGCGGGCAGATCACAAGGTCAGGAGATCGAGACCATCCTGGCTAACATGGTGAAACCCCGTCTCTACTAAAAATACAAAAAATTAGCCGGGCATGGTGGCAGGCGCCTGTAGTCCCAGCTACTCAGGAGGCTGAGGCAGGAGAATGGCGTGAACCCAGGAGGCGGAGCTTGCAGTGAGCTGAGATCGGGCCACTGCACTCCAGCCTGGGTGACAGAGCGAGACTCCATCTCAAAAAAAAAAAAAAAAATTACAATTTAAAAACTTGGATGAAATGGATACATTTCTAGAAAAATATAAAATTCACACGATATAGAATTTGAATAGGTCAATGTATGTTAAAGGAATGAAATGGCAGTTAAAAACCTCCTCTCAAAGAAACTCATTTTCCAGATAGCTTTACAGATAAGTTCACTAAACTTTAAAACTTTGGGAAGTGTCTGGTTTATATAAGTTATTCCAGAAAACAAAGCAAACTCCCCAGTTCATTTTATGATGTTAACCTGTTCTTGATTTTCAAACCAGATAACGCAAAATAAGATAATGCAAGATTAGTTCAGTTTCATCTAGGAGTTTAGATGCAAAAATCCTATATTCAAAATGCTAGCTAACCAGATGCAAATGAATATTTTAAAATGCATCATAATCAGATAGAAATTTTTTTCTAAGGGATGCAAGGATGGTTTCCACTCAGAAAACCTATCCATATAATTCACAATATTAATAGACTTATGGAGAAAATTATAGGATTATTTCAATTGATGTAGAAAAGAGTATTTGATGAAATTGATACCTATTTGTGATTTAAAATAATTCAATGAACTGGGATTATATGGGAAATTAACTTGGAAGAGGTAATATTCCAAAACTCTCCAATTAAGATTTTAGTCAATGGAGGAATTTTGATGTATTTCCTCTGTGAATAGAAATAAGACAGGGATGCCCATTATCACCAATCCTGTTGCACCTAGTACTAGAGGTCCCGGCCAATGCTTTAATGAAAGGAAAAGAAATAGGTGTACATTTTGGAAGGGAACTGATTAGAGTGTCTTTTTTCACAGATGATACAATTGTCTATCTAGAAGCAAATAGAATCAACAGACAAACCATTAGAACTAATAGGAGAGTTTATCAGTATTTCTGGAAATAAGATGAAAATTAATGCTATTTCTCTACAACAACCAGAACCAATTGGAAAATGTAACTCAAAAATAGTATGCCACTCACAAAAGCAATAAAAATGATAAAACATCTTAGAAATTAATCTAGCTAAGAATAAAAATGCTATCTTTGGGACAATATCTAGACATCTGATAAGAAAAGGAGATTATTTGAATAATGAAGGATTCCATGCTCTGGATGAAATGACTTGATATTACTACAAGTTAATTCTCTTAATGTAGCAGGACAAACCGCAGACAAAAACCCTCAGACACCGAGTTAGAGAAGGAGGGGCTTTATTCGGCCAGGAGCTTCGGCAAGACTCACGTCTCCAAAAATCTGAGCTCCCGAGTGAGCAATTCCTGTCCCTTTTAAGGGCTTACAACTCTAAGGGGGTCCACATAAGAGGGTCGTGATCGATTGAGCAAGCAGGGGGTACGTGACTGGGGGCTGCATGCACTGGTAATCACAATGGAACACAACAGGACCGGGATTTTTCACAGTGCTTTTCCATACAATGTCTGGAATTTATAGATAACATAACTGGTTAGGTCAGGGGGTCGATCTTTAACCAGGCCTCGGGTGTAGCGCCAGGCTGTCTGCTTGTGGATTTCATTTCTGCCTTTTAGTTTTTACTTCTTCTTTCTTTGGAGGCAGAAATTGGGCATAAGACAATATAAGGGATGGTCTCCTCCCTTACTAAAAGTAATTTAGATATTTAATACAATCCCTATACAAATTCCTGCTGGTTTCTTGAGCAACACAATAAACTCCTATTAAGTATACATGAAAAAATAAAAATCTGTGAACAGCAAGTTAAATTTGAAAAGTGAAAGTAAAAAGAATATGATTTTTAAGTGATACTATAGTTTAAAAAAAATAGAGACGAGGTCTCACTGTTGTCCAGGCTGATCTCAAACACCTGGGCTCAAGTGGTCCTCCCGCCTCGGGCTCCCAAAGTGTTGGGATCACAGGTGTGAGCCACTGCACCCAGCCAAAAGTGACATTGTAATCCATCACAAGAGTAGGAAAAAAAGGTGATATTGGTGCCAGAGAGACAAGAGCGTTAATGGGACAGAGTAGAGAGCTCAGAGGGGAGCATATGTACAACTAGGAACTTTACAATACTACCCAGTAAAGATGGGACTCCCACTTCTAGGGGAAAGGATGGATTGTTGGGAAAACTCACTCATAATATGCAGAAATAGAAGACTGGATCCCTGCTTACCATCACACACACAGGTGGATGCCAGGCAGATTATAGACTAAACATGAAAGGTAGGAGTGTCAGGTCAACAGAAGAAAACACAGAGCATCTTTGTGTGCATGGAAGACAAACCATAAGAAAAACAATTTGTGAATTCAATTAAATTGAAATTGTGGATTTCTGTTCAGTGACAGATGTCAAGGTAAGGTTAATAGAGAGCCGCTAGAAGGAGAGATGTTATTTGCAATGTTTAAAATTGACAAGAGGCTAATATCTGGAATAGATGAGAAATCCCCACAAGCCAGCAAGAAGAGGACAGTAACCCCAATAGGAAAAGCCCAGAATAAGCAATTTATGGAAGAGATGCTCAAACTATTTGATTATCAGAGAAGCAGAAATGAAAACAAGAAGATATTTTACACCTGTTACAGCGGCAGAACTCAAAGAGCCAGATGATGTCGATTGTTGACAGGGATCCGGGAAATGGACACTTTCACACAGTGGCCATGGGAATGTAGACTGATGCTGTGCTTCTGGACAGCAACATGGCAGTACTCCGTCAAAGTGTCCAGATTCCCTAGACCAGCAGTGCCACTCCTGGGTATATAGCCCAGGGAAATCCTCCCACAGGCTCAAAGGGCACAGGAATGAAGATGCCGGCGGAATGTACAGCATGTTGATGGGCAAAATAGGGTGTATGCACACTACAGGGTACTACTTAGCAGGTAGAAATAATGTATAGACATACCTATAGCAGCATGAATCCTAAAAACATACAGCTGAGTGAAGAAAGAGAGAAAGAGAATGAGATCTATCATACACTACAATTTACCTAAACTAAAATATTGGGCTTCAGAATAACAGCATTCAATTTATAAGAACTCCCATTGGCAAAAGGCTCACATTAAGTACATAAATTCTTTTGAGGAGAAGAGAAGAATGGCAGGGAAGAACGAAGATGAAAAGGAATCCGTAAATAAACCATGAGCAGGACCCTGTATGGGCCAATGATGGTTCCACGCTGTGAACTCAGGAGTAGGATTAGCTCAGCCCTCTGCACCTGAGGCCTGGGGAACAAATATCATAGGAACAAGAAGCACACCTGCCCCCAGTCAGCCTCCTCTGAGTTCCTTAATTGTTCTTGTTTGAGAACGCATTTGTCTCCGGAAGCAGAGCCTTTCAGAGAGTATCTGATTCCTGGCCCTTAGAAAGCCTTGCTAAATGCTTACTTAGTGAATGAAGGAGTCTGTGAATGGATGAATGGGCAGATGAATAACTGTTAAAGAAGAAATGAGCTAATGATTGAATTAGTAAGTGAATTGGTGAATGCAATGGATGGGCCATTGAATGAATGAGTGCATGCCAGAATGACTGAGTGAATGAATCAAGACGTTAAAGAGTGACTGGATTGGGTGAGTCAATGCAATGATGAGTGAATAGATGGGTGAATGAATGGAGAATGAATGAGGGAGCCGGGCTGCTTGCGCAGACCTTGAGGAGAGCTCACCTGACAGGCAGGCACAGTTGAGATGGTTGCAATTCTGCTTGGTGCTCTGAAGAGTTACTAGGCTGCACACCTGCCCCATCACAGGAGAGGCTGGCAGCCACAAAACCTTACGGGGGGAAGTAGCACCTCTTGGGAAGCCTGACCGGCATGGATGGAAGCTCCGAAGCAGGTCTGCAGGGAGAAAAATGCAGCATTTCCAAAACTGAGGACTACCCCCTGGAGGCAGCTGGAGGTGAACAGGCCCTGTTGGACAGAGGCCCCTATCCTCCCAAGCTCAAAGTGGAGGCTGTCCATCCCTAGGAATACTGCCTCCCAGGGTGCCCACAGCAATCCCTCTGCACTGCAGCAGTGGCGGGGCTCAGGTCAGGTAGAAATGCAGGGCCTTGAAGGGAAAGTGCCTCATGTAGAGCTCTCGGGAGCCTCTGCCTATCCACAAGGCCTGGCTCAGCTCTCAGTTCAGGGCGTTGGACAAGTTGATGTTGGCCAGGACTGGGCTTGTAAGCTGGGGTGGAGCAGGGTGGATGGGATGGAATGTTGTGTGGTTGGGAGGGGAAGGGCAGAGAGGGGATAGGTCTGGTGAGTTCCTCAGCATGAGTGCTTCCAGGCCTCCCACAGCCCACATAGGCATCATTGCAGGTGTCCTGAGCCAGGGTCACGATGGTGAAGCCTCAAGTGTGGGCAGGAGGGAGGGAGGGGGCCTCAACCTGGGCTGAGCCAGGCTATCAGCTAAGCCTATTTTGGGTGCTTTCCTGTGTTTATTTCATTTATTACTGGCAATCTCCTTATACAGATGTGGAAAAGGAAGCTTGAAGAGCCTAGGGCCACCCAGCTAGGAAGTGGTGGAGCCTGGATTCAAACTCCAAAGTGTAGAGCTCCTAGGAGCCACCGCCTGTCCGTCCCCAAACTCCAAAGTCCATCTTTGGCCTGAAGCCTATACCCAGTTACTACCCTGTAACAGCTCCTGAGGCCAGGTGGAGAGGGCAGCCCTCAGTCTGGGAGGGCATGTTGAGGTGAAGGTACCTGCAGCATCTGCAGCCAGAGGCTTTCTCATCTCCTCTCGGCAGTGGCTGAAGAACAATCTCTTAAATGGAAGGCTCTCCCAAGGACGGTCAGGAATTATTATCCCCTTTGTAGGCAAGGGAAACTGAGGCCCAGAAGTTCAGCTGGTGAACCCTCCTTCAGAGCAAATAGAGCTTAAAGAGCACCTTCAGGGTCAGATGAGGAAACTGAGACCTAGAAGGAGTAGGAAATTCTAAGATCACTCAAAGATCGAAGGGAGAGCTGGTGCAGAGGGCTGAGCTAATCCTGCTCTTGAGTTCACAGCGTGGAACCATCACTGGTCCTTCCAAGCTCCTGCTCATGGTTTATTGGTGGATTCCTTTTCATCCCCCTCCTCCCCTGCCATTCCTCTCTTCTCCTCAAAAGAAATTATGTACTTAAGCCAGGCACGGTGACTCACGCCTGTAATCTCAGCACTTTCGGAGGCCGAGGTGGGCGGATCACGAGGTCAAGAGATGGAGACCATCCTGGCTAACACGGTGAAACCCTGTCGCTACTAAAAATACAAAAAAAATGGCCGGGTGCGGTGGCTCACGCCTGTAATCCCAGAACTTTGGGAGGCCGAGGTGGGTGGATCACGAGGTCAGGAGATCGAGACCATCCTGGCTAACACGGTGAAACGCCGTCTCTATGAAAAATACAAAAAACTAACCGGGCGTGGTGGCCGGCGCCTGTAGTCCCAGCTACTCAGGAGGCTGAGGCAGGAGAATGGCATGAACCCGGGAGGTGGAGCTTGCAGTGAGCAGAGATGGTGCCACTGCACTGCAGCCTGGGCAACAGAGTGAGACTCTGTCTCAAAAAAATAAAAAAATTAAAATTTAAATTTAAAAAATACAAATAAATTAGCCGGGTGTGGTGATGGGCACCTGTAGTCCCAGCTACTCGGGAGGCTGAGGCAGGAGAATGGCGTGAACCTGGGAGGCGGAGCTTGCAGTGAGCCAAGATCACGCCGCTGCACTCCAGCCTGGGTGACAGAGTAAGACTCCCTCTCAAAAAAAAAAAAAAAAAAAAAAAAAAAATTATGTACTTAACGTCTAGCCTTTTGCTGATGGGAATTCTTACAAAATGAATGCTGTACCAGCTCTCATTTCCTGGCCCAGGTTCTCTGCCCTGTCACAGGAATGGCAGTTTCTGGTCCAGCCTCAGGCCCCACGCTGGGCTCACCTTACAGACCAGCCCCTGGTTTATCTCCCATGAATCACTGTGCCCCTGTACCTGCCTGGTGCGGGTTAGAGCAGCCGATCCTCTTTTCTCTTCCCACCTGCCTCTGAACCATTTATCTGGCTCTCAGCTTAGACCACCTGGGTAGCGTGTGCCTATTAGGGGCAGGTAGATTCTCTTCCCAGGTAGACTGGGAGCCCCTTAAGGGCAGGAACAGATCTGCCTCAGCTCTGGTTTCCTACATCCCTACTCAGAGTATGGGACATAGTAGGTGGTCCAAACAGGTATATTCATTGACTGAAAGTGGCTGAGTCAGGATTTAAACGCACCCAGTCATCCAAACTCAACTGAAGACTGAAGGAGGCCCTATGAAAATCTCCAAATTCTCTCTCCAATTCTCTCTCTAGGCAACTTTTGCTCTCTGGCACCCTGCCCTGGGTGTTCCAGCTTAGAAGCCCTCCTCAGCCTCCTAACTCCATCGCCTCAACTCAGGGAGGCTTCTGGGCTTCCCCTCGGTTCCCCCGCCTAGCCTGTGGCATGGAAACTCTCTCCAGGCAATAAGTGGAGCATTGTGGGGCTCACCACATCTGTTTCCTTCTTCTTAGGAGTCAAAGTCATTGCCTGATATGCAATGCCTTGAAAACCTTCATTTCATAGATTTTTGCCCCTTTTTTGTTTGTTATTTTAGACAGGAGGGTAAATTTAGTCTTTATTAGTCTATTTTGGATGGGAGTGCATGTCTATTTCATTAATTTGTACTGCTATAGAGTACTCCATGTTTGAATGTGAATAGACATTTGGATATGAAGCTTCTGGCTGTTGGGAACAATGTTCCTAGGAAACTCTTGTATATGTTTTGAATATACCATTGTATGAATATATTAGAATTTATTTCTTCATTTCTATTGTTAATGCACATCTTCAAGCTTCCATCTGGGGTGATCATTCCTTTTGACATGAAAAATACCCTTTTAGTATTTCCTTTAGTGCAGGCCTGCTGCTGGTGAATTCTACTATTTCTGTTATTAAATGTCTTTGCAACGGAGCCTACCTCCTGCCCTGAAGGCAAGGTCCTCTCCCCTTCCAACTGGGTGTTTTCTCAAGAGATTGGGAGAAAGAGGCAGGCATGCATCCTGTATTTTTAATTAAAATAAAAAATAAAAAAATATTTCTTCTTTATTCTTGAAGGATATTTTTGCTGCTATTGAATTCTAGGTTAGGAAGTATTTCTCTTAGCCCTTTGAAGATAACATTCTATTCTCTTTGGACTTCTATTGTTGCTTTTTTTTTTTTTTTTTTTTTTTTTGAGACAGAGTCTCGCTCTGTTGCCCAGGCTGGAGTGCAGTTGCGTGATCTCGCTCACTGCAAGCTCTGCCTCCTGGGTTCACGCCATTCTCCTGCCTCAGCCTCCCGAGTAGCTGGGACTACAGGTGCCCACCACCACGCCCAGTTAATTTTTTTGTATTTTTCATAGAGACGGGGTTTCACCGTGTGTTAGCCAGGATGGTCTCGATCTCCTGACCTTGTGATCCACCCGCCTCAGCCTCCCAAATTGCTGGGATTATAGGTGTGAGCCACTGCGCCCAGCCCCTGGACTTCTATTGTTTCTGATGAAAAGTCAGCCATCAGTCTTATTATTTCTCCTTTGAAAGTAATACATGTTTTTCTCTGGCTGCTTTGAATAATTTATCTTTATTTTTGGTCTGCAGAAGTTTTATCACAATGTGCTTAGATGTGGTTTTCTTTGTATTTATTCTGTTTGAGATTCATAGCATGTCTTTTTCAGTGTGGTTTGCAAATAGTATTTCTTGAATCTGTGATGATTTTGCCTTTCCTCAATCTAACTTCATCAAGTATAGATAAGTGTATTTCCCATAATTCCCAAAGCATGGTAAGAAAGTTCTACAAAATTCTACTAAAATCCTGGGATAACAGGAAAGAAATCATAATGTAGAGATAGGGAAAACATTTTAAATTAGCCACTATATTATTGTCTTTAGGGTTTAAACTTAACATACTTCCTTGGAAGAGAAGGGTCCCTGGTGGAAGTCTCTTTCTCCAGCTCCTGATCTATCACCAAGAATGTGTCCCTACCTGGAGTCAGGGCATTCCACCTTCTTATCTGATGCCTGGTGAGATGGAAAACTAGTTTCCCTCTGTCTCTCTAGTTTAGCATATGCCTCTCAGTCAACATTTACACTTTAATGCAGAACAAATTAGCATCTCATTGCTTAGAACTCCTTCATATCAGAATAAGATTTTGGATTTACTACTGAGTAATCAAAATGTCTCTTAAAATATTTGCACCAAATAATTGATCAACTTGTTACCACAGGTAAATTCTGTTTCTATTTCTATATCATATATATATAAGAAAAAAGGATATAAAGGAAAAAAATCCCAGAAGCTTTAATATAGACATTATCCTTCCTCCAACTCCACTTTTAGCCAGTAATATTGGGATCCAATCACAATTGGATATTGATATTGATCACTGAAATATTTATGTCGCTGTGGTGGGTCAAGGCCACATTATGATAGGCTTGATGATGCAGAGAGAGGGGGACACAGAAGTTGACACTGGCAAAACAAGGAATCCACTTCATGCCAACAGTGCTGATGTGGACACTCCCCCTCAGCCCAGCAGAATAAAGGGTTGCCAATGGGCAGCAAGGGCTTCCCTGCCCTGGTGGATTTGTTGCTGTGCTTTGACCATTTGGCTCCAAGTGCCCCTGTATGAGGGCATATTTGTATCTCTACCTTTACCAGCTTATTTGCTCTCTCAGCAGTGAACCAAAGTGGAAGCACCCTTGAACCCTGGTCTGAATCGCTATTCTTACCAATCTTTGTACCCAAGCAAACTCTCTGTGATCTGGCCCAGCTCACTGGTGCATATATTTTTCCAAAATAGCAGTTACAATTACCTACTTGCCCAATCCCTTCTAGACTGCCTTCCTGTTGTAGAAGCTGGAAAACTAAAATGACATTTTCTAGGCTCCTCTGCAGCTTGGGTTTCATGTGTGACCTGAGTTCCATCAGGAAAGTGCCCCAGTCAGATGTGGAGGTGGAAGTACATCCTAGGCATTGATGACTGCATGCAGGTGGATAGAATCATCTGGAAAGGAGCTGTGACAGAGGTGTCTGGGTATTTCAGGGCTGTCCATGGGGGAGTTTCTAATAGCCAGAACCTCACATAGGTGCCAAGTTACAGGTAGTGTTTCCAGTAGAAATTCCCGTGGCACAGTTGGGCGTTTTGGCTGGCTGCATTGTCCCTGGCCCTGTTGTCTTTGGCTGTGTAGCACTAAGCCTAGTTCTCTTCTCCTTCTACTTAAACCTGTATGGCGTACACAGCTAAGAACGCTGACTGGTGCAGCTTTCTTGAAGCACTGATCCCATTGGTTGTAATTGCCTGTCTTCTCTTCTAATATAGCCTGAGTTCCTTGAGGGGAGAGACTAAATCTAGTTCATTTTATGTCCTTAGCACCCAACACAGAACCTGAGATGGAGTATGGACTCAGCAAAAATTCACTGAAAGCTTAAATGACATGTGAGTCATTTATTATTAAAAATCCAATCTGAGCGATTTCATCTACTCAGGAGCCCTGGGCTGGCCTGCAGAGCTTCAGTACTATCTCAGTGGTGATCACGGTCACACAAGTCACCTCATTCAACAGAAGAAAACAGTCTGCCCAGCAAAACCATGCCTGCATGACAAACAGCCAGGCCTCCCATCAATGGGAATCATGTTCACGACGGAATCCTGCTTGCATGACTGGCTGAACATGGATCAAAACAAACTGGCTTCCAGGACACTGGCAGGTTCCAGGATGCAAAACGACATTCACTATGAGTGGGGCATATAAAAGTAGGTCAGAGAAAAAGAACAAAATTTATACTATGTTGCCATCAAATAAATTCTAAAATATCACCAATGGAAAAAAATCCTCCTTAAAGAAATGTCACCCCAAACTGCCCCTAAGCATCTGTTTTTAATCTCTTCATGTGACTCCTCATCCCTGGGTCTTCCTAGTGACCAAAACACAGGCCCCCAATTTTGTTTTCTCTCTTAAGCTTTTAGTTTTCCGTGTCACTTTTCTAAGTTGTGGGATGTGCTTCCCATGGACCCTCTTGACGGCTGGCAGCTGCCCGCCAAGGGGAAGCATCTAGACAGTAGAATGCAGTGGTTCAGGGCATGATCTCTAGCATCAGGCAGAACTGCTTCAAGTCCCTGCTCTGCCATTTCCTTGCTGCATGGCTTTGTGTAAGGCTGTTAACTTTCCCAAGTCTCAGCTTCCTCATCTATAAAATGGGAATAATGATAAACATTCTTTTTTTCTTTTTTTTTTGAGACGGAGTCTTGCTCTGTCGTCCAGGCTGGAGTACAGTGGCATGATCTCGGCTCACTGCAGCCTCCGCCTCCCGGGTTCAAGCAATTCTCCTGCCTCAGCCTCCCAAGTAGCTGGGACTATAGGCGCACGCTGCCATGCGTGGCTATTTTTTTGTATTTTTAGTAGAGACAGGGTTTCACTATGTTGGCCAGGCAGGTCTCAAACTCCTGACCTCATGATTCGCCCGCCTCGGCCTCCCAAAGTGCTGGGATTACAGGCATGAGCCACCGCCCCGGCCACAAACCTTAAGAGATAAACAAATGACCAGCAAACTTCTGAAAAAATGCTCAACATCACTAATGATCAGGGAAATGCAAATCAAAATTACGATGTGATACAATCTTATTCCTGCAAAAATGACCGTGATAAAAAAAATCAAAAAATTATAGATGTTGGCGTGGATGTGGTGAAAAGGGAACACTTTTACATTGTTGGTGGGAATGTAAATTAGTAAAACCATTGTGGAAAACAGTGTGGAGATTCCTTGAAGAACTCAAAGTAGAACTACCATTTGATCCAGCAATCCCACTCCTGGGGTATCTGCCCAGAGGACAAGAAGTCATTATACAAAAAAGATATTTGTATGCGCATGTTTATAGCAGTACAGTTTGCAATTGCAAAAATATGGAACCAGCCCTAATGCTCATCAATCAATGAGTGGATGAAGAAATTGTGGTATGTATGTATATATAGGAATGAAATATATAGGTATGTGTGTATGTATGCATGTATAGGAATGAAGTAATGGCATTTGCAGCAATCTGGATGGAATTGGAGACCATTATTCTAAGTGAAGTAACTCAGGAATGGAAAACCAAACATCGTATGTTCTCATTTGTAAGTGGGAGCTAAGCTATGAGGATGCAAAGGCATAAGAATGATACAATGGGCTTTGGGGACTTGGGGGAAAGGGTGGGAGGGGGTTGAGGGATAAAAGACTACACATTGGATACAGCGTACACTGCTCAGGTGATGGGTGCACCAAACTCTCAGAAATTACCACTAAAGAACTTATTCATGTAACCAAACACCACCTGTTCTCCTAGTGACATTTTAAAACCTAGTGACATTTTTAAAAAATAATAAACCTTGTTAAGGCTGCTGTGAGGATATTTAAGGCATGAGAGGTTTCAGCCACTGTTAAAGCTGCAGCTCTCTGAAGTGCAGGGCTCCATGAAGGTGCATTTCTGGGAAGGAGGGAGCTCATTCCTCATTTTGTCTTCAGACAAAGACAGAGGGGCCAGAAGGGACTCCCAGGAAGAGGGCTTTAGCTTCAGACACAGAAGAGCAGAAGAGACTTGGGTTCAAAACAGACAACTATAGCACTCCAGGTTGGTAGCTGTTGTGGGTTGAACTACGTCCTCCAGTCTCTAGATCTGTGCAAGTCCTCACCTCCACTATCAATGAGTGTGAAATAGGGTGTTTTTTTGAAGGTGTGATCAAGTTAAGATGGATCATATTGTGGTGAGCTGTAATCCAGCATCTGGTGTAAGAAGACTTATGAGAAGAGGGAAATAACACAGACGCACAGGAAGAAGCCCATATGAAGACGGAGGCAGAGACTGCAGTTGTGCTACCACAAACCAAGGAACCGAAGCTAGCAATCTCCAGAGGCTGGAAGAGGCAAGGAGAGATCCCTAGAACCTTCAGAGAGAACACGGCCGACACCACTGTGATTTCAGCCGTTCAGCCTCCAGAACTGTGAGACCATACATTTCTGTTGTTTGAAGTCACCCGTTTGTGACCGTTAGTTCCAGCAGCCCTAGGAAACCAACACGGTGAGTGGGTCAGGGAGGGACCCCTCAGGTCACAGGACATAGATAGATGGGAGGGAGGAGGAGACTTAGCTGATGACCATCATTTTCCAGCTTGGCATCTTGGGTCCAGCTGGCAGGATAGCCCAATCCCCGAAGACCATCTGGGATGCACACACAAGAAGCTGGCCCCCTTGACTCAAGGGGGCGCAACTGCTCCATGCCATCTATGATTTATGCTCCAGACCCTCCTTCCCCAATCAGGCCATGGCTGCCTCCACCTTAGACCACATCCTTCTGCAGCTCTTTCACGTTTCCTGGCCTGCTTGCCTAATTCCCTGACAGGTTGTTTCTACAAGCACTCCCATCCATCAGCCATGTGGTCATCTGTCCCTCACAGAATGCTCATTACACACTTCCCCAGCCCCAGCCCTGGGCTCACTGCTGGGGTAGAGGGGAGAGAGCATTAAGGCAGGGGTCCTGCCCTGAGGGAGCTCACAATAACCGGAATGAAATGTTAATGGATTAATTCAACACATGTTTATTGAAAACATATTATGCGCTGTTCCTGACCAGGGATTGGAAAGGCTGCAGAGGTAAACAAAACCAGACAGCAAGCACACAGACTAGCCGAGAAACAGACACTAATCAAATAAAACCAAAGCAAAAATAAAACTGCAACTGGGCCATTAAGGAAAAGTAGGTGATGCCACAAGAGTCTACATGAGGGGATTTGACCTAATTATGGTGGTCAGAGGGGTCACAGTAGACGGAGAGATGCCTGGGCTAACACCTGAGGTATAAGAGGCAAAGAGGGGAAGAAACAGTTTGTGCAAAGGTCTGGAGGCAGGATGAGGCCCAACAAGAAGGAAGAACTTAAAGAAGCTTTACTAATTTATTATAAAGGATACAACTCAGGAATAGCTGAGTGGAAGAAATGCGCAGGGTAAGGTATGTAGGCAGAGGAATGGAGCTTCCATGGTTGGGGTGGCTGTAGAGTGTGAAAGAGAGAGGATTGTTGGTAAGATGAGGCAAGGGAGGCAGGCAGAGGCCAGGCTGCGTTAAGGAGTTTGGGCTTTATCCCAAAAGGAGTGAACATTAAGGGTTTTAAGTAGGCAGGTGACCCAGTCAGAACCTGGTGTCTGCAGCACAGAGAACAGTCTGGAAATAGGTTCTCTGCGATGGGAAGACCAGGCAGGAAGCTCCTGCAACAGCCCAGGCGAGAACATAATCATCCCTTGGCCTGAAGTCATGGAGGAGAGAGAGAAATGCACAGATGTGAGAGATGCTCTTGGTCATGGGCTGGATATGATGTGTGGAATGGAAAGAGGGGGGTTGGTGACTCTGTTTTCTGGTTTGTGTGACTGCATAGATGTCGGTGCCATTTGCTAGGAGAAGAAGCCATGAAAGAGGACCAGATCTGGGGGAGAAAATCCTGAGTTCAGAAAAAAGTTCTTTATAAACCATAATGGTTGCAGAAATGTCAGCTGTTACCATGTACTCATTTAAAAAATATTTAATGAATGCTTGCTATCTGTACCAGGTGCTGGAGATTAACAGGAAAGAAGTTAACATTGGATGCACAACTGTGGGAAGAGTGTAGAGAGATTAAGAGGGCACCATGGTTGATGTTCTGGGCTGGTGAACACATCGAGGTGCTCGGAGGGTGGCACACTTGGAGAGGGCATGGAAGCTCCTCCCCATTCCTACATATGATGCATTTCTTTCACTTGTCTATTCCTAAGTTGTATCCTTTATAATAAATTGGATAAGAAAGAAGTTGCATTTATTGATCCCTTGGGAAACACATGTTACAACTGGCTGTTTTGCATGGCGGAACCTCTTAAATGTACACCTGGGTTATGGTTACTGAGATGGCCTGTTTTGATGAACTTCAGTGTAATTACCCAGAATATTGGCTTTTTTTTTTTTTTTGATGGGAGTCTCGCTCTGTCACCCAGGCTGGAGTGCCGTGGTGTGATCTCGGCTCACTACAACTTTTGCCTCCTGGGTTCAAGCGATTCTCCTGCCTCAGTCCCCTGAGTAGCTGAGACTACAGGCATGCGACACCACGCCTGGTTATTATTATTATTATTATTATTTTGTATTTTTTGTAGAGACGAGGTTTCACCATGATGTCTAGGCTGGTCTTGAACTCCTGGCCTCAAGCGAGCCTCCTGCCTTGGCCTCCCAAAGTGCTGGTATTACAGGCATGGAGCCACCGCACCCAGCCTGGAGATTACATTTGTGAGAAAGGGGACATTGTATGAGAGACGTAAGTAATCAAAGGAGGTAAACTCGTCATGGTGGCAGATGATGAGATGAGGGAGTCACTCAGTTTGTGGTACTGAGTGATGGCAGCTACTTTGATGAGGTCAGCATTTTTTTTTTTTTTTGAGACAGAGTCTCACTCTATTGCCCAGGTTGGAGTACAGTGGCATGATCTTGGGTTACTGCAACCTCCACCTCCCGGGCTCAAGCAATTCTTCACCTCAGCCTCCCGAGTAGCTGGGACTACAGGTGCATGCCACCATACCCAGCTAGTTGTTTTGTATTTTTTGTAGAGATGGGGTTTCCTCTCATTGCCCAGGCTGGTCTAGAACTCCTGGGCTCACATGATCTGCCCACCTTGGGCTCTCAAAGTGTTGGGATTACAGGTGTGAGCCACCGCACCCAGAGAGGTCAGCATTATCATTAAAGGCAGCAGAACTGGCAATCAAAGAATGGCAAATATTTAAAGTGTCGGCTACTCAGACTTGTTCTGTCTCTCAGAAGATGACTTCATGGAAGCTCTGAGTACCCAGATGCCAAAGCTCTGCTGGAAGAGAAAGGGAAGCAAATCTTGATGAAAGATGAATGTGGATATAAATACTGCAGATGCCAGAAGTGAGCCTGAAGATTTTGAAGAGGGGGCCATCCTAATGGAGGGGTCAGTAGACTCCTGAAAACAAGTTTTGCCTGGATCCTGGCTGGCTATGAGTCAATGAGGCAGAAACTGAAGCAAAGATTAACCAAAGCTGAGAAATATCTGATCTCGCTTGTTGACACAGAATGTTCAGATATCGAAGGACCTGGAATGGAAAGTGGGCCCACGATTCCTACACAGGAGTGAAAAGCTGGTCATTAACAAGGACACATCCCATGATCCTTTTGGTCATGTGACTAAAGGCAATTGTAATTTGGAAGAAGAAAACTCAACTAGGGAATTTTTCCATAAGGAAACTGCTTAGGCTCAGGGCACAAGGCCCACATACTCACATTCAAGGTACTACGATTAAAGAATCATCATATCTTGGGAAGTTTTACAATAGACAATGTGCAAAGACATACAGTGACTAATTTATTAGTATCTGTATCTTTTTTCACATAATGTTCTTTTTATGTAATAGTGTTTATAAAAGTAAACAAGCATCCCTTGCTTTCAGGCAATTTGACTTGTTGAGGAATAAAATATATTCAGAGTAACCAGAAATTAGCTTGTACATCATGTTGGAGAAACCATTTTTAAAAGAATTAGAATGTAGGCCGGGTGCAGTGGCTCACGCCTGTAATCCCAGCACTTTGGGAGGCCAAGGTGGGCGGATCACGAGGTCAGGAGATTCAGACCATCCTGGCTAACACGGTGAAAACCCATCTCTACTAAAAATACAAAAAATTAGGCGGGCATGGTGGCAGGCACCTGTAGTCCCAGCTACTCGGGAGACTGAGGCAGGAGAATGGTGTGAAACCGGGAGGCGGTGCTTGTAGTGAGCCGAGATTGCGCCACGGCACTCCAGCCTGGGTGACAGAGCGAGACTCCACTCAAAAAAAAAAAAAAAAAAAAAAAAAATTAGAATGTAATAAAGTAAGATTAGTTACTTAAAAAAGAGGAGCATCATGGCATCAGACAGACTTTGGTTTGAGACCTGGCTTGACTGCTTACTAGCTGCTTGACCTTGGGTAAATCACTTAACTTCTCTATGTTTCAGGAATATCTGTAAAATAGGATTCACATCCCTGTTCCTTAGCGTGTCGTATGGATGTAGTGACCTAACACATGTAATGCCTTTACTGCATTTGACAGTTTTAGCACAGTGCATATACATGGTAAGTACCTAATAAAAAGATGCTATTGTGAGCTATGATCATGCCACTGCGCTTCAGCATGGGCAACAGAGCAAGACCCTGTCTCAAAAAAAAAAAAAAAAAAAGATGCTCTATCTTTGTTTCTCTATGAGGAACCATTGCATATCATGTCATCTAATCTTTATAAGAAGAGCATGAGGAGAGAATTTTTACAGAGAAGGGAGCCCTGTTGATTACTTATCCAGTAACTTTTGCCCCTCTTCCTCACTGTAAGAAAGTAGGTTTTGTTGGGGCATTCATCATTCCATATTCAGGAAAGCTGGCCCCCTTTCTAGCCTCAGGGTGTATTCCTGATTAGTCTAAACCAATCATGGTGATACTGTGGTTTAGACAGTCATGTGGTCCATTTCAATCCAGTTACCAACTTGTCCAAGCTTGCCTAGGAATGTCCCAGGTTTAGTACTAGTAATGCTGCCTGCTGGAAATCCCTCAGCCCTGGGCAAACTGGGATGGTTGGTCACTGAGACCTGAGGAAAAGACTTCTATAGGGGTGTGTGGGTAGGCTGTGTGTGTGTGTGTGTCTGTGTGTCTGTGTCTGTGTCTGTGTGTCTGTGTGTGTGTGTGAGGTGGCATCTGGAAAACGCTTTTCTTGCTAAGAATAAATGGTAAAGACATACGTGGCAGGAAATGCCCCCTTTGACTGGATGTCTTCTGTGGGTTATTTTTGGAGCTGCTGTAGTCATCCTGCACCATGATTGGAGACAAGCAACAGGCTAAAGATGGCAGCGTGAAGAAATGGACATCTGGGCCAGGCACAGTGGCTCATGCCTATAATCCCCGCACTTTGGGAGGCCGAGGCTGGTGGATCACGAGGTCAGGAGATCGAGACCATCCTGGCTAACACAGAGAGATGTTGTGTCTACTAAAAATACCAAAAATTAGCTGGGCATGGTGGTGGGTGCCTGTAGTCCCAGCTACTCGGGAGGCTGAGGCAGGAGAATGGCGTGAACACGTGAGGCGGAGCTTGCAGTGAGCCAAGATCGCACAACTGCACTCCAGCCTGGGCGACAGAGCGAGACTCCGTCTCAAAAAAAATAAATAAATAAAAAATAAATGGACATCCGGGCCCTTGAGGAAAATTCTGTGCTATGCTCAGAAGTTCTTGTTGTAAGAGTGTAAAATGAAATCCAAAATGGAGATGGTTATGTCAGAGGCCTCTAAGAAGGAGCCGGGAGGGCATGAGCATGAGGAGTTGGGACCCAATCACATACACACTCAGCTGGAATTTCACCTGTTCAACTGGGCTAAGTCACCAACATTCTTAAGAAGCAGCTGCATTTGATTTGAACTCTTTATATTAGGACTGATCATAAATCTCCTGGGGAGACAGTGGCATCAAATTCAGCTAATCGTCACCGAAGAGGCATTCTAAACTGTCAGCAAGCCACATTGACGTAGACTGTGCCAAATTCTTCCCCCTGTGTAGACTTACAGTAAACTTTCATAAGCTCCTGCCCAACCTCGCCTGGACAGAACACGATTTAGCTGCTTGCTAAATTTGTGACTCCCAAATTGCAATCCTTAAGACCCTGATTAAAAAGGCTTCTCTTGTGTTTGCCACTCCACAGTGTTGGTTTTATTTCTTATTAGTTGTCAAGGGTAATAAACCATAATACCTACTAATAATTGTTACTTGCAGCCAAAAGCATCCTGATGCAAAATGGTAACCAGCTGGAAAGAGGCAGAGCTGGACATGAGCCCATCTTCGTCCTAATATTCATACATTCATACTAAACATCAGGACAGGGATAAGTCTAAACTCTGGGAACAATTCTATTTGTCTAGGACAGTATTTCTCAAAGTGTGTTACTTCCATGAGATGCTCTCTGCACAAAGGACTTCATGGTCAAATGAGTTTGGGAAACATGACATGCTATACTCTTACCAATACATATTCATTTTGGGAGTCCTGCAGTAAGGAAATCTGTTCGCCTTGGGTTAACTCAGACTTTCTCAAAATAATTTCAATGTGGGATTTTCAGTTTGTTTTTGTTTTTCTGAAACACCTATTGAGGTCTCCCAGATGTTCCACAGAACACAGTTTAGGAAATAATGATCTAACATAGGGAATGGTGTCTAGAGGATGAGATGTCAGAACTGGGCTCTGGATAGGAGACCACGTGTCTTGGTTTGCCTGTTGTTTGGTGTGATTATAATAGTGCCCCCTTTCACCTTGCAGAGTGTCACAGTTTGGGATGATCAACTGCAATCAGCTCAGTTCTGGCCAAGGAGGAAGGATTCCCCAGGTAGAGGAAGAAGAAAAGGACCCTTCTGGATGAAGAGACACAGGACTGGCCTGCAGTGTGGAGGCTGCACAAGCACCCACAGCTGGTACCCTCGCCAGGCCACTATTTTCTATGTGCCCCAGGAAGCAGGGCTGTCTGATGAGTTGCTTGGGCAACATAACACATGTGCAACCCATCAGGGAAGACAGAAACCTTGAGGAAAAAAGAAAGCTGCCCAGTCCTGAGTTTGTTAATGCTGCCCCCTCCAGCTTTGGGGTTTTTTTTTTTTTTAATTTAACACCTGTCTCCCTCATTAGAATAGAAGCTCTTTGAGGTCAGGAACTGTGTGTGTTCTGTCCATAGGTATATTTATAGCATCTACAGCAGTTCCTCATCTGTAGTAAAGGCCTAATAAATATATTTGTTGAGTGAATGAATCTGAGGAGAAAAACATTTTTCTAAACCACCTTGTGCAGAGGATCAGCAGGGCGTTAACACTCACCGAGCCTCTATTGTGTTCTGGAGGCTCACGAGGCAGCTTGCCTCCCTCAGCTCACCCGCCTCTCCAGGCAGAAATCACAGATGGGCTAATGACAGCTCAACACATCCCACTCGACTTCTGAAGCCCTGGTCCAGCCTCTTGTCCTCCAGGAAGACTTCCCCATCGAAGGCGCTTCCCCTTTGCAAAGCCCCCGAGCTTTATGGTATCCAGCAATTAACTGTGTGCTGCTGAGTGTGTTCTTTCATCAGACCGCTTCCCACTCCACTGTCAACACTTTCAGAACAAAGGGTACATGTTTCCAGGTCTCCTCCACAGTACCAAGAGCAGAAGGGAAACAGGCCCCTATGGATTTGTTAATTGATAGATTTTTATTTAACACCGTTCCAGCATGACCTTGACTTGAATACTCTTCCGGCAGCTTGTTCCTGCGGCTCCGGGTGCTCTGTCTCAGGAATGGCTTCAACAATCAGAGCACTTAGATACTTCACATCAGGAGTGGTCTGGAGACAGGCCCCTGAGGCTGGGGCAGAGCTTCTGAAAGCCCTCAGGGACTCAGACTACCCTTAGTGTGTTTGCTTGTTGCCTCAAGGTGCAAGACAGCTGGTGAAGTTTCAGGCTTTGTATCTCTAAGGTCAGCCCCAATGTCATTTTGATCAGAAAAGCAAAAGCTTTCCCAGGAGCCTCTAGCAAACTTCTGCTTCACCTTGTTGGCCACATGTTGTCACGTGGCCACACCTAAATGCAGGAGAGCCTGGGAAATCAACTGGGTAGGTTTTCCGCCTTTGTAGTTAAGGAGACAAAGGAAAAGTGGCTTGACAATGAATGAATGAGTGTTACATCAGTCCATCAACAGTGATCACTATACACTCTGTAGAAGGAAGACAGGAAAAAGAAACCAGACTTGACATTAACTCAGACTGGCCATTCTGAAATCTCCCCATCTCAAGTAGGACCCAGCTTAGATTTATTTGTTTCCAGGGAGACACTCTAAGTTCTTGATTATATGTAAGCACAGATGCCTAGAGATATAAAAGGCGCAGTCCTTGTCTTTCAGGCCGCCTCAGTCTGGTGGGGAGGATGGAAAGGGCTGGCAGAAATAAAGCAATTGTCTCAATATTGTGTGCTATGGTGGTCTGTGAACAGAAAGATGAGGAAGGAGGTGGCTGGGCACAGTGGCTCACGCACTTTTGGAGGCCAAGGCGGGCAGATCACAAGGTCAGGAGTTCAAGATCAGCCTGGCCAACTAATGACACCCCGTCTCTACTAAAAATACAAAAATTAGCCGGGCGCATGCCTGTAATTTGGCACATGCCTGTAGTCCCAGCTACTCGGGAAGCTGAGGCAGGAGAATTGCTTGAACACAGGAGGTGGAGGTTGCAGTGAGCTGAGATTGCACCACTGCACTCCAGCTTGGGCAGCAGAGTGAGACTTTGTCTAAAAAAAAAAAGAAAAAAAAGATGTGGAAGGAGGAGAAGCTAACTCTTGGTGGAAGGTGGTCATGGAAATCTACCCAGAGGTAGAGACATATGAGATGGAAATGGCAGTAAAATATACGAAGAAGGAGCTGGGAAGAGCATTCCAGATAGAAGAAGGTGCATGGGCAATAGCATGGTGCTGGGAAGCAAGCATAGTAAATTTTGGGAGCATCAGAGAGTTCCATTTTGCTGGAGTGTAGGGTGCCTGAAGGAGGGAGATGAAGCTGGCAGGGCCAGACCACCAAAGACATGATGTGTGCTGCGAAACGCTCAGTCTCCCACTTGGCTGCTAGGGTAGATGCTGGTGACATTTTCTGAGATGGGAATACTGAACTCAGTTGGGAATGTGGAGTTTTGGAATCTCAAGCTGTTTTTACTTTACATGAGTTTCCAGGGTGGTCTCGCCCACTTCCTTGACTTCATCTTGTGGCTCTGAAGTCTATTCTCCCTGTCCAGATTTTGCTTCTGTATTCCCAATATGCATATCCAGTGCAGTTTTTGCTGCATGGCACCATGTCTCAAATAGTAGCTTAAAACTAAAACTATTTATTTAGTCCTGAATCTGCAGGTTGGAAATTTGTTTGGGCTCAAAAATTAATGTCACCCTTAAAAACATAAAGGATGCAGGGGTGATGGTCCCCATGACATTTCCCACTTAATTCACTTGTATTAATATCTGCAAAATCCATGCAGATCATCCAACAGATGATGTAGTAACTACAGGATCCACGTGGTTGTCAGAAATGCTGCGCTTATGATGAATGCAGTATTTTTATTGGACTAGATCAGCACAGCCTCTGGCATCTTGGCTTTAACTCTGTTAATGTGTTCTTTTTCAATCTCCCTTAGTAATCAATTAGTAATCAAGAGCAGTTCGCATGTATATGGAAAGAGTAATAATACTCATTCACAGCCATGCCCCAAGCCTATGTTAACTCTCCTCTCTGTCACAATGTAATCTGCTAAGACTTTGCTCATCTTGACTTGCTGCAGAACAGCACTGTGATCCACTATATTGGTGACATCATGCTAATTGGACCTGGAAGATAGGAATATGGCATTACTCTGAATGTCCTAATGAGAAACATATGTGTCAGAGGATAGGCGATAAACCCTACAAAGATTCAGGGTGAAGGTTGTAGAGGGTCCAGCTCTGAGACACGCTGAGACATCCCTTCTGAGATAAAGAACAAGTTATTGCACCTTATACTCCTTATCACTAAGCAAGACGCATGCGTTTGATGGGTACTTTGGATTTTGGATGCAGCATATGCTACATTGAGAATACTATCCCAATCTATTTACCAAGTAATCAGAGGTTTAACAATTTCAAGCGGGGCCCAGAGGAAGAGAGGGCTCTGCATTAGGACCAGGTTGCGTGCAAGCTGGTCTGCTACTTGGCTATAGTGTTAGAGGTATCCATGGAGATAGAGTTGCTGGGTGCAGTTTCTGGCAGGTCCCAGTAGGAGATGATGACACAGACCTCTAGCTAGGCCATCCCTTCTGCATTAGAGAACTATGCATTCAAAAAGAAGCTTCTGGTGTACTTCTAGGCCCTAGTGGTCACTGACCATGGCACAGACACCAAGCGATTTCGAGACAGGAGCTGCCTGTCATAAACTGGGTATTGTTAGATTCATCAAGTCATGATAAGATTAGGCAGGCATTGCAGCAATCCACTGTCTGATGGAAGTGGTACATCCAGGCCTGAGGAGCTCTAGAAGGCACAAATTAGTCACACAAGCAGGTGGCTCAGAGCCTCTGTCACGTAACCTGTTGCACTGATGTCTCTCCTGCAGCTCACACTTAGGGCCTCATGGGGCTTCCCTATGATCAGATGATAGAGGAAGAAAACATCCAGGCCTGGTTTCTGTATGGGTAGGCTCACATGTAGGCTGGTGTGAGCTGAAAATGAACTGCTGCCACACGATACCCCTAGGCAGGGGGTCCCTAAAGGCAGTGTCAAAGGAAAATCCTCCTAGTGGGCAAAGAGCAGTGCACTTGGTTGTAAGCATTTTGTGGAATGAGAAGTGGCCTGAGGTAGAGACATACACCTACTCCTGAGCAGCGGTGAATCACTGGCTGGCCACTGAAAGATGCATCATCTGAAGACTGGGAAGAGGCACATGGATGGACCTACAGAGGTGGACACCGAGAGTGAAGATGTCTGTGTCTCACATCAGTGTTTACTTGGAAGCCTCTACCTCAGAAGAAGAACTCAGCAAGTCACTGGACAGGGTGATTTCTTTGGTGGATGTCAGCCAGCCTCTGTCCTTAGCCATTCCTGTGCTTGAGTAACGGACCCATGAATGGAGCAGTGACAGTGGTGGGGATGGAGGCCAAGCACTGGCTCAGTGGCATGGCTCCTGTTCACCAAGGCTGCTCTAGCCACTGCCTCTGCCAATTATCTAATGGGCCAACAAAGGAGTCCCCAGGAAGGCTCCATCTCTGGAGAAGATCAAATAAGTTGATTATATCAGACCCCTTCTATCCTGGAAGGGGAAGTGATTTTTCCTTAAAGAAACAAACTATTTCTGGGTTCAGGCCGGTTGTGCCATTTTGAGCTGCAGCCACGATTGCTGCGATAGGCTTAAATGATCCTCCATTTGTTTGTTTGTTTGTTGTTTGTTTGTTTGTTTCAGAGTCTCGCTCTTTCGCCCAGGCTGGAGTACAATGGCGTGATCTCAGCTCACTGCAACCTCTGCCTCCCAGGTTCAAGTGATTCTCCTGCCTCAGCCTCCCAAGTAGCTGGGATTACAGGCGTGTGCCACCACACCCAGCTAATTTTTTGTATTTTTAGTACAGACGGGGTTTCATCATGTTGGCCAGGCTGGTCTCGAACTCCTGACCTCAGGTGATCCACCAGCCTCCGCCTCACAAAGTGCTGGGATTACAGGCATGAGCCACCATGCCCGTCCGACCCTCCCTTTTTTGTTTTTGGAAATATTGTAGTCTGTCCTGTTATCTAGACAGCCTGATGTGACACATCAGGCTGTGTATCATGATATAGAAGTCTGTTAAATAGCCAAAAATAACTGCTTCCATGAACAACTTGTGGAGCAAATCTGGCTTAGTTTGCTCTTTGCTGGGGGATGTATTTTGTTAACTAGCTTTCATATGTTAATGCTATAAAAATAAGTTTTACTGCAGCCATTTGGGTTTGACTACATTTTTTAAGAGTTGTATTGAGGTTTCTGTAAGAGATGATTTAATTAAAAACCTCTATGTCCAGTGTGAAAGAAAAATATAAACGTAAACTATCTCTGGCTGTGGGTTTGCCTTCCCTGCCTACAGCAGCTCTGCCAGAACCAATGCAGAGCTGCCGGTGTTTCTGATTTCCTGAGACAGAACCCTGCCTCACATTGCCTCAGCCTAAGGGCCCTCATTTTATGGTGAAGAAGGTATGACAGTGGGCACATTCCCACAGGATCCATTGGTCCTACTTAGAATGTCACCTGGAATTACCTGGTCGGAAAGGCTTAGCAAAGGCGCTAGCCTGGAGATGACATCCCGTAGGGTGAGGGCACCTGGAGGGTGCGAAATATACACGGAACCAATGGCTGTTATGTGGCGCTCTGTCTTCATTTGTTGGAATACAGAGGTTCAGGAACCAAAGGGCAGGAGGAGGAGTGGCTCCTCTTACCGTCATTTCCAGTGACCCACTTGCAGAAATTTTGCCTTGTGCTCCTACAGCTTTAGGCTCTGCTGGATAGAAGTCCTAGTTTGCAGGAAGAGGTGAGCTCTTCCATCAAGAGACACAGGAGGGTTCCACTTGACCTGAAGATACAGCTGCTACCTGGCCACTCTGGGATCAGTGGTTCAGAAAGCAAAAATGGATTTACTATGCTGGCAGAGTGTAATCAACACTGATTTTCACAAAGAGGTTCGGTTGCGGACACTTAACGTGGATAAAAAGGAGAATGTCTGGAGCTCAGGGGATTCCCTAAGATGCATCTTGGTGCATCTATGTGCTGTAATAACACTGAATGGGCAATGAGGGACCCATGGCTTGACAAGGGCAAGGTGGCCAAGAGCCCAGAGCCTTCAGGGACAAAGATCTGCGTCACCACTTAACAAGCAGCTAGACCAGCTGAAGTGCTGGCAAAGGGCAAAGGAAGCTTGGAATGGGCAGTGGCAGTTACAGAAATGTAAATTCAAACTACACTGAGAGATTATTTCTCACTGCATAAATTTCATAGTTGGATAATAATTTCTCTTGGTGAAGATGTGGGGAAAAAGCCTGCTCACACATTACTGAGGAAGTGGAAAATGCTACAGTCCCTGTGGAGGGGAACATGACATTATCTAGCCAAATTACATGTGCATTTACCCATTTCTAGGAATCTATCCCAAGTACACACTGCCAAAAACTGGAATTGATATTAGCACAGGCTGCTTGCTGCAGTAGTATTTGTATTAGCAAAAGCCCAGAGGGATATCATCCAGAGAGCTGCACTTCTTTGTGGCAACTACTGGGAAGGGGTTAGAATCTGGACATAGCACTGAGTGATTTGTTTCTAGCTAATATGTACTGAGTACCTGCTATGTGATTGATAGTTTACATGTCACTCTATTTAGCAACCTGCACTTTCTGGAAACAAATTTGTATCAGCAATCTTTAACACAGAAATTATAAGAATACAGCATGAGAACATAACAAAAAGTGGCAACAATTCTTTATGCACAAACATGTTTCCTGCTGTATTTTTTTAAAATTTTTAAAATATTTTATCAAAATTATACGGGCACATGGTTTAAAAAAAAAGCACCAAGCAGTATAGAAGAGCTTATCATGTATAATGGTCTCAACAATCCCCAGTTCTCCACTTCCCTGTCCCCAATCTGGTCTCCAGAGACAACCAACCCCTTTGAACCATTCCTGGTTTTATATCTTAGAGGGGTTACTTTTATATCTTTAAATAAAGTGTCTGTGTGACTCTGGATTTATCAAGTTAGATATTGGTATTGGCTTCCTGCTACTAAAACACCAGGGGTTTGGTCTAGGTCCTGTGCTCACTGTACAGAAAGCCAATGACTGAGACAGCGAGTATTGCCAAGGAAGAAAGCTTTACTTGGGTACTGTAGCCTAGGAGATGGGAGCTCACTCTCAAATCCATCTTCCTGACCTGCTAAAACTAGGGGTTTACGTATCAGGGAAGAAATGTAACAATGCATAAGAAAACAGGAACTAGAAAGGGGCAGGGAAGCAATCTGAGGGGTCAAGCATCTATCTTACTGCCTTGGATGCCTGATCTGATGAGTTTCAATTCTCTTTGATACTTTTTTTTTTTTTTTTTGAGAGCCCTTAAGGTCTTTCCCTGAGGAAGGAACTCAGATAAAGCAAATATGTTTCAAACTTTAAGACCAGGAGGGTCAATGTTTATGTTTATTAAAAAAAAATCCTATGGAATTATTGGGTTGGTTTCAATAGGATCTCTTCAAGAGCAAAAACTACTTCTTTAGAGCCCCTACTACCTTTAGAGCCCCAGGACCTGGCCTTGGGACTGGCAGGGAATGAATGTTAAAAAACTTGTTAAATAAAGTAATAACCTGAGTGGGCAAGGGAGGGGAAGGCATTCAAAGCAGAGAGGAAAGCAGAGATAAAAGAACAGAGGCCCATTCTTCCCGACAAACAGGACCCTGATTTAATTCAGGGCAGCTATGTCCCCAGCTAAAATTACTCACTTCCCACACTCCCTTGGACCAAGGAGAGACCATGTGATCCTGTCCTAGCTAAAGAGATGTAAGTCAAAGTTGCTGGATGGAGCTTCAGGGAAAGTTTCAAAGGAAACTTGAGGCAGTTGGCACATCATTTGGTCTTTTTCATCCTTCTGTATTCTTTCTTCCTGGAAGAAGGATGTGATTTCTGGAGGCTTAGCAGCTATATTGCAACCACATTCTAAACATGGAGGAACAAAATAATAGGAGGAGCGAATTTTTGAAGGCATTATTCAATTTTACACTAGCCCAGAACTGCAGATCTCTAGATGGGATATTATCTGAGACTAATAGTGCTTTCATTTGTTTCAGATCATATAAGTAGGTTTTCTGTTTCTTGGGGCTGCATGTCTTCTTTACTGAGGGCAATGGAAAATGAATGGCTGAAAGTTGATAGTTGTTAATTGTACAGGAGTATTCATTATACTAGTCTCTCTACTTTTGTTTATTTCTAAAATTTTCCATAAGAAAACGTTTAAAAGAACTAGGGAAATAAAAAATACATATAAATCATCCTTGCAAATATGATTTCCAAAAAGGAGTTTTGCAACACACCTGGGCTTCAGAGGTTGTTGCTATGTCTGGTGACAGTAAGCCCTAACTTCTAAAAAGTCTGTGATCTTGATTGGTTGTCTCAGTTAATAACAATTTGCACTGCTGATGACATTTAAATTGGGATCCTTTTTTTTTTTTTTTTTTTGCAGTGGGGTGGGGGGAAGTAAAAATATCTATGAATTTTCTTTTTAGCCAGGAAGGGACCACTGGCATGCATCTTCTTCTATATACACAAGGTGAAATAAAACTACTCTGCTGGATTTCTGGTTTAAACAAAGAGTTTGAGAGTTTTGTTTCATTTAAATTGATAAACTAATGGGAAGTTAAGAGCAGAGCTTGGTTAACTCATGCTGAACTCAAGTATGAGGCAAGCAGAGGGAAGCAAAACTCACCCTCATGTACTGGATGCTTCTTGTGCATCACCTCACACCTTGTCAGTCCAGTTTTGAACCTAGCCATTGCTGCAGCCACCAGATTTATGTAGGCGTAACCCAACAGCATCATGCCTCAGCTGCAGTGTGTTTCTTTCACTTCTGCCCAGCATTTCTCTGAAGCCTCAGTGGGAAATGCCTGTGGGAACTCACAGGCACTCATGGATATGAGCCCTGAGTGTGGGAGGAATTAACAAGGGACAACATTTGCTAAGAGGAGATGGGAACCAGTGGATAAACGCTGCCCACTTCCATCCTTCTGGCAGACAATTTTTGGGTGTCCGATGGGATCAAACCAACTCATTAGGCCCGCCTTGAACTGGCTTTCCCTCCTTCTCTGGGTCTAGCTTCCCATTTCCTGTAGTGACCAACTCATCCCAGTTTGCTTGTGACTTCTCTGATTTTAGCATGGAAAATCTCACATATTAGGAAACCCTGCAGTCTACAGAAAACAGGGACAGCTGGTCACCCTACCAGTTCCTCACCCTTGCACCCTGAAGTCACCTCCCAAATAAACCCTCTTCAAGCAACTCCTTGTCTCAGGCTCTGTTTTTGGAAGGGAACTCAGGCAATGACAATGCATTTGGGTCTTGACTGAGCACGTGCCTGTCTCGATTTGTTTCTAACTAGCTCATGAAACAGAAGCACTAGGGAGCAGTGGGCCAAGAACATCTACATAGCGTCAGGAAGCAAAAACTGCAGTTTCTGTTTTCTCTTGTGGATAGAAATTGTCTTGTGGATTTTCCCAGGTATTCTTAGGTATGAATCCACAGAATACAGGTAGAGTCCAATCTGTGAACCTGCCAGCTGAGCAGATTGGAAGAGCTCTTGTGCCCCTGACTCTTGGAATGAATGCTTCTAGGTTGGATTTGTAAAATTCCAATTCTGGGTTGGAATTTTATCTGGGCCAGGCACAGTGGCTCACGCCTGCAATTCCAGCGCTTTGGGAGCCCAAGGCGGGAGGGTCTTTTGAGGCCAGGAGCTTGAGACCAGCCTTGATGACACAGGGAGACCTCATCTCTACTGAAAAAAAAAAAAAAAAAAGACAGAGAAGAAGAAAGAAAAAATAATTAGCCAGGTGCGGTAGTGCACACCTGTAGTTTCAGCTACTTAGAGGCTGAGCCAGGAGGACTGCTTGAGCCCAAGAGTTGGAGGTTGCAGTGAGCTATGATTGAGCCACAGCACTCTAGCCTGGGTGACAGACCTTGTCTCAAAATAAATAAATAAAATTTTAAAATAGAATTTTATCTGATTGGAAGGTAGAGTGCTTTCTTTCTGTTGGAATTAAGTTCCAGCTAAGTGAAGTTACCCTAGAGGTTCCAAGAGGCAAAACTCTGAACTAGACAAGGTTGTTTTGCACCAGAAACAAGGAATTCATGTCCTTAGAAGATAAATATGTGTATGACATTCAGGGAAGCTCAGGTGGCTTTGTGTTTTTCTGAATGGTTTCTTCTTTCTTTTCTTTGGGAGAAAAATGCTACTGCTCAATCTTCAGATTGTCCAATAATTTAATAATGTATTCTGTTGTTTGAGAGATTTGCTCCCCCATGCAAAAGCCCAGCTGTGTTGGGTTTGCATTGATAGGAATTGAGGGATTGAGAGTGGGGAGTCTAAGGGAATTCTGAACCCCAACAGATTTTTCAGCTTGCTTGTTTCTGGAGGATTGGTCTGGACACACCATGGATGACAAAGAAATGAGCTTGATATCAAAGATACTTTGAATTATTAAATAATTAGGCCTCCTCTGTAGGTTTATAGGAAATATAGCTAAAATGTATCTCTAGTGGATTTCCTATTCATACTGGCTTCAATAGACCACTGAGAGCTTATATAAATCTAAGATAAAGGGATTCAATGTCTCCCGGGGGAAAAATTAAGAAATTAAGCCTCACCTCCAATACTTTAAATGTGCCAGCCCTTTATGAAAAGCCCTCCAGGCTGACAGAAAAATAATAGAAAACCTTCCAAACCGCAGAACACCATGTTTGCAAAGAGACTTGAGCTGTAACTTGCACTCTGTAATTTATGCTAATACATTTAAATAGACTAAAGAAATTAGTCTTCAAAAGGATGAATCTTTTAACATTCTACTTAGAAAAAATGACTTCCGAGTGAAAACAAAATAAAGTACTCAACTGAGTATTAAAAACTCTATGTAAGAGGTGAGTTTTATATTCCTATAAGAATAAAATGAAATACGTGAAAATTACCTTGGAAAATACACTAGGTTGTTAATACAAATTTAAACACTATTCCTGTTTTCAAATCTAAGCCCTTTCTTCAAAATGTTTTTGGATAGGAAAACAGTAAACTCTAACTTTGGTTCAATGGCTTCAAGCTTCCTGCTGAGTTACAAAATAAGTATGCAGATCAGGCCCACTAATATGCAAATTCACATCAGGCCAAAAATTGGTAGTCATAAACACTTTAAGAAACCCTTCTGTCCTAAGACTTTTTTTTTCTTTTTCTTTTTTGAGACGGAGTCTTGCTCTGTCGCCCAGACTGGAGTGCAGTGGCGCAATCTCTCTGCAAGCTCCAAGCTCCGCCTCCCAGGTTCACGCCATTCTCCTGCCTCAGCCTCCCGAGTAGCTGGGACTACAGGTGCCCGCCACCACGCCCAGCTAATTTTTTGTACTTTTAGTAGAGATGGGGTTTCACCATGTTAGCCAGGATGGTCTCGATCTCCTGACCTCGTGATCCACCCGCCTCAGCCTCCCAAAGTGCTGGGATTACACGCGTGAGCCACCGTGCCCAGCCCAGTCCTAAGACTTCTAATCAATACTTAGAGAGTCTTATTACTCTATAAAATAAATACAAGGAAGCCCTTGAGCCATTCGTCAGGTGGCCAGCATGTGGCCTTGGCCCAGTGCCTCCTTGCAGTCTGTGGATTGTGCAACTGCCTTCTGTGGCTCAGGGACATGACAGCCCCATCCAGCTTATAAATGACTGAAGACAGAGATCCAGCATAGTCTTCATTTGAATTCTCTGGTTGGGAACCCCTACATACCTCATTTTTTCTCTAGAGTTCCATTTTTCTAAAGTAATATGGAGACTGATGGGTAAATGACAATGTGTGCACATATAACAGACATTCTCTTTATTTTTCTCCTTCCTTCCTTCCTTTTTCCCAACATTCCTCCCTCCTTCCCTCCCTTCCTCCCTTCCACCCTCCTTCCCTTCCCACCCCTCCCCTCCCCTTCCTCCCTCCCTCCATCCCTCCTTCCCTCCCTCCTTCCCTCTCTCCCTTCCTCCCTTCCTTCCTTCCTTTCTTTTTTTTTTTTAGAGACAGGACCTCACTCCGTTACGCAGGCTGGAGTTCAATGCCACAGTCATTACTTCACTGCAGCCTCAAACTCCTGGGCTTAAGCAATCCTCCCGCCTCAGCCTCCTGATTAGGTAAGACTATAGGTGCACACCATCACACTCAGCTAGTTTTTAGTAGAGGCAGGGTTCTCACTATGTTGCCCAGGCTCGTCTTGAACTCCTGGCCTCAAGCAATCCTCCCACCATGGCCTTCCAAAGTGCTGAGATTATAAGTGTGAGCCACCATGCCTAGCCTACTGACATTGTTTTTCAACTTCTTAGTTTCTTTAAGGGTGTTTTCTCTTTATTTTATCTTGATGACCCACCGCTTTCACAAGTCAATGAAAACAATATACTGGCTTGGTGAAAACAGTTCCAGATCCACCTGAAGAGACTTGGGTGCTCTGGGTTTCAGAAAGGCCAGGGTTAAATGTGCACCCGGGCCCCTGGTGGCTGCACTTGCCTACCGCAGACTACTAAATGCTAATGGAGCAAACTCCAGTTGCTGATCCATCCTAGAGCTGGAGTCTTCACTCTGCTGATTCAAAAGAACACCAGAGCATTTTCTAACCTGTACACAAATCTGCTCTGTGGATGGGAACCCTACTACCCTCTCCTGCACACAACCACTTCAGTCAGTGTGCTCAAATAGTTCTCACTTGATCATTTTTGAGGGAAATACCAGGCACAATTTAGTTGTTTTAATCCTAAGAGAAAAATGTTGGTTTCTGCTGAGTCAGTATCTGGTATTTTAACTAGCTTAGCTTTCCCTGCGGCTCAGGCCAAGGGTGTGCCTTCCTGGAGTGAAGGACTTTCACAGCCCAGCTCTCTGGTATGGACCCAATGTCACTGACTACTGATTCTGCTCAGGTAACTCTCACCCTCACTCTCAGGGATTACTTCTGGATATTGGTTTTGTTTGACCAAGAATCTTGCCAGAATCCTAAATCTGCATGGGTCCCTGAGAATCCTTGTATTCAGGAGGATGAACGTGTTCTGTGTATGAATGTGTATCTTGTGTGATCCTTCTCAGCTTAGCAATTCATTTTTAAAACGCATAACAGAAGCCCTCATGGCAAGAGTGCAGCTGAGGGGAGCAAATTAGCTTTGAAATTAGCTGCTGTTTTGGAGTTTGCTGTGATTTGTGGTTTGGGAGGAAAGGGAAAACAAGGAAGTAAAAGCCATCTAATCTGGCCTGTGTACATCCTTTATCAGGAGTTCTCCTTATTTGTCCTCCAGGTATCTTGCAACAATGTGCCTTTATCAGTTAGGGATTTTACAGGCAAAGCTCTCAAATAATATACAAAGTAGAAAAGTAAATAAATACAAGGAAATTAAATGCTAATGCCTGTGCCCTTGATATTATCTGTGAAGGCAAATCCTTTGATAAAATAAATTGTATTGTGAATTTTAGTTTAAAGATGACTGTAGGTCTTCTCCCTGATTTTACCACAGTGAGAAACAAAAATGCAAATTTTGGATTTCAGTTCCTGAAAGACTTTGAAATTAGTTTTTTAATCCCTGCAAAAGCCAAATGAAGTAAACTTTCCAAATTTCCTGATTATCATTACTTGCACTAATATTTAAGAGTATGTCAATGTAAATGTGAGTATTCAACTAGTTGAATTATTTAAAAGAACAAGTATTCTATAAATTGGTTATTGTATTGGTGGAATTCATATAATATTGCAAAATTGTGTAAATTTATAGTTAATCCAGTTAAAGTGGATAATGCTTTGTTACCATATTTCTCTTATGAATTCTTATCATCAGTTTTTTGTTTTTTGTTTTTTGTTTTTTTTTTGAGATGGAGTCTTGCTCTGTCGCCCAGGCTGGAGTACGGTGGCACAATCTCGGCTCACTGCAAGCTCTGCCTCCTGGGTTCACGCCATTCTCCTGCCTCAGCCTCCCGAGTAGCTGGGACTACAGGCGCCTGCCACCAAGCCCAGCTAATTTTTTGTATTTTTAGTAGAGACGGGGTTTCACCGTGTTAGCCAGGATGGTCTCGATCTCCTGACCTCATGATCCACCTGCCTTGGCATCCCAAAGTGTTGGGATTATAAGCGTGAGCTGCCATGCCCGGCCTATCAGTGTTTAATGTTAACAATATATTTTTAAATCTGTAAATGATTCTGATCATAGACGATCATTTACCCATCAACCATAGAATATATATTCTTCTCATCTGTACACGGAACATACTCCAAGATCAACCACATGCTTGACCATAAGGTAAGTCCCAATTAGAAAAAAAAGAAATACCACCAACCGTAGTCTCAGATCAGAGTGGAACAGAAACAGACATCAATACAAAGAAGATCTGTCAAAACCACACAATTACATACAAATTAAACAACTTGTTCCTGAAAAACTGTTGGCTAAACAATGAAATTAAGGTAGAAATCAAAAAATTCTTTGAACTAAATGAAAACAGAGACACAACATACCAAAATCTCTGGGATTCAGCAGAAGTGGTATTAAGAGGAAAGTTTATTATGCTAAATGCCTACCTCAAAAAGTTAGACAGATCTCAAATTAACAGTCCAACCTCACACCTGGAGGAACTAGAAAAACTAACCCCAAAGCTAGCAGAAGAAGAGAAATAACTAAAATCAGAGTATCACTGAATGAAATGGAGACCCAAAATCCATACAAAGAATCAATGAAACCAAAAATTGATTCTTTGAAAGGATAAACAAGATCCATAGACTGCTAGCTAGATAACAAGGAAAAAAACAGAGAAGATCCAAATAAGCACAATCAGAAATGACAAAAGTGACATTACAACCAATCCCACAGAAATACAAATTATTCTCAGACTATTATAAACACCTGTAGGCACACAAACTAGAAAATCTAGAGGAAGTTGAAAAATTCCTGGAAACACAAAATCTCCCAAGATTTAATCAGGAAGAAATTGAAATTCTGAACAGACCACTATAGGGTTCCAGAATTGAATCAGTACTTTTAAAAACCTGCTAATCCCAAAAAGCCCTGGACCAGATGAAGTCACAGCTGGATTGTACCAGACATAAAAAGAAGAACTGGTACTAATCCTATGGAAACCGTTCCAAAAAATTGAGGAAGAGGTACTCCTCCCTAACTCCTCCTCCTGCCCTATGAAGCCAGCATCACCCTGATTCCAAAACCTGGCAAAGATACAATGAAAAAAGAATACTTCAGGCCAATATCCCTGATGAACATGGACACAAAAATCTTCAACAAAGTACTAGCAAACTGAAACCAGCTAATTCGCTATGATCAAGTAGGCTTCATTCCTGGGACGAAAGGCTGGTTCAACATACATGAACCAATAAGCGTGATTCACCAGACAAACAAAATTAAAAGCAGAATCCATATGATCATCCCAATAGACACAGAAAAGCTTTTGATAAAATTTAACATCCCATCATGATGAAAACTCTCAAGAAACTAGGCATCAAAGGAACGTACCACAAAATAATATGGGCCATCTATGACAAACCCACAACCTATATCATACTGAATGGACAAAAACTTGGAGCATTCCCCTTGAGAGCTGGAACAAGACAAGCATACTTAACTTTCACCACTCCTTTCAACATAGTACTGGAAGTCCTAGCCAGAGCAATCAGGCAAGAGAAAGAAATAAAAGGCATCCCACGGCCAGGTGCGGTGGCTCACGCCTGTAATCCCAGCACTTTGGGAGGCTGAGGCAGGCAGATCACAAGGTCAGGAGATCAAGACCATCCTGGCTAACATGGTGAAACCTGGTCTCCACTAAAAATACAAAAAATTAGCTGGGCGTGGTGGCGGGCACCTGTACTCCCAGCTACTCAGGAGGCTGAGGCAGGAGAATCACTTGAACCCGGGAGGTGGAGCTTGCAGTGAGCCGAGATCACGCCACTGCACTCCAGCCTGGGCAACAGAGCAAGACTCCATCTCAAAAAAAAAAAAAAAAAAAAGGCATCCCAATAGGCAAAGAAGTCAAACTATTTCTGTTTGCAGACGACATGATTTTATAACTAGAAAACTCTAAAGACTTTACCAAAAAGCTCCTGAAACTGATAAACCACTTCAGTAAAGTTTTGGAATACAAAATCAACATAGAAAAATTAGTAGCATTCCTATACACCAAAACTGTTCAAGCTGAGAGTCAAATCAAGAATACAATCCCATTTACAATAGTCACAAAAAGAATAAAATACTTAGGAATACATCTAACCAAGGAGGTGAAAGACCTATACAAGAAGAACTACAAAACACTGCTGAAATAAATTATAGATGACACAGACAATGGAAAAACATTCCATGTTCATGGATTGGGAGAATCAATATTGTTAAAATGGCCATATTGCCCAAAGCAACCTACAGATTCAATGGTATTCCTATCGAGATACCAATGTAATTTTTCACAAAACTAGAAAAAAACTATTCCAGAATTCATATGGAACAAAAAAAGAGTCTAAATAGCCAATGCAATTCTAAGCAAAAAGAACAAAGCCAGAGGCATCACATTACCCAACTTCACACTATACTATAAGGCTACAGTAACCAAAACACCATGGTACTGATACAAAAACAGACACATAGACCAATGAAGCAGAATAAAGAACCCAGAAATGGCCCGGCACGGTGGCTCATGCCTGTAATCCCAGCACTTTGGGAGGCTGAGGCGGGTGGATCACAAGGTCAGGAGATCGAGACCATCCTGGCTAACACGGTGAAACCCCGTCTCTACTAAAAAAAAATACAAAAAAATTAGCCAGCGTGGTGGCAGGTGCCTGTAGTCCCAGCTACTTGGGAGGCTGAGGCAGGAGAATGGCATGAACCTGGGAGGTGGAGCTTGCAGTGAGTGGAGATTGCACCACTGCACTCCAGCCTGGGCGACAGAGTGAGACTCCGTCTCAAAAAGAAAGAAAAAAAAAAAAGAATATCACAACTCTATTTCATAGAACAGCCTCCAACTGCTAAACTATGGCTATTCTTTAACTTTGCCACCTTGATTTCCTTTTATTTCTCTTTTGCCCTTTAAGCTTCCAGCACATAATCTCTAAAAACTTTCTGGCTTTCCAATCAGCTGAAATGTTTCGCCTGAAAATTCTTGAAACCTTCCCAGAATCTTGATGTTGCACAATTATAGTGGAAACTACTAGAAAGGCTAGAGACTTTGGGTAGAGCCGAAGTGGTCAAGACACCTGATGCCCAGGAGAATGGAAGAAGCCTAAACCAAGGACCTGGTCTTTAGAGATCACGCTCTGTTATTTTCAGCCATTGTTTAATTCCAGTCATCATTTATTGACTGGACCGAGGAGAAACAAGTCCTTCAACCACGAGGAGAGACTCTGAAGCCCAGTTTGCTCATTCCCACCTGAGGTGGATGTCCTAAGGAGGCCCGAGGCTAAGCATGCCGCTGATCTCTTCTACAAGTTGATGTCTGTTGGGTATGTGTGTGATGACTTGAAAGAGAAGAAACTTAGAGAAGTGCTGTCAAATTGTGGAAAGGGAGAAGTAGAGGAGCAAAAAGAGATGTTTGATGAAGCTCACAAGGACAAGATGGAAAGTGAAAATGGAAGGGTTGTAGATGTTTGGAGACAGAAGAAAAATAAACACCAAAGGAAAGAGCCCTCACATACTCTGGAATCTTGTGCCTTCTTGAATTGAATAAAAATTGTACAAAATATTGCATGGTCTGGCAATAATAGTTTATGTCACAGTATCGCTTATAATATGTTACCTAAGTTGCAACCTTAAAGGATGCATCAAAACCTTTCTCACCTGGATATTAAACAAATAATGTAATGAAAATATAGGAACAAGGGGTACAGAATCTCATGCAGATTCAAAGCTAGGATAAAATGTTGCTTAAATAGCAGAAACTTAATAAGGTCTAGTGGCCAATCTTACAGGTGAAATAATATGTTATTGTTTCCATTTACATTTCCATGGCAATTTGCATAAAATGAGCATTTAAAAATGTTTTTATCATGTTAAATTGCTAGTTCATTTGTTTTTCCAATTTTTCTTTTTTTTGAGATGGAGTCTCGCTCTGTCACCCAGGCTGGAGTGCAGTGGCGTGATCTTGGCTCACTGCAAGCTCCACTTCCCTGGTTCACACCATTTTCCTGCCTCAGCCTCCCGAGTAGCTGGGACTACAGGCGCCTGCTACCACGCCTGGCTAATTTTTTTGTATTTTTTAGTAGAGATGGGGTTTCACCGTGTTAGCCAGGATGGTCTCGATCTCCTGACCTTGTGATCCGCCCGCCTCAGCCTCCCAAAGTGCTGGGATTACAGGCCTGAGTCACCGTGCCCGGCCCTATTGTTTTTTTCTTTTCTTTTTTTAATGTATTTGTAGATATTCTCTACATGTTAAACATCTTGGAAAGATTCTTTCCCAATCTACTTCTGCATTGTAAGCTTGTTTGTGGTGTCTTCTGACACTCAGAAGTTTAAATGTTTGATTCTGACTTAATTTACTTGCTGTGTAAAAGGAAAATTTTTGACTTACAGAAGCACTTGCCTAGGAGATATAAAAACTGCATGTTTTATCTCATTACAAGTGGGTTTTCCCTGTTGAAGTTGATAAATAATCATGAACTTTTAATGACTCTTGCATGCCAGATGGTAAACGAGGACTCTTTCCTGAACAAGAAACAATAGGATTTCTTTTTTTTTTTCTTTTGAGATAGAGTTTTGCTCTTGTTGCCCAGGCTTGAGTGCAATGGCACGATCTCAGCTCACTGCAACCTCCGCCTCCCAGGTTCAAGCAATTCTCCTGCCTCAGCCTCCCGAGTAGCTGGATTACAGGCATGCGCCACCACGCCCGGCTAATTTTCTATTTTTAGTAGAGACAGGGTTTCTCCATCCTGGTCAGGCTGGTCTCGAACTCCTGACCTCAGGTGATCTGCCCACCTCGGCCTCCCAAACTGCTGGGATTACAGGTGTGAGCCACCGTGACTGGCCAACAATAGGATTTCTTTTAGCCAATTATATGCAGACTTATGAACTCAATCTATCCTATCTGGAATGCCATTTTTTACTGCTTAATTAGTACAACTCCTACTAATACTTAAGAATCCCTGGTCTTTCCCTGGTGTGTTCCCTTCCTTTGTTTCTTACCTCTATTCTATTCTTTGACAGTCAATCATATAACCTCTCAGTACCTCAACTGTAAAATTGGAAAATAACAGAACTTACCTCATTGGGTCATGATGAGGATTAGATGAGTAAACACGTAAAGTGCTTAGAACAATGAGTGCCTGATATACAGCAATCACCCAATACATTTTAGGTATTTGTGTTATTATTATATGTCAAATTTATTTATTTTTCTTTATTTGTTTGTGCTTTTTGGTCTTATTTAAGAAAGACTTCCCCAATCAATGGGGCATATTACAAATCTTCCTCCTCTCTTTACCTTCCAGGCCTCTGGAAAGCCCCTTTGGAAGTTGGGTGTAGCCATGTGGCTTTCTTGAATCAGTGAAATGTGAGCAAATTGATGGTGTCGCTTCTGGGCAGAAGTGGTGAGATCCAGGAATCCGACAGGCCACCCACCCACTCCCTGCATTCTCATTTCCTGCCTTGGTAATTGTAAAAGGATGTTCTGTGATGTTGTTGCCTGAATTAGGCAGGGACAATAAATACATTTTTTGGACGGGTAAAAAATATCTTCCATTCCTAATGTTAAAAAATATTCTTCTACTTTTTTTTTTTTTTTTTGAGATGGAGTTTCACTCTGTCGCCCAGGCTGGACTGCAGTCGTGCAATCTCGGCTCACTGCAAGCTCCGCCTCCCAGTTCAAGTGATTCTCCTGCCTCAGCCTCCCAAGTAGCTGGGACTACAGGTGCCAGCCACCATGCGTGGCTAACTTTTGTATTTTTAGTAGAGACGGGATTTCACCATGTTGGCCAGGATGGTCTCGAACTCCTGACCTTGTGATCCACCCACCTTGGCCTCCCAAAGTGCTGGGATTACAGGCATGAGCCACCACACCTGGCCTACATTTTTAATAATAGCTTTAGAGGCCAGGCACGGTGGCTCACGCCTGTAATCCCAGCACTTTGGGAGGCTGGGTCGGGCAGATCACAAGGTCAGGAGATCGAGACCATCCTGGGTAACATGGTAAAACCCCATCTCTACTAAAAATACAAAAACAAAATTAGCTGGGTGTGGTGGCAGGTGCCTATAGTCCCAGCTACTTGGGAGGCTGAGGCAGGAGAATGGTGTGAACCCAGGAGGCGGAGCTTGCAGTGAGCTGAGATCACGATACTGTACTCCAGCCTGGGCAACAGAGCGAGACTCCGTCTCAAAAAATAAAAATAATAATCATAATCATAATAAACAATTTCAGAGGTTTATTTTCTACATTTATGTCTTTAATTTCTTTGGGATTACTTTTATGTATGACGTGTCAAAAGAGAAACAACACATTTAATTTAAAGATCTAATTGGTGGCCAGGCATGGTGGCTGACGCCTGTAATCCCAACACTTTGGGAGGCCAAGGTGGGTGGATCATTTGAGGTCAGGAGTTCAAAACCAGCCTGGCCAACATGGCAAAACTCTGTTTCAACTAAAAATACAAAAATTAGCTAGATGTGGTGGCGTATGCCTGTAATCCCAGCTACTTGGGAGGCTGAGGCAGGATAATTGCTTGAACCCAGGAGGCGGATGTTGCAGTGAGCCCAGATTGTGCCACTGCACTCCAGCCTGGGCAACAGAGTGAGACTCCATCTCAAAAAAAAAAAGAAAAATCGAATTGGCTTTTATTAGCAATTCTAGAACCGGGCAAAGTCTCATTCTAGAAAACAGAATGGGGGTCGTGATGAGCTGAGCAGAGGGAGTGGGCTTTATGGGTAGAAAAGGGCTGAAGAAAGCAGAAATAAAGAACAGAAAATGGATTGGTCATTTAAAGTTTCTTTTCTCACAGGGTTAAAACAGAAATGACTTCCTTATCATACAGGCTCAGGTAAACTGGGCCCTTTCTGATTGGTTTCTGTGACTCTCCTGGGCTTTTTTTGGAAACTGACCCGTTTCAAAGTTCACTTTGATTATGTGGCAGCTAGCACCAGTGAGTCCATTCTGGTTTGCTTTGGTTTGTTGGGGCCTGGTGAAGAAACTTAGGCCAAAACAATGGCCTCCCATGAATTTTACTTAACAGGTGCAAAGCAGGAATCCAATTCAATTTCTTTTTCTTTTTTCATATTAACAGACAGGGGTCCCAACCATTCAGTGACTCGTCCTTTCCCCTGTAGTTTGTGAGGCCCTCCTGCCATAGACCTAAGGCCTGTGTTTACATGGGTCTTTTTCTTGACTCTATTCTCTCTGATGGTGTTTTTGTCTATTATTGCACCATCCTACTATTTGGTGCTACTTACCATTTCTTTGTAATTTGTCTCAATAGCTGCTAAGCCAAGGGCAGTGTAGTCTTCAGGCATGGAGAGTGGAGGATAAGGAGTGTGTGAAGTTCTGTGCATCTTAGCCAAACCCACCCTTGGCAAGTATAGCACGTAGCCTTCCCTGCTCTATCCAGACATCAGAACGTGCCTGTTCATTTCCTCAGAGACAATCAGAGTAGGCAGAGGCAAGGACTAGATTTGGGAGCTATTATTAAAATTAATTGACAGGGCTTGGTAGCTGCCTGAATTTTTGGTGGAGTAGTAAAGGAGGAGAGATTTTTCTAGGACAGCCCTTGTATTTCTGGCTCAATCAACCAGTCTTGCAAGGAAACCTAAGAGAAATGTACAACATGAGCCTTCTCAACTGTGAAAATGCCAGCATCAAGTCTAATGTTTTAGGACAATTTCTTGAGCAAATAATACAACCTATAGAAATATCTCGTCACAGAAAAGCAAGGCATGATTATAAATGGTTTATTTCTTTAGATTATAACATCACAATTAAATTGCATTTTTAAGACTGTTACTGCTGACAGTGCATGGAAGTATTGCTTTTTAATCATAGCGAAGTGTTAGGAGACCAGGGTGTTATCTTAGGTAGTGAATTTTAAGAAAGTGCTCACTTTTGCAGCCAGACTCACTAGTTTCCTCATTTGTCTGTGGGTACTGTGAGCACTAATGTAGACCACAAAAACTATCCTACCCTTTCTAATACTGCCAGTGCCAGAGAGCCAATCAAGGCCCCGCCTCTTTGCCTCCCTCCCACACCCCTGCTCCACAAACTCCATGCAGAACCAGGCACCAGGCGGGGCAGTCACAGCTCAGCAAGGAGAAGCAGCAGGATGAGGAGATCTGGCAGCTGCAGAAGGAACATGGGGCCTGCTCTCATTCCTGCAGATGGGAAGGAGAGAAGGAAAGGATTCTGCATGGGAATTCTCAAGACACGGGCCTCCCAAACTTTTAGAGCTTCATCTTAAGGTAAAACAAACAAACAAACAACAACAACAACAAAAAACAACAACAACAGGGGCCAGGCACGGTGGCTCATGCATGTAATCCTAGCACTTTGGGAGGCCGAGGTGGGAGGGTCGCTTGAGCCTGGGAGTTTGAGACCAGCATGGGCAACATGGCGAGACCTTGTCACTACAAAAAAATTAAAAATTAGCTGGGTATGGTCATGTCTACCTGTGGCCCCAGCTACTCAGGAGGCTGAGGTGGGAGGATCACTTAAGTCTGGGAGTTCAAGGCTGCAGTGAACTATGATCACACCACTGCACTCCAGCCTTGGCGACAGAGCAAGATGCTGTCTCAAAAAACAAAAACAAACCCAAAAAGGTGGGCTCTAGGGGCTCACTAGACCTAGTTAGACCCTTGCCTTTTCAGGATTCATGAAGTACTCAGAAATACAGGGGAGAGAGAAGCTGTGAGGACACTTGCTTTTGGTTCTTCAATTTAAGGTCACCTCAAGTTGACTGAGCTCTCAGGCCTGATGAGTCCTTCATCTTTCCATGGCCACTTTCCAGACCTGGGCTCCCAGTCACCGGTGACTCAGTGAGAAAGGCCTCCCCTATCTGGGGCCTGCAGCTCCCCTGGCCATTGTGGCCTCCACACTTGTCTTTCTCACCCAAGAAGAGGTTTTTGAATTTGTATCTCTTGGAAGTCAATCTTTTGCAGTCACATATGTACTCCTGTCCCTACAGCTGATGTTAACCGGAGTTGGTGGGATCTGGCTTCCTCACCTGGGGTTCTCAGTCTTCCTGAATCTGAACACCAACCATTTGGCTCCAGATGGAGAGTAGCATCTTTCCTCCGCTGGACTGTCTACCTGGCTATCCTATTTTCATTAGACTTGATCCAAATTCAAAATCTCTCTATGTAAAAGCTCAGAGTTCCCCTGTAATTCCTCTCTGTGGTCCCATTTCTACCCCAAAGATTTCTTGTGTTTCCAGCACCCCTTCAGAAAATAAGGACTAATTTGATCTCAGTTTGCTGGGTACTCAATCCCTCTGCAGCTCAGATTCACTTCTGGATGGACTCCTGGCCTCTCAACAAAGCTTAACTCACTTCACCAGCATGTGCTGGAGCCCCCATTCCAGCCAGGCATTATGGCAAGCCCTAAGTGCAGATGGAAAGGGAGGCAAAGTCTCCACACTGTAAACAAATGGTTATCATATAAATGGTGAGTGTATGGCTGAGATGTGCACAGGGGAAAAAGAAAAGTAGTATTTGTTGAGCAATGTCTGTGTGCCAGGCAATAAGTTACAAATATCTCTCTTAATATTCACAGCAACACTACTGAAGTATTTGTTACTCATACCCACATCTTTCAAATGAGGAAATTGGGGCACAGATTGCTCAGGTGACTGGCGTAGAGTCACAGAGCTGGTGATGGCTGAGTCCAGATTACCACTGAGGTGGTCTGACTCCAAACCTACAGCACGGAGCATGGTACAATGTTTACTTTTGCCTGAAAGTGTTAAGAAAGGCTTACCACTGGAAGAGACATCTGAGGTAGGTCCTGAAAGATAATTACCGTACTGAAATTGATGGTGTTTTAGATGGGATGAAATATGATGTGCAGTCAAAGGAGGGACGAGACTTCAGGCCACAAAGAATGACGGGTGCAAAGGCACAAAGACCTAAAAGCCATGCCATGTGGGAAAGGAAAGGGTGGGTAAAGTGCTCATGCTGGCACTTCTCACCATCAGGGTCTGGGAGGAGTACTAGCCTCTCCTGATGCCCTCCATTATCATTGCCAACCATGACTGCTCTGCCTTACTGAGGTCCCTGTCCTCTGGTTGTACCACCTCTAACCTTCCTCAGCCTAGCCATCCTCCCTATGTGTCTGGTCTATTGTGTGGCCCATTTGTGCAAAACCTTTCCATTTTTCAATCTCCTCACTCCAACACCATCCATCTCTCTTCTGTCTAGCCAACCTTTTCTATGGAAATGTCCTCTTGCCTGCCCAGAATCTGTAAACTAGCTACACTGGAAATCTCAAGCCTACCAATATGTTTTCTGAGCACCCCTCTCAGTCTGCCCAGCTTTCACTCTCTTCCTCCTAAAGCACCTCATAGAGAGCACCAGTTCCCAGACCTGCCTCCATCACTGCAGCCACCTGCTCAGTTTAGGCACCCTCATCTCTTGCCCCGATTCCTGCAGCAGCCACAGCCTTCTGCCCGGAACCAGGTCTCCCAACTCTCCTGGCCCTCTGATGTGTCCCCCAACATAGCAGTAGTTTCCATAACTCATTCTGCCCAGCAGATCTTTTCGACCTTTCTGCATGCAGGGAGGTTGGGAGCTTCACTGGGCTAGAGGCTGCCCTGTTGATACGGAAGTGCTGGGAAGGGAAGAGCAGGGTCCCTTTAAATCCTTTAAATGATATGGAAGGAAGGAAGGGAAGTGCTGGGTAGAGAATGGTGTGGTCCCTGGCTAGGGTTCCACCCCCACGGACCTAGGTGAGGACAGGCACTCCTGCCTTCGTGCCCAAATGTTGCATTTCCCAAGACCACCCTGGCCTGCCATGCCCCCAACCCTGTGCCTATAAAACCAACTCTCGGCCGGGCACAGTGGCTCACACCTGTAATCCCAGCACTTTGGGAGGCCAAGGTGAGTGGATCACGAGGTCAGGAGTTCAAGACCAGCCTGACCAACATAGTGAAACCCCATCTCTACTAAAAATACAAAAATTAGCTGGACATGGTGGCCTGCGCCTGTAATCCAAGCTATTCAGGAGGCTGAGGCAGGAGAATCGCCTAAACCCAGGAGGAGGAGGCTGCGTTGAGCCGAGATGGCACCGCTGCCCTCCAGCCTGGGTGACAGAGTGAGACTCTGCCTCAAAGAAAACAAAAAACAAAAAAAAAATCCCCTGCCCCCCAGACCCTAGCAGGCAGACACACAAGTGGCTGTGGCTGGACATCGTGAGGAACACATGGGTGGAAGAAGACACAGAGGCAGCTGGACGTGGAGAGGAGCACATCAGCGGAGGAACACACCAGCACACAGCAGCTGGATGTTGTGAGGAAAGCACTGACAGGCACCAGCACGATGGCAGGCCACTGACTGGCAGGACAACGGGGAGTTTGGCCAGGGCAGTTGGAGGGGAGCCCAGGCCTCCCAGCAGCCCAGGTCCAAGGGAAAACCATCTCCCTTCTGGCTCCCTGATGGGCAGAGAGGTACTTCCACTCAGTAAAATCTTGCACTCATTCTCCAAACCCAGGTGTGATCCGATTCTTCAGGTACACCAAGGCAAGAACCCAGGATACAGAAAGACCTCTGACCTTGTGACAAGGTAGAGAGTCTAATTGAGCTGGTTAACACAATCTGCCTATGGACAGCTAAACTAAAAGAGCAAAACTAAAAGAACACCCTGTAACACAGGCCCACTGGGGCTTCAGGAGCTGTAAACATTCACCCCTAGACACTGCTGTGGGGTCAGAGCCCCACCACCTGCCCATCTATATGCTCCCCTAGAGGTTTGAGCAGTGGAGTACTGAAGAAGCAAGCAATTTCCCCTGTCACATGCCCTGTTAGGGGGACAAAAGAACCTTTCCCATTTCACTGTGTCTCTGTGCCTGGGCTCTGCTCTCTATTCTGGGACATTAGCCCAGTCCTTTCAGGAACCTAATACATTTCAGCAGTTGATTGGAGGCCCAGGGTTCTGTGCCCTGGCTGCATCTGATAGGAGGGCATCCCCTCCTCCATTCCATGATGGCCCCACCACTCGCACCTCCAATGCAGACCCAGACTCACCTGAGCTGTTGAAATTGCTGTCTTGTTTTCTGGGATTTTTAGTAGAACCATCGCAGAAACAATTGAAGTTACTCCTTATTTTCTTAGAACTTTCAAGCAAAATTTTATTGTGTTTTTTATTTGTTTGTTTAATGGTAACTTTCTGATACACCTTATACTCTCAAAAAAGAATTAGCACTTCTTCATGAGGATAGAAAGAGAAGTTTTTGATTTTAACACCCAGGCAGGTTGTGATGATAAATAGTGTCCCCTCTTCACCAAGAAATGGTGGTGACACAGATACATTTCGAGATGAAGATGATGAAGTAAATTGCCCAAATCATACATTCCCTTCCCCACTGTAATCAAATTTGGTTTTAGAGCCTCTGTAAACTCTGTTACAATTCCCTGTAGTGAGAAGCTGAAGAGCACTTGTCAGATAATAATGGAAGGCTTTAAACTGAAAGTTGTGTGAATTTTGAAGGAATTCTCTTACAGCTTTGTTACAATCATTTGCAGTGTTCCCAGTATAGGCCACTAGAGCTGTTTCATGGAAATCACTGAGTTTTTCAGAATAGCTTATTTTGTTTTTGAGTTGCTTCCATGTTTCCGACTTTTTCTAGTCAATGTTTAAATTTGTATTCACTCTCAGTTCTTCTTTTAACAGCTGGGGCACCCTTTTCTCCATTTCTTCAACACAACCCACGCACTGGTCATCAAACACATTGTCAGCCATGTCCAGCTTGGCTGGCTGTCCCAGGCTGGTCACCTGTTAAGAAGGAGTAGAGGCCGGGTGTGATGGCTCCCGCCTGTAATTCTGGCACTTTGGGAGGCCGTGGTGGGTGGATCACCTGAGGTCAGGAGTTCAAGACCAGCCTGGCCAATATGGTGAAACCCTGTCTCTACTAAAAATACAAAAAAAAAATTAGCTAGGCCTGGTGGCATGCACCTGTAATCCCAGCTACTCAGGAGGCTGAGGCAGGAGAATCGCTTGAACCTGGGAGGTGGAGGTTGCAGTGAGCCCAGATTGTGCCACTGCATTCCAGCCTGAGCAACAGAGCGAGACTCCATCTCAAAAAAAAAAAAGAAGGAGTAGAGGCCCTTGACCTGCTGGGAAAGTGTGTTGCAAGCTGCCCAGAGCCCACAGCATGGGCTTTAGCTCAGTATGAAATTTCACAGGTTCCCCTCATAGGACTCATGTATGGCACATGTATGAACCATCTTATGACACTATTAGTAGTATAAAGAGAAAAGCTAAGCTTTGTGACTGTTCTGTTTAGTAGTGCTATTTTTTTTTCTTATTTTGAGACAGAGTCTTGCTTTGTTCCCCAGGCTGGAGTGCAGTGGCATGATCTCGGCTTACTGCAACCTCTGCCTCCCGAGTTCAAGTGATTCTCCTGCCTCAGCCTCCTGAGTAGCTGAGATTACAAGTGTGCACCACTATGCCCCGCTGATTTTGTATTTTCACTAACTCTTGACCTCAAGTGATCTGCCTGCCTTGGCCTCCCAAGTGCTGGGATTATAGGCGTAAGCCACCCTGCTTGGCCTACTGGTGCTATTTTAGAAATATCTTTCAGATTCATGCTCTCTGACCAGCTCTAGCCACAGACTCAACTCTGCAAACTCTATTGTCTCCAAGATGTGAGAAAAGCAAGATTAGCAGGATGTAGGTTGGGAGTGGGTGGTAGATATTATCTGTTGTGTTAGCCACCAAATTAACATGAAGAAGTGAACTGCTATGGCTGGAAGATATGCCATCTTCAAGTTCAAAAATAACTGCAAATAAACATAAGACAATGTGAAGTGTGAACATAAGTTTCATTGTGAGTGTGCTGATGCATCCGTTCTGTGTTAATGAATCCCTACTTCAAATCTGGAAGTCTAGGCTCCTATGTACACTGCTTCCTGAACAGTTAACCAGGAGTCCTTGTAAAGAGCTTTGCCTGGGTCCTGCACCAGGGATGAGGTGACTCTGACATCTGGCTCCGGGTAGGGCACTGGTATTAAAACAATCCATCCTGGTAATAGGCAGAGCCACGTGTCATGCAGACTGCCAGTGAGAGAAACAGACTACGTTTTGGCAGATACTTCCTAACCCCTAACATTTTACTTTCCCATAGAGAAATATTGCAAGTCCTTTCACAAATGCTTTTAAAAAAATTCTTCTCAAAGTTGTGTTAACATGGGGCTCAAATTTAAGTCAATACTTCTGAATATCTCTCAAAGTTGTCAGTACAAAAGGAATCGCTCCTCAGGCACTAGTTGCTGTCTCTAGTTTTAAGCAGCCTCCTTTGCCTCTCAGAGTGTACTTTCACTTTGCAATAAACTTCTTTGCCTACTCTTACTACGGACTTGCTCTCAAATTCTTTTGTATGGCAAAGTCAAGAACCCCAACCAGCCCACAACAACAATTTGAGTGTTTGCAGCTTTCCCAGTTCCCTACACTGCAGAAAGTCGGGGATGACAAAGAATCCTAGTCTAGCCGGAAGCATTAAGAATATACTGAAATTGATGTCTAATTGTGAAAATTCTATGAATATGGTAGGTAAAGAATTTCTTTCAGACAAAAAGCACTTGGGGAGCCATAATTGATAGGAATATATTGCATTGAATAAAAATTATGTTTCAAGTTCTAAAAAATGGTAATTTTTTTTGAGATGGAGTCTCGCTTTGTTCCCCAGGCTAGAGTGCAGTGGCGCAATCTCGGCTCACTGAAGCCTCTGCCTCCTGGGTTCAAGTGATTCTCCTGCCTCAGCCTCCCAAGTAGCTGGGATTACAGGTGTGTGCCACCACACCCAGCTAATTTTTGTATTTTTAGCAGAGACGGGGTTTCGCCATGTTGGCCAGGCTGGTCTCAAACTCCTGACCTCAGTTGATCCCCACCCTCTTGGCCTCCCAAAGTGCTGGGATTACAGGCATGAGCCGCTGCACCCAGCCAAGAATGGTACCCTTGAAATAATTTTTTTTAATCAAATTTAATCCTGTCACAGAGTCAGCATGATTCTAGGGCAATCAAAAATATGGGGGCCAAGTCTGAACCAACCACATCCTGCTTTCTTTTATTAAATAATAGTAATAATTCTATGGATGTTTTTCTTCTAAAATTTGTATTCTGAATTTGGGAGCCTTTGTATTAAATACTGTTAAACCTCAAAAAATGACTTAAATGAAATTATAACTAAAAATTTAAAATTTCTCCTTAATTCTAAAAGAAGTAATTTTATATTTTTCTCTGTATAATAAGTGCTTTTTTTATAGAATGCAAGATTGGGAATTTTAAGCATGGCATATTTTGATTTTATGTGAAAATTTAGATTTCTTCACTAATATTGAACAACTAAAGCACTATACAAAATTAATATAAACATGGCTGTTCAAATGAAATTTTTTGCAAATTGAAATGTGCTATAATGATAAAAACTGGTCTTCTGTGTTTGAAAATTATATGACTCTATGAGAAAATTTCCACCTAAAATATCTGAGCACCACTTAAAGTTTTGCTGTCTGACACATACCTCAAATAACTACTTTTTAATTTAATTGTTTAGTCATCTTATACTTTGATTATATTATTCTAACATTCTTAATTGATTCTTAGAATTTTTAAATTGTATAGCATTAGGGTAATGAATATTTGTATTTATCCAATGTCTCTATATATGGAGTAAATTCTAATCTTTGATCTTCAGGCAAAATTGTAAAAGCTTCTATTTAATATACCCTTGTTTAAGGACTTTTATTTTTTAGAGGCAGGGTCTTGCTCTGTCACCCAGGCTGGAGTACAGTGGCACGTCATGGCTCACTACAGCTTCGACCTCCCAGGCTGAAGTGATCCCCCTACTTCAGCCTCCTGGGTAGCTGGGACTACAGACATACACCACCATGCCCGGCTAATTTTTTAAATTTTTATAGAGACCGGGTCTCCCTATGTTGCTCAGGTTGGTCTTGAACTCCTGGGCTCAAGGGATCCTCCTGCCTCAGCTTCCCAAAGTGCTGAGATTACAAGCATGAGCCACCATGCCCAGCCTTCTTTAAGTATTTCTAAGACTAGAGCTATCCTCCTTAAATTGTTAAAATCCCCCGGAGGAAGATTTTGACTGGCCCCGAGTTAAGACACCGCTAATGAGAAAATACTTTGCTTTTACATCCTATCTACTTTAAAATCACTTAGCAGCTCCTTATCCTCTACTCACAGTGGTTCTCAAGGTTTGAGTGCATAAGAACTCAACTGGGAAACTTGTTACCAACAGAGATTCCTGTCCTTTTAGCTGTTTTCCTTTTTCCAGATCTGACCCCACCTCTCTACATGGAATATTTCTTGCACAGAACTAGACTTTGCCTCTTGACATATAAGCCCCCTACCTCAGTCACCCCAACCCTCAGATCGTCTCCCAGCCCCATCCTAATACCAATGTCTCCTCAGGGGACATTCCTAATTTCCTCACCTTCAGAGACCCTTCTTCCGCTCTTCAGAGGGCCGAGTTCAGACTTGTCAATATCTGGTCTCCTGCAGATCCTTGATTTGGTCCCTGTCCCTCTCTGACAATAGTGTCTGAGAACAAAATGCTCTCGCCCTTTTATGTTTTCTTTCCATGGAATTGATATGTGTGTGTGTGTGTGTGTGTGTGTGTGTGTGTGTGTGTGTGTGTGGCTTGTGGCTTAGAGGTAGGTCCTGAAAAAAGCAGAGATTGCTGTAGATCCTTTCCCCATACACTTGGTTTTAACCGATTACCTGAGCCATTTGAGGGTGTTAGAATTTGAGAGAATTAGGGCAAGGCAAAGGAAGGACAGATGAGCTTTTTTTCTGTCAACTTTTATTTTAGGTTCAGGGGGTCCATGTGCAGGTTTGTTACATAAGTAGATTGTGTGTCACTGGGGTTTGGTGTACAAATGATGATGTATCCAATAGGTAGTTTTCTGAGCTTTATCCTCCTCCCACTCTTCCCCTCAAGTAGGCCCCAGTGTCTATTGTTCCCATCTTTGTGTCCATGTGTACTTGGTGCTTAGCTCCCACTTATAAGTGAGAACATGCAATATTTGATTTTCTGTTCCTGTGTTAATTCACTTAGGATAATTCTTCCAGCTCCATTCATGTTGCTGCATAAGGCATGATCTCATTCTTTTTTAATGGCCGTGTAATATTCCATGGTGTATCTATACTGCATTTTTTTATCCATTCCATTGTTGATGGGCATCTATGTTAATTCTATGTCTTTGCTATTGTGAATAGTGCTATGGTAAACAGGAGAGTGAATATATGTGTTTGGTAAAACAATTTACATTCCTTTGGGTGTATAGCCAGTTATTATATTGCTGGGTCAAATGGTAGTTCTGTTTTAGGTTCTTTGAGAAATCTCCAAACTGCATTCTCCAGTGACTGAACTAATTTAAATGCGCACCAGCAGTGTATAAGCATTCCCTTTTCTTCACACCTTGCCAACATTTTTAAAAAAATAATAGCCATTCTGACTGGTGCAAGATGGTATCTCATTGTGGCTGCATTTCTCTAATGATTAGTGACATTGAACAATTTTTCATATGCTTGTTGGTTGTGTGTATATCTTCTTTTGAGAAGTGTCTGTTCGTGTCCTTTACCCATTTTTTTCCCATGGGGTTGTTTGTTTTTTGCTTGTTGATTTAAGTTCTTATAGATTCTGAATATTAGATCTTTGTCAGATGCATAGTTTGTAAATATTTTAGCCCATTCTTTAGGTTGTCTGTTTACTCTGTTGATAGTTTCTTTTGCTGTGCAGAAGCTCTTTAGTTTAATTAGGTCCCACTTGTCAATTTTTGTTTTTGTTGCTTTTGGAGACTTTGTCATGAAATCTTTGCCAAACCCAATGTCCAGAACGATATTTCCTAAGTTTTCTTCTGGGATTCTTAGAGTTTGAGGTCTTACATTTAATTCTTTAATCCATCTTGAGTTGATATTTGTATATCATGAAAGGAAGGGGTCCAGTTTCAACCTTCTGTTTGTGGCTAGCCAGTTATCCCAGCAGCATTTATTGAATAGGGAATCCTTTCCCCATTGCATATTATTGTTGACTTTGTTGAAGATCAGATGGTTTTAGGTGTGCAGCTTTATTTCTGGGTTCTTTATGCTGTTCCATTGGTCTATGTGTCTGTTTTTGTACCAGTAACATGCTGTTTTGGTTACTGTAGCTTTGTAGTATAGTTTCAAGTCAGGTAATGTGGTGCCTCCAGCTTTATTCTTTTGCTTAGAATTCCTTTGGCTATTCGGGCTCTTTTTTGGTTCCATATGAATTTTAGAATACTTTTTTCTAATTCTGTAAATAATATCATTGGTAGTTTGATAGGAATACCACTGCATTTGTAAATTGCTTTGGGTAGTATGGCCAGTTTGACGGTATTTTATTCTTTTTATGGCTATTGTGAGTGGGATTGTGTTCTTGATTTGGCTCTCAGCTTGGATGTTATTAGTGTATATAAATGCTACAGATTTTTGTACATTGGTTTTGTATCCTGAAACTTTGCTGATGTTGTTTATCAGGCCTTGAAGCCTTTGGGCAGAGACTATGGGGTTTTCTAGGTATAGAATCATATCATCCACTAAGAGAGATAGTTTGACCTCCTGTCTTCCTATTTGGATGTTTTTTACATCTTTCTTTTGCCTAATTGCTTTGGGTAGGACTTCTGGGGTGAGCTTTTGGGGATAATTTTCACGTCCTTAGTCACTCTTTAGTATGAAACCAACATCCACCTACAATTTGCTCATGAATTGACTGAAGCATATAACCAAACTGATTATATGTTGCAGTGTTCAGATGTGTGATCTCCAGACTCAAATGCTGCTTTGCTGTGCTGTCTCATCAAGTGATCTAAGGAATGATCACCCAGCAAAAAGAACAGGGAACACTGATACTTAACAGAGGTCAAAACCACCACTCCTGGAAATTGGGCATGTAATTCAGACACCTCAAAGAGTAGTGAAAATCTTTATTGATCCCAGTCCCACATATTAATGGTCTGCCAATCAGCAAAGGTTGAAGAATGACCACAAGAGGGGACACTAAGAACCAAAATCATCTATGTTCACACAGCTTACTGTCTACGTTAATTGACTTCACAATTCCCCTCTTTATCAGCATAACTGTATGATTCCAGGAAACTCTTGTCCAAGAAGATAAAAGTTTTAAACACAGATACAGTATTATCAATTTGAGGAACTTCCTGAGTGGCCCATCTGCTCTCAAAAAAAAGCATCAAATGACAGTTTATACCCCAAGACTCTGTGAACACTTTGCCTCAAAACTCTCAGTTTGCTGTGTTCACCAATCTACTTCCATTTTATTAGGATTCGTATTCAATACTAACCAAGTCCCTGTCTTAGATCAGACTTCGAGACCTCAGAAAGTCTCAACACCCTAACTTTGCCCTTCCTCCTCTGAGATGTTATTGAGACCCTATTGAGATAGCGTTCTCTCTTACCTCCATTAGCATTAAACTCAGCTTTGTTTTGACAAGGCCATAATTGAAAATTCAACTATTTGATTATTTAAAATATGAAACTCTGTAAAGTAAAATGCCATAAACAGAGAAAAAAGCCATATAAAGATGGATAAAGCAATCCATATAATGTGTGTGCATGTGTGTCTGCATACAGTAGTCCCTACTTATCCATGGAGGATACATTCTAAGACCCCAAGTGGATGCCTGAAACCATGGATAGTACTGAACCCTATATATACTGTTTTTTTCCCTGTACATACATACTTATGATAAAGTTTAACTTATAAATTAGGCACAGTAAGAGATGAACAACACTAATAAAAATAGGATAATTATAACAATATATTGTAATTAAAGTTATGTGACTATGGTCTCTTTTTCTCCCAAAATATATAATTGTATGATACTCACCTATTTTTGAGCCCTGGTTGACCAGGGGTAACTGAAACTGAAGAGAGCAAAACTACAGATAATGGAGGACTAACTGTACAATAAATTGAGAATAAATTATTTTTAGAAATTATCTGAATATTGGTAAAAATAGAGAAAGTGGTAGTCTGTGACATTTTAGCTGGGAGTCACTTCCACTCCCTGCACTTTATCTCCATGCACAGAAATTCTATCCCAGGTGGGAGGGGCAGCCCATGAGGACTGGCAGGTCTGCTTCAATGTCTGAAGGGGGTGAGTTAATTTGGAGTAGAGTATGGGGAAATCCATGCCCAGTGACATTGTCAAAAACAATGGAGCTTTCAGTGGCAAACAATCAGGGAAAGCTAAAATCATAATTGAGGCAAACAAAAAATCGGGCCACCCAGAAATTTAAGAGATACTTAAGTAAGGCGATAGCTAAAGAGGACCATGTTAAAATCATATTTGTCACCAGCAATTCAGAAAGCTGTGCCCACGTACAAGGCTGGAGTAGCTTAGGAAAGATTAGAAAAAATCCTTGCAAGACACTTGTCTCTGGATGAATATAAAGCAACTTGTAAAGTCGCTGAATTGTGAAATTATTCCCTAAGCCACACACAGATTCAACTGCTAAGTGTGGAAGTCTTACCGGCTCAGTGTTTAAGCATAACCACTGACTAATCATTGGCTGACCACTAAGCTATGCCAACCTGGGGCAACCCATAGGAAGCCAGACCTAAAAATAAAAGAAGGGTTGGGGGAACTGAACCAAAACATCAGAGGCTGCACACTACAGGGAGAACAGGTTCCACAGAATTAGTCCAGGCAAACAAACAAAACACAGCAACAACAACCCCAAGGAAGAGGTATCAAAACCCATAGTTGCTAAAATATATTACAGGAATGTTCAATTTCAAAAAAAAATCATGGCCGGGCGTGGTGGCTCACGCCTGTAATCCCAGCACTTTGGGAGGCCAAGACAGGCGGATCACAAGGTCAGGAGATTGAGACCATCCTGGCTAACATGGTGAAACCCTGTCTCTACTAAAAATACAAAAAATTAGCCAGGCATGGCAGCAGGCGCCTGTAGTCCCAGCTACTCGGGAGGCTGAGGCAGGAGAATGGCGTGAACCCAGGAGGCGGAACTTGCAGTGAGCCGATATTGCACCACTGCACTCCAGCCTGGGCAACAGAGTGAGACTCTGTCAAAAATAAAATAAAATAAAATAAAATCATAAGATACAAAGAGAAACAGGAAGATATGACCACACACGAGGGAAAAGCAGACAGCAGAAACTATCTGTGAGAGCATACAGATGTTGAACTTAGCAGACAAAAATTTGAAAGCAACTGCTATAAATATGTTTAAAGAACTAAAGAAACCTTGTTTAAAGAAGTAAAGCATGAGAACAACGTCTCAGTTATAGAATTCAACAAAAAGATAAAGTTATTTTAAAAAACCAACTAGAGGCCAGGCGTGGTGGCTCATGCCTGTAATCCCAGCACTTTGGGAGGCTGAGGCAGGCAGATCAAGAGGTCAGGAGAGAGAGAGACCATCCTGGCTAACCCGGTGAAACCTCATCTCTACTAAAAATACAAAAAAAAATTAGCTGGACATGGTGGCGGGCACCTGTAGTCCCAGCTACTCAGGAGGCTGAGGCAGGAGAATGGCGTGAACCCAGGAGGCGGAGCTTGTAGCTTGTAGTGAGCCGAGATTGTGCTACTGCACTCCAGCCTGGGTGACAGAGTGAGACTCTGTCTAAAAAAAAAAAAAAAAAAAAACAGCTAGAAATTCTGGAGGTGAAAAATATAATAGCTGAAATAAAAATTTCTCTAGAGGGATTGAACAGTATATTTGTGCTAGCAGAAGAAAAGGTAAGTGAACTTAAAAACAGGTCTATAGAGATCATCCAAATGGAAGAACAGAAAGGAAAAACAATGAAGAAAAATGAACATTGCCTCAAAGACTTGTATGTTTTATGGACACATAAAACATACCAACAAATGTATAATAGGAGTCCCAGAAGGAGAAAGAGAGAGAAAAGATCAGAAAAAATATTTGAAGAAATCAATACTAAAAAAAAGTCCAAATTTGATGAAAAACATTAATCTACACATCCAATAAGGTCAGAGAATTCTAAGTAGGATAAACACAAAGAGACTGTCAACTAAAAATACCATAGTCAAACTATTGAAAGGCAAAAAGAATGTCTTGAAAGCAACAAGAGCAAAATGACTCATCACATATGAGTGAACCAGATTAAGATAAGCAGCTGATTTCTCATCAGAAACAATGGAGAGTTTGGAGCCAAGATGGCTGACTAAACACAGCCAGGAGAAGATCTCCCAACCAAGAGACTGGGACATCAGGAAGAATGGCACACTCCAAGCAGATCTTCAGAGGGAAGGCTTTGAGAATGGATGGAAGTAGGACTCAGACACTGAGCTGAAGGGGGATGATGCTGGGAACCCTGTATGGGGCTGTTGTGCACTGGGACTCATTCCTGAGTGACTCCTGGAGAAGAGATGAATTGAACAGTTGAGGAGTGGCCCATTCTTGCCACAGACCTCCAGAATCCTAGCAGCAGGAGACCCCATGACCCCCATGGACACTTAAGCTGGCAGCAAGAGCTACTTAGAGAGGCAGTTAGGGCAGGACTCCAGCCTGTGTGGAGCCAACAGTGTTTGATGTGGGAACATTTGCAGTGGAGCATGGCCAGGGATTCTCATCCCCCAAGGCTCACCATGCTCCTTCAGGAGACTTTAGCCTTAGGGTGACTGTCAGAACTGGACAGAGCAGGGCAGTCTTGCCTGTGGGACAGGGCCAATTTTATCTGAGCACCCCTCTGTCTGCTGGCGTCGCCTGGGGACCCAGCCTGCCCATTCTCACTTGCAGCACAACTTTGGATGCCCAACTGCTATATCCAGGGAACCTCATCATAACTTCTTCATTGTCAGACCACACCTCGCTGTTGGAGAGCTCCAGCAGATGGGCCCCTGCCAATGCACATCAGTCCACACACAGTCTCCCTCCACCATTGACTCCCCCTGCCACTTTGCCAGCACACATTTGTCTACAGCCCCTGCTCCACCACTTTGCCAGCAGGCATGCATAGGTGGACCTCACCCCACTCCACTGTCAGTGAATGTGCGCATGCACCCCACCATGTCACCACTGCCAACACTAGTGCACCCTACCACCCCTCCCTCCACTAACACATGGGCACCCTGCTGTACCACCACTGCTGGCACAAATGCACACACAGACACCAGCAATCCCACCCCTACCAGTGTCCCATCCCCACCATGCTGCACCCACTACTGGTGTAAGCACATGCAGGAACACTGCCACCCTGCTCCAGCTAATGCCCTGCCTCAGACAATGCACGTGTACCCCCACCACACTGCCACAGTTACTGGCACATGCAGGGGAGCATGGATCCCGCTGCCACTGCCCCAACAAAGTTCTTTAGCTGGCACCACTCATTGGAGTGTTGTGGCCAGTGGATCAGGAGCACTGTGGCCCCTTCAGTACAGCAGGTTCCTAACCTCAAGAGGCCAGAGAATAAAGCCAAGAGCCCAGTACCAGCCTCCCAGAGCATGCTTCCCAGGACTACTGAGCTGAGACTGGGCCTCCGAAAATCTTTCAGAAATGAAGCCAGTCAACTAAACCCACTTTATACCACAATCAAACCCCCAAGGGGATCAAAGAAGATAAAAACAAAAAATTCTATCCAAAGGACAGCAACTTCAAAGATTGAAGGAATATCAGCCCACATAAACGAGAAAGAACCAGTGCAAGAACTCTGGCAAGTCAAAAAGCCAAAATGTCCTCTTACCTCCAAATAATGGCACTACTTCCCCAGGAATGGTTCTTAATTAGGCTGAAATGACAGATACAGAATTCAGAACATGGATAGGAATGAAGATCATTGAGATTCAGGAGAAAGTCAGAACCCAATCCAAGGAATCTAAGGAATATAATAAAACAACACAGGAACTGAAAGATGAAATGGCCATTTGAAGAAAGAATCAAACTGATATGATTGAGCTGAAAACCTTACTTCAAGAATTTCATAATTACAAATATTGATAGCAGAATAAACCAAGCTGAGGAAAGAATCTCAGAGCTTGAAGGCCAGTCCTCCAATGTAACTCAGTCAGACAAAAGTGAAGAAATAAAAAAGAATGAACAAAATCTCTGAGAAAGATGGTATTATGTAAAGAGACCAAATCTATGACTCATTGGCATCCCTGAAAGAGAGGGAGAAAAAGCAAACAACTTGGAAAACATATCTGAAGATATCATTCTTGAAAATCTTTCCAACCTCGCTACAGAGGCCAACAGTCAAATTCAGGAAATGCAGAGAACCCCTGTGAGGTACTGTATAAGATGACCATCCCTAAGACACATAGTCATCAGATTCTCCAAAGTTGAAATGAAAGAAAAAATGTTTAAGGCAGCTAGAGAGAAAGGGCAGGTCATCAACAAAGGGAACCTCATCAGGCTAACAGTGAACCTGTCAGTAGAAACTCTACAAGCCAGAAGAGATTGGTGGCCTATATTCAGCATTCTTTTATATATTTATTTATTTTTTGAGATGGAGTCTTGCATTGTTGCCCAGGCTGGAGTGCAGTGGTGTAATCTCGGCTCACTGCAAGCTCTGCCTGCTGGGTTCACACCATTCTCCTGCCTCAGCCTCCCAAGTAGCTGGGACTACAGGCGCCTGCCACCACACCCGGCTAATTTTTTGTATTTTTAGTGGAGACGGATTTCACCATGCTAGCCAGGATGGTCTCGATCTCCTGACGTCATGATCTGCCCACCTCGGCCTCCCAAAGTGCTGGGATTACAGGCATGAGCCATCGTGCCCGGCCTATTCAGCATTCTTAAAGAAAAGAAATTCCAACCAAGAATTTCATATCCAGCTAATGTAGTTTGGATATTTGTCCCTGCCCAAATCTCATGTTGAATTGTAATCCCCAATGCTGTAAGTGGGGCCTGGTGGGAGGGGTTTTGGTCATGGGGGTGGATCCCTCACGGCTTGGTGGTGTCTTTGCAATAGTGAGTTCTTGCCAAGATCTGGCCATTTAAAAGTGGACCTCCCCCTACACTCTCACTTGTTCCTGCTTTCACCATGTGACCTGCCTGTTCCCCTTTCACCTTCCACCGTGATTGAATGCTCCTCAACAGTTCAACAGAGCCAAGCAGATACCAGCACCATCCTTTCTGTAAAACCTGCAGAACTATGAGCCAATGAAACCTCTTTTCTTTATAAGTGACCCAGTCTCAGGTATTTCTTTATAGCAATGCAAGAATGGCCTAATACAGAAAATTGTTACTGAGGAGTGAGGCCTTGCTATAAAGATACCTGAAAACATGGAAGCAGCTTTGGAAATGGGTAACAGGCAGAGGTTGGAAGAGTTTGGAGGGCTCAGAAAAAGAGAGGAAGACCAAGGGAAGTCCAGAACTTCTTAGAGACTGGTTAAATGATTGTGACCAAAATGCTGATAGTGAGACAGCCAGGTGGGAGGGAGTCCCTGGAGAAACTCCAACCAGCCTGCCCACTGAGGTGGAGCCTCAGGAAGTTCATGACCTTTGCAGCAGGGAGGAGCCTGGTGCCTCCTCTTCCTGTGTGGAACCTGGGATTCAATCACCCGGGCAGGAAGCACTCTAGTGGAGGGACTCTGGCCTAGTGAGAGTCCCTGTTTCCCCCTTTTCTTCCTTTTAACCCAGTAAAACCCTGCTTCACTCACCCTTCAAATCATCTACGAGCCTAAATTTTTGTGGCTGTGGGATGGACAAGGACCCCATCTTTCACTCAATTAAGGAAAAGTCTTACAACAATAGTAATATGGATGATGAAGTCCAGGCTTATGAGGTCTCAGATGGAAATGAGAAACGTATTGGGAACTGGAGCAAAGGTCATGTGTGTTATGCCTTAGCAAAAAACTTGTCTCCATTTTGTCCATGTCCTAAGGATCTGTGGAAGTTTAAACTAAAGAGTGATGATTTAGGGCAAGGGTATCCAATCTTTTGGCTTCCCTGGGCCACAGTGGAAGAAGAATTGTTCTTGGACCATACATAAAATACACTAACACTAACGATAGCTGATGAGCTAGAAAAAAAAAATCACAAAAAACTCACAATGTTTTAAGAAAGTTTATGAATTTGTATTGGGCTTCACTCAAAGTCATTCTGGGTCACATGCGGCCAGCAGGCTGCAGGTTGGACAAACTTGATTTAGGGTATTTGGCAGAAGAAATTTCTAAGCAGCAAAGTGTTCAAGATGTGGCCTGGCTGCTTTGAACAACCTACACTCAGATTTGAGAGAAAAGAAAAGACTTAAGTTTGGAGTTTATATTTAGACAGGAAGCAGAGCATAAAAGTTTGGGAAATTTGAAGGTTGGCCATGTAGCAGAGAAAGAAAAAGCTTTTCTGGGAGAGGAATTGTAGCAGGCAGCAGAACACCCATTTGCTACAGAAATTTGCATAACTAAAAGGGATCCAAGTGCTGGTAACCAAGACAATGGGAAAAAGACCGCAAAGGCATTTCAGAGATCTAAGAGGTAGCACCTCTCACCACAGGCTCTGAGGCCTAGGAGGAAAGAATGGTTTCGGGGGCCAAGGCTCCACTTCCCTGCATAACCTCAGGATTCTGTTCCCTGCATCCAGGACACTCCAGCTCCAGCCTCAGCTCAAAAGGCCCCAGATACAGCTCATGCTGTTGCTTCAGAGGGTGCAAGCCATAAGCCTTGGTGGCTTTCATATGGTGTTAAGCCTTTAGATGCACAGAGTGCAAGAGTGATTGAGGCTTGGCATCACTGCCTAGATTTCGGATGATGTATGGAAAAGCCTGGGCACCTAGGCAGAAGCCTGCTGCAAGTGGAGAGTCCTCACAGAAAACCTCTACTATGGCAGTGTGGAGAAAAAATGTAGGGTTGAAGCTCCCACACGGGGTCCCCACTGGGGCACTGCCTAGTGGAGCTATGGGAAGGGGGCCACCATCTCCTAGACCCCAGAACAGTAGATCCATCAGCAGCTTGCTCTCTGCACCCCAAGAAAATCCACAAGCACTCAACTCCAACCTGTGAGGATAGCCACAGGGGCTGATCCCTGCAAAGCTTCAGAGGCAGAGCTGTCCAAGGCTTTGGGAATCTACCCCTCACAGCAGTGTGCCCTTGTTGTGGGACATAGAGTCAAAGGAGATTATTTTGGACATTTAAGATTTAATGACTATCCTGCTGGGTTTTAAATATGCATTGGGCCTGTTACTCCTTTCTTTTAACCAATTGCTCCTTTTTGAAATAGGAATGTTTACACAATGCCCATACACCCGCTGTATTTTGGAAGTCACTAATTTGTGTTTGATTTTACGGGCTTATAGGTGGGAGAGGCTTGCCTTGTCTCAGATGAGACTTTGGACTTTGGACTTCTGAATTGATGCTGGAATGAGTTAAGACTTTGGGGGACTGTTGGGAAGGCATGATTGTATTTCCCAATGTGAGAAGGACATGAGACTTGGAAGAGACCAGGGGTGGATTAATATAGTTTGGATGTGTGTCCCCCCACCAAGTCTCATGTTGAATTGTAATCCCCACTGCTGAAGGTGTGAACTGGTGGGAGGTGTTTGCAAGGGTTGATCCCTCATGAATGGCTTGGGCCATCTGCATGGTGGTAAGTGAGCTCTTTCTCAGAGTTCACAGGAGATCTGGTCATTTAAAAATGTGTGCCCTGCCCCTTATTTGCTCTTGCTTTTATCATGTGACATGTTTGTTCCTTCTTTGCCTTCCACCATGATTGAAAGTTCTCTGAGGTGGCCGGGTGCGGTGGCTCACGCCTGTAATCCCAGCACTTTGGGAGGCTGAGGTGGGTGAATCACGAGGTCAAGAGATCAAGACCATCCTGGCCAACATGGTGAAACTCCATCTCTACTAAAAATACAAAAATTAGCTGGGCATGGTGGTATGTGCCTGAAGTCCCAGCTACTTGGAAGCTGAGGCAGGAGAATTGCTTGAACCAGGGAGGCAGAGGTTGCAGTGAGCCGAGATTGTGCCACTGCACTCCAGCCTGGTGACAGAGTGAGACTCTGTCTCCAAAAAAAAAAAAAAAAAAAAGGAAAGTTCTCTGACACTTCACCAGAAGCCAAGCAGATGCCAGCACCATGCTTCCTGTAAAGCCTGCAGAACTATGAGGGAATTAAACGCTTTTCTTTATAAATTACCCAGTCTCAGATATTTCTTTATAGCAATGCAAGAACGGCCTAATACACAAGCTAAACTAAGGTTTCTAAGTGAAGGAGAAATAAGATCTTTTTCAGACAAGCAAATGCTAAGGGAATTTGTTACCACCAGACCTGCCTAACAAGAGGTTCCTTAAGGAAGTCCTAAATATAGAAAGGAAAGACTGTTACCAGCTAACACAAAAACACACATAAGTACATAGACTATTGACACTATAAAGCAATTACACAATCAGGTTTGCATAATAACCAGCTAACAACATGATGACAGGATCCAACCCACATATATCAATATTAATTTTGAATGTAAACAGGCTAAATGCCCCAGTTAAAAGGCATGGTGTGGCAAGTTGGATGAAGAAGGAAGACCCAATGGTATGCTGTTTTCAAGACACCCATCTCACATGCAATGACACACATAGGCTCAAAGTAAAGAGATGGAGAAAAATCTACCAAGCAAATGGAAAACAGAAAAAAGTGGGGGTTGTTATTTTAATTTCAAATAAAACAGATTTTAAACAAACAATAATCAAAAAGATAAAGAAGGGCATTGCATAATTGTAAAGGGTTCAATTTAACAAGAAGACCTAACTATCATAAATATATATGCACCCAACTCAGGAGTACCCAGATTCATAAAACAAGTTCTTAGAGACCTAGGAAAAAGCTTAGATAATCGCACAATAATAGTGGGAGACTTCAAAATCCCACTGACAGTATTAGACAGATAATTGAGGCAGAAATCTAACAAAGATATTCAGGACCTGAACTCAACACTTGATCAAATAGACCTAACAGGCATCTACAGAACTCTCCACACAAAAACAACAGAATATACATTCTTCTCATTTGCACATGGCACATACTCTAAAACTGCTCACATAATCAACCATAAGACAATTATCAGCAAATTCAAAAAAACTGAAATCATACCAACCACTCTCAGACCACAGCACAATAAAAATAGAAATCAATACTAAGAAGATCACTCAAAACCATAAACTACATGAAAATTAATCAACCTGCTCCTGAATGACTTTTGGGTAAGAAATAAAATTAAGGCAGACATAAAGACATTATTTGAAACTAGTGACAACAAAGATACAACGTATCAGAATCTCTGGGACACAGCTAAAGCAGTGTTAAGAGAAAAGTTTATAGTGCTAAATGTCCACATCAAAAAGCTAGAAAGAACTCAAATTAACAACTTAATATCACACCTAGAGGAACTAGAAAAACAAGAGCAAACCAACCCCAACGCTAGCAGAAAACAAGAAATAACCCAAATCAGAGCTGAACTGAATGACATTGAACTGAATGAAATTGAGATGTGGAAAACCATTCAAAAGATCAATAAATCCAGGACTTGGGTTTCTGAAAGAATAAATAAGATTGATAGACCACTAGCTAGATTAATAAAGAAAAAAAGAGAAGATCCAAATAAACACAATCAGAAATGACAATGGGGACATTACCAAAAACCCCACAGAAATACAAAAAACCCTCAGAGACTGCAATGAACTCCTCTGTGCACACAAACTAGAAAACCTAGAAGAAATGGTTAAATTCCTAGAAACATGCAACCTGCCAAGATTGAACAAGGAATAAATTGAATCCTTGGAGACCAGTAATGAGTTCCAAAAGTGAATCAGTAATAAAAAGCTTACCAACAAGAAAAAGCCCAGGACCAAAGAAATTCACAGCCAAATTCTACCAAATGTATGAAGAAGAGCTGGTACCATTCCTACTGAAGCTATTCCAAAAAACTGAGAAGGAAGGACTCCGCCTTAACTCTTTCTTTGAGGCCAACATCATTCTGATACCAAAACCTGGCAAAGACACACAAAAAAAGAAAACTTCAGGCCAATATCCTTGATGAACATAGATGTAAAAATCCTCAACAAAGTACTAGCAACCTGAATCCAGCAACACATCAAAAAGCTAATCCACCACTCAAGACCTCATCTCTGCTCTCCCTCTCCCTCTCCCTCTCCCTCTCCCCCTCCCCCTCCCCACAGTCTCCCTCTCTTTCCATGGTCTCCCTCTCTTTCCACGGTCTCCCTCTCTTTCCACGGTCTCCCTCTCATGCGGAGCCGAAGCTGGACTGTACTGCTGCCATCTCGGCTCACTGCAACCTCCCTGCCTGATTCTCCTGCCTCAGCCTGCCCAGTGCCTGCGATTGCAGGCACGCGCCGCCATGCCTGACTGGTTTTGGTGGAGATGGGGTTTCGCTGTGTTGGCCGGGCGGGTCTCCAGCCCCTAACCGCGAGTGATCCGCCAGCCTCGGCCTCCCGAGGTGCCGGGATTGCAGACGGAATGTCGTTCACTCAGTGCTCAATGGTGCCCAGGCTGGAGTGCAGTGGCGTGATCTCGGCTCGCTACAACCTCCACCTCCCAGCCGCCTGCCTTGGCCTCCCAAAGTGCCGAGATTGCAGCCTCTGCCCGGCCACCACCCCGTCTGGGAAGTGAGGAGTGTCTCTGCCTGGCCGCCCATCGTCTGGGATGTGAGGAGCCCCTCTGCCTGGCTGCCTAGTCTGGAAAGTGAGGAGCGTCTCAGCCCGGCCGCCATCCCATCTAGGAAGTGAGGAGCGCCTCTTCCCGGTCACCATCACATCTAGGAAGTGAGGAGCGTCTCTGCCCGCCGCCCATCGTCTGAGATGTGGGGAGCGCCTCTGCCCCACCGCCCCATCTGGGATGTGAGGAGCGCCTCTGCCCAGCCGCGACCCCGTCTGGGAGGTGAGGAGCGTCTCTGCCCGGCCGCCCCATCTGAGAAGTGAGGAGACCCTCCGCCTGGCAGCCACCCCGTCTGAGAAGTGAGGAGCCCCTCCGCCCGGCAGCTGCCCCATCTGAGAAGTGAGGAGCCTCTCTGCCCGGCAGCCACCCCATCTGGGAAGTGAGGAGCGTCTCCGCCCGGCAGCCACCCCGTCCGGGAGGGAGGTGGCGGGGGTCAGCCCCCCGCCCGGCCAGCCGCCCAGTCCGGGAGGGAGGTGGGGGGTCAGCCCCCCGCCCGGCCAGCCGCCCCGTCCGGGAGGGAGGTGGGGGGTCAGCCCCCCGCCAGGCCAGCCGCCCCGTCAGGGAGGGAGGTGGGGGGTCAGCCCCCCCGCCCAGCCAGCCGCCCCGTCTGGGAGGTGAGGGGCGCCTCTGCCCGGCCGCCCCTACTGGGAAGTGAGGAGACCCTCTGCCCGGCCAGCTGCCCCGTCCGGGAGGGAGGTGGGGGGTCAGCCCCCCGCCCGGCCAGCTGCCCCGTCCGGGAGGTGAGGGGCACCTCTGCCCGGCCGCCCCTACTGGGAAGTGAGGAGCCCCTCTGCCCGGCCAGCCGCCCCATCCGGGAGGGAGGTGGGGGGGTCAGCCCCCCGCCCGGCCAGCCGCCCCGTCCGGGAGGGAGGTGGGGGGGTCAGCCCCCCTGCCCGGCCAGCCGCCCCGTCCCGGAGGGAGGTGGGGGGTCAGCCCCCCGCCCGGCCAGCCGCCCCGTCCGGGAGGTGAGGGGCGCCTCTGCCGGGCCGCCCCTACTGGGAAGTGAGGAGCCCCTCTGCCCGGCCACCACCCCGTCTGGGAGGTGTGCCCAACAGCTCATTGAGAATGGGCCAGGATGACAATGGCGGCTTTGTGGAATAGAAAGGCGGGAAGGGTGGGGAAAAAATTGAGAAATCGGATGGTTGCCGTGTCTGTGTAGAAAGAAGTAGACATGGGAGACTTTTCATTTTGTTCTGCACTAAGAAAAATTCTTCTGCCTTGGGATCTTGTTGATCTGTGACCTTACCCCCAACCCTGTGCTCTCTGAAACATGTGCTGTGTCCACTCAGGGTTAAATGGATTAAGGGCGGTGCAAGATGTGCTTTGTTAAACAGATGCTTGAAGGCAGCATGCTCATTAAGAGTCATCACCACTCCCTAATCTCAAGTAATCAGGGACACAAACACTGCGGAAGGCCGCAGGGTCCTCTGCCTAGGAAAACCAGAGACCTTTGTTCACTTGTTTATCTGCTGACCTTCCCTCCACTATTGTCCCATGACCCTGCCAAATCCCCCTCTGTGAGAAACACCCAAGAATTATCAATAAAAAAATAAATGAAAAAAAAAAAAAAAGCTAATCCACCACAATCAAGCAGGCTTTATCTCTGGGATGCAAGGTTGGTTCAACATATGCAAATCATTATATGTAATTCATGACATAAACAGAAACAAAAACAAAACACACATGATCATCTTAATAGATGCAGAAAAGGCTTTTGATAAAATTCAACATTCCTTTATGTTAAAAACCCTGAACAAACTAGGCATTGAAGAAACATAGTTCAAAATAATAAGAGCCATCTATGACAAACCCACAGGCAACATCATACTGAATGAGCAAAACCTAGAAGTATTCCCCTTGAGAACTGGAACAAGACAAGGATGCCCACTCTCATCAGTCCTATTCAACATAGTACTTGAAGTCCTAGCCAAAGCAATTAGACAAGAAAAAGAAATAAAAGCCATCCAAATAAGAAGACAAAAAGTCAAACTATTTCTTTTTGCAAATGATATGATTCTACACCTAGAAAACCCCATAGTCTCTGTCCAAAAGTGCCTAGATGTGATAATCAACTTCAGCAAAGTTTCAGGATACAAAAGCAATGTGCAAAAATCAGTAGCATTTCTATAGGCCAATGACATCCAAGATGACAGCCAAATCAGGAACACAATCCCATTCACAATAGCCACAAAAAGAATAAAATGCCTAGGAAAACAGCTAACCAGGGAGGTGAAAGATCTCTACAATGAGAATTACAAAACACTACTGAAAGAAATCAGAGGCAACACAAACAAATGGAAAAACATTCCATGCTCATGGATCAGAACAACCAATATTGTTAAAATGGCCATACTGGCCAGATGTGGTGGCTCACATCTGTAATCCCAGCACATTGGAAGGCCGAGGCATGTGCATCATCTGAGGTCAGGAGTTTGAGACCAGCCTGGCCAAGATGGCAAAACCCCATCTCTACTAAAAATACAAAAATTATCTGGGTGTGGTGGCAGGCACCTGTAATCCCAGCTACTCAGGAGGCTGAGACAGGAGAATCCAGGAGGTGGAGGTTGCAGTGAGCCAAGATTGCGCCATTGTGCTCCAGCCTGGGCAACAAGAGTGAAACTCTGTCTCAAAAAGAAAAAGAAAAAAAAAAAAAAGGCCATACTACCCAAAGCAATTTACAAATTCAATGCTATTCTTATTAAAATACCAATGACATTCTTTACAGATTTAGAAAAAAAATTCTAAAACATTGATGGAACAAAAAAAGATCCTGAATAGCCAAAGCAATCCTAAGCAGAAAGAACAAAGCTGAGGCATCACATTACCCAACTTCAAACTATACTACAGTGGGATGACATGTGACATATTAAAAGTACTGAAAGAGGCCAGCTGCAGTGCCTCACACCTGTAATCCCAGTACTTTGGGGAGGCCGAGGTGGGTGGATCACCTGAGGTCAGGAGTTCAAGACCAGCCTGACCAACATGGTGAAACCCCATCTCTACTAAAAATACAAAAATCAGCTGGTCATGGTGGTAGGTGCCTATAATCCCAGCTACTCGGGAGGCTGAGGCAGGAGAATTGCTTGAATCTGGGAGGTGGAGGTTGCAGTGAGTGGAGATTGCGCCATTGCACTCCAGCCTGGGAGGCAGAGTGAGACTCCATCTGAAAATAAAATAGAATAGAATAAAATAAAATAAAATAAAATAAAATAAAATAAAATAAAATAAAATAAAAGTACTAAAAGAAAAAAAACTGTCAAACAAGCATTCCATACAAAGAATAGCTATCCTTTGTTAATAAATGAAGAATAAATTCCCAGATAAACAAAAATTGAGATAATTTGTTGTTAGGAGACTTACCTGATAAGAAATACTAAAAGAAGTCTTGAAGATGAAAGGAAGTGACTTCAGATGATAATGTCAATCCCCATGAAGAAACAAAGAGCACTACACACCTACTAGAATGGCTCAGATCCAAAATACTGACAGCACCAATCGCTGGCAAGGATGTGGTGTAACAGGAACTCTGTTTCATTGCTTGTGGGAATTCAAAATGGTATACCCACTTTGGAAGACAGCTTGATGGTTTCTTCTAAAAGTAAACATACTCTAACCATATGATCCAGCAATTGTGCACCTTACTATTTACCCAAAGTAATTGAACATTTGCATCCACAAAAAAACCTGCACGTGGATATTTATGGTAGCTTTTCTCACAATTGCCAAAACCTGGAAGCAATGAAGATGTCCTTCAGTAGGTGAATGGAAACTGTGATATTTCAGGCCACATGATAGAAACTGTGATATTTCAGACCATGAAATGTTATTCAGCAAAAAAGAAATGAGCTATAAAGCCATAAAAAGACATGGAGGAAACTTAAGTGCATATTACTAAGTGAAAGAAGCCAATCTGAAAAGGCTACATAGTGTAGGATTTCAATTATATGACATTTGGGAAAAGGCAAAACTATGGAGACAGTAAAATGATCAGTATGTGCCAAGGGTGAGAGGGAGGCAGAGATGAACAGGTGAAGCACAGGGACATTTAGGAGAGCGAAACTATCTGTATGGTACTTATGGTGGTTACATGTCATTATACATTTGTCCAAACCCATAGAATGTACATCAAGAGTGAACTGGAATGTAAACTATGGACTGTGGATGATAAAGATGTGTCAATATAGGTTCATCAATTAAAACAAATGTACCACTCTGGTGGGGGATGTTGATAATGGGGGAGGCTATACATGGAGAGTGAGGGGTATATGGGAAATCTCCGGACCTTCCACTCAATTTTGCTGTGAACCAAAAGCAAAAGGAGAAGAAACAAAGAACACCAATAAAGTTTATTATATAGGTAATTACCAAAGGTGTTATAAACATATTTTTCTCTTTTCTTCCCGTAATGATTTGAAAGACAATTGCAGCCGGGTGCAGTGGCTCACGCCTTTAATCCCAACACTTTGGGAGGCTGGGGTGGGCAGATCACTTGAGGCCACGAGTTTGAGACCAGCCTGGCCAACATAGCAAAACCCTGTCTTTACTAAAGATACAAAAAATTAGCCAAGCATGCTGGCACACGCCTGTAATCCCAGCTACACAGGAGGCTGAGGCATGAGAATCGTTGGAATCTAGGAGGCAGAGGTTGCAGTGAGCCAAGATGGCGCCACTGCACTCCAACTCCAGCCTGGGCAACAGAGTGAGACTCTATCTCAAAAAAAAAAAAAAAAAAAAAAAAAAAAAAGACAACTGCATAAAGCAATAAATATAAAGTTGTATTATTAGACTTATAACATTAAAATGTAATATATGTAACAATAATAGCACAAAGCAGGAGGGAGGGAATGAAGCAACATTTGAGCAAGGAGATGACTCTAGATGGTAACTCAAATTCAAAGAGAGAAAAATGAAGAGTACTATAAATGGTAAACATGTAGCTTAATATAAAATCCTATATATTTCCTCCTCCTTTTAGCTTCTCTAAAAGACATGATTGTATAAAGCAATAATTATAACACTGTATTGTTGGGCATTATAGGGAGATGATAAATATCAATTACGGCTTTGAGACCAGCTGCAGCAGCAGGAATTGTAGCTCTTTCCCTAATCCTCTTGTACCAAATCTTTGCAGAGAAGACAGCTGCAAAGACCCTGTGATGGATTGGATTTAACGGAGAGTGTGAGAAGATCTGAAGCACTCTACGTCCAGCCCATGACTCTGAAAGTCATCTGTTTTCCCCACTCTTGTTCCCCACTGGAAGCTTCCAAACTATTGTCTTTATCCTTGGGTTTCTGAAATTTCACAATGATATATCTAGATATGGGTCTTTTATCTTTGTCCTGGGAAATTGGTGGACCTTTTTAATCTGGAGACTTGGTTTTTAACATCTAGGAAAATTTCTTGTCTTTATCCTTTGATGATTTCTTGTCTTTAGTTTTCTCTTTTATGAAGTTCTTTTGGCCAGGCGTGGTGGTTCATGCCTGTAATCCTAGCATTTTGGGAGGCCGAGGAGGGTGAATCACCTGAGGTCAGGAGTTTGAGACCAGCCTGGCCAACCTGGTGAAACCCCATCTCTACTAAAAATACGAAAATCAGCTGGGCACGGTGGCGGGCGCCTGTAATCCCAGCTACTTGGGAGGCTGAGGCAGGAGAATCACTTGAACCCGGGAGGCGAAGGTTGCAGTAAGCCAAGATCGTGCCATTGCACTCCAGCCTGGGCAACAGAGCGAGATTCCGTCTCAAAAAAGAAAAAAAAAAAAAAGAAGTTCTTTTTATTAGAGGTTGTACCTTCTGGATTGATCTTTATTTCTATTTTCCTTCTCTCATATTTTCTGATTCCTTGTCTTTGTTCTACCTTCAAGGAGACTGATATGCATTTATCTTCTGCTCTTCTATTAAACTCATTAAAAACTTGGCAAATATTTTTAATATCCAATAACTCATCTTGGCTTCTGATTGTTCCTTTCTGCTGCTCCCTGTCCCTCAACATTTTAAAGACTTATTTTTATTTTTATTTTTTATTTTTTTCTGAGACAGAGTCTTGCTCTGTCGCCCAGGCTGGAGTGCAGTGGCGCGATCTAGGCTCACTGCAAGCTCCGCCTCCCGAGTTCATGCCATTCTCCTGCCTCAGCCTCCCAAGTAGCTGGGACTACAGGCGCCTGCCACCATGCCCCGCTAATTTTTTGTATTTTTAGTAGAGACAGGGTTTCACCATGTTAGCCAGGATGGTCTCAATCTCCTGACCTCGTGATCCGCCCACCTCGGCCTCCCAAAGTGTTGGGATTACAGGCGTGAGCCACCGCGCCCGGCCAAGACTTATTTTTCAGAGCAGTTTTAAGTTCGCAGAAAAATTGAGAGGAAGGTGCACAGATAGCCGGTGTACCCCATATCCCACACATGCATTGCCTCTTCCATTAATACCATCCCCCACCACTTCCTTTGTTTTATATAACCTCTTATTCTTATATGATCTTGGTCATTCTCTTAAAATTTTTTTTTTAATTTATGTATAATTGTTGTGCATATTTGGGGGGTACATGTGATATTTTGATAGATGTATACAATGTGTAATGATCAAATCAGGGTAATTAGCATATCCATCACCTCAAATATTTATCTTTGTGTTGTAAACATGACTATTCTTCTCTTCTAGCTGTTTTGAAATATATAATAAATTATTGTTAACTATAACTTCCCTACTATGCTCTCAAATGCTGGAACTTATTTCTTTATTTTAACTGTATTTTTGTACTCTGTAACCAACTTCTCTTTGTCTGCCCTTCCCCCTTCCCTTCCCAGCCTCTGGTACTCTGGTAACCACCATTCTTTTTTTTTTTTTTTGAGACAGAGTCTTGCTCTGTCGCCAGGTTGGAGTGCAGTGGCACGATCTCAGCTCACTGCAACCTCTGCCTCCCAGGTTCAAGCGATTCCCCTGCCTCAGCCTCCCAAGTAGGTGAGACTACAGGTACGCGCTACCACGCCCAGCTAATTTTTGTATTTTTAGTAGAGATGAGGTTTCACCAGGTTGGCCGGGATGGTCTTGATCTCTTGACCTCGTGATCCACCCACCTTGGCCACCCAAAGGGCTGGGATTACAGGTGTGAGCCACCACGACTGGCCCCACCATTCTACTCTCTATCTCCATGGGACCCTCTTTTTGACCTCCCAAATATAAATGAGAACATGTGATATTTGTCTTTTTGTGCCTGGCTTATTTCACTTAACATAATGATCTCCTGTTCCATCCATGTTGCTGCAAGTGACAAAATTGCATTCTTTTTTAAGGATGAATAATTTTCCGTTATATATATATATACCACATTTTCTTTATCCATTCATCTGTTGATAGACGCTTATGTTGATTCCAGAAATGTCTGATCTTTGTCATCTGTTTATATTTAAGAACAAAGCGGGCCGGTCTCGGTCCCAGCACTTTGGGAGGCCGAGGCGGGCGGATCACAGGGTCAGGAGATCGAGACCATCCTGGCTAACACGGTGAAACCCCGTCTCTACTAAAAATACAAAAAATTAGCCGGGTGCAGTGGGGGGCACCTGTAGTCCCAGCTACTCGGGAGGCTGAGGCAGGAGAATGGCATGAACCCGGGAGGCGGAGCTTGCAGTGAGCCGAGATCACGCCACTGCCTCCAGCCTGGGTGACAGAGCAAGACTCTGTCTCGAAAAAAAAAAAAAAAAAAGAATAAAGTGGGTGTGGTGGTGCATGCCTATAGTCCCAGCTACTCAGGAGGCTGAGACAGGGGGATCGCTTCAGCCCAGGAGTTTAAGATCAGCCTGGGCAACATAGTGAGATCCTGTTTCAAAAAAACAAAAAAACAAAAAAACAAAAAAAAAGAAGAAGAAGGCCATAAGGAACTGACTTGGGAGCTCTGGGTAGATGTACTGGGCTTACTTATTTGCACTTTACTTCGATGTGAACCAATAGCTAGCTAGCCAGTGCAGACATCTTTTCCCTAAGGTCAATACATGTTAATGGTTATTCCTGATCCAGGCTTAGCTGCCTGGGCCTCAATTTCCTTATCCTGGAGAAAGCTAAAGGAGGAGGGTCTGGTCAAAGAGTGACTTCTTCAAATGGAATAGAGGTAATTTCAGTCATATGAGGCCTAGCATGTGACCAGGGCTCAAATGTTTTGGGGGAATCCTCTGCACCACACTCTATCGTATCACTTCCACTACTCTCATCCATTGAAAAAGAATCTTAATCTCTGGTCTTGCTCTCTCAACACCATTCCATCAGAAGAGGGTGGCTTACCAGATTTGGGCTTATTTCTCCAAGATTTAGTCTTTAAAATAAAGGTGTGTCATAAGTTCAATGCACATAATCACAGATGAAAGTTTACAAAATATTCTCCACCTTAAGTAATTCGGAGATTTGCCTGGGAGGGCGGCCTTCGGTATTTTGCTTATCTCATAGTTGATAGTTAATGTTTGTGCTATCAATGGCTGTTGAACTGGAGCTAGCTAAATAACCCTTCTCAATGATCAGAATTGATTCTAGAAACTGGAATTGTATTTATTATGCAGATAACATTAAGTAAACCATAGAAGAGGGTATCTATAAAGGTTGAGAAATAGGTAGAGCTTCTTGCTGAATATTTGGAAAAGAGAAAAAGTAATTACTAGAAACCTAGCATACTTCTCAATGTCTCTGACCCTGAAATGGTTCTGAAATGATAGAGAACGTGACTGCACAAAATGTTTATAGAGCATTCTTTATAACAGTGAAAAAAAATCAAAAACAGCAGAAATGTCCAAAGCCAGAGAAACAGTGGATGAATATTATGTAGTCTTTAAAGTGATGACTATGCAAAAAATTATGTGTCTATATTTATATATAGAAATTTAGACTATAAAGAAACATGAGAATATAAAAAATAGTTTTTTTTGCTGGGATGCTTGAACTTATGAGTGAAATTTAAATTATTTTCTTTTTTTATGATGTTCTGAGTTGATTCTTTTATAAATACTGACAGCATTGCCTTTATCTCTCTCCCACACTTGTGCAAACTTTTTGACAGATACATAGCCAGCAAGCCTTAACTCCACACAGCAGATGGAAACCACAAGCAGGAGATTTTGGCTCATTTGAGGTTTTGCTGTATGCTCAGAGCTGTGGGTAGGATGACATTTCTTTTGATCTTCTCCTCTCCTTTTCCAACTTCATTTCTCTAATAAGGTGAAATTAGTATTGAGTACTTCCACACTACAAAGGGAGATGCTATCCTGGTTTGCAATCCAGAAGTCCAAAAATTTGTCAGCTGAAAGAAGTCCCTCAGGGGATTTGGGAATGGACCTGTTGTGGACCTCTGGTTCTCTTCTGTTTTAAAAATTAAATTTTATTTTAGAGACAGGGTCTTGCTCTGTCAGCCCAGGCTGGAGTGCAGTGACGCAATCATAGCTCACTGCAGCCTTGATCCCCTAGGCTCAAGGGATTCTCTGGCCTCAGCCCCCTGAATAGCTTAGACTACAGGATTGAGCCACTGCCCCCAGCTGGTTCTCTCGTCCCAAGCACCATCTCCCTTCTTTGAGCTACAGAAATTCCCTGGCAATTCTTGGCCCTTACTCTTCCACAGCAATTTTAAAAGCACCTTACCAAGTTCCATGAAAACTCTGTTGGGATATTTACTGGAATCACATCGAACTTACAGATCAATCTGGGGAGAACTGACATCCTTAAAATTTTGTCTGTAGAGATCTTGAAGACCTGGTAGATTTATTCCTAGGGACTTGATATTCTCTGATACACCTATATCATCATCATCATCATTATTATTATTATTACTTTGAGACAGAGTCTCGCTCTGTTGCCAGGCTGGAGTGCAGTGGCGTGATCTTTGCTCGCTGCAACCTCCGCCTCCTGGGTTCAAGCTATTCTCCTGCCTCAGCCTCCCAAGTAGCTGGGACTACAGGCACACGCCACCACACCCAGCTAATTTTTGTATTTTTAGTAGAGATGAGGTTTCACTATGTTGGCCAGGATGGTCTCGTTCTCTTGACCTTGTGATCTGCCCGCTTTGGCCTCCCAAAGTGCTGGAATTACAGGCATGAGCCACCGCACCTGACCTATTTTTAGTTTTAATTGTATTCTTAGTCGTTTGCTGCTGTTATATAGAAATACAACTGGCTTGGTAATCTATAACCAGCTATAAATATTTCTAATAATTTATCTGTATATTTGTTTGGATTTGTTATTTTTCAACAATGACATTTTATGTCTCATTTCCAATACTTTGTCCCTAATATCTTTTTTTTTTAGATGGAGTCTTGCTCTGTTGCCCAGGCTGGTGTGATCTCGGCTCACTGCAACCTCTGCCTCCCAGGTTCAAGTGATTCTCCTGCCTCAGCCTCCGAAGTAGCTGGGACTACAGATGCCCACCACCACACCTGGCTAATTTTTGTATTTTTAGTAGAGACGGGGTTTCACCATGTTGGCCAGGCTGGTCTCAGACTCCTGACTTCAAGTGACATGCCTGCCTCAGCCTCCCAAAATGCTGGGATTACAGGCGTGAGCCACCACGCCCAGCCAATCATTTTTTTTCTTTTTGAGACAGGGTCTTGCCCTATCACCCAGACTGGCATGCAGTGGTGCAATCACAGCTCACTGCAGCCTTGACCTCCCGGGTTCAAGTGATCCTCCTACCTCAGCCTCCCTAGTAGCTAAGAGTGTGTTCCACCATGCCCCACTAATTTTTTTACTTTTTGTAAAAATAAGATCTCACTATGTTGGCCAGGCATGGTGGCTCATGCTTGTAATCCCAGCACTTTGGGAGGCTGAGGCAGGCAGATCACTTGAGATCAGGAGTTCGAGACCAGCCTGGCCAACATGGTGAAACCCTGTCTCTACTAAAAATACAAAAAATTAGCTGGGTGTGGCGGTAGGTGCCTGTAATCCCGCTACTCGGGAGGCTGAGGCAGGAGAATTGCTTGAACCTGGGAGGTCAAGGTTGCAGTGAGCCGAAATCATGCCACTGCACTCCAGCCTAGGTGACAAAGGGAGACTCCATCTCAAAAAAAAGAGAAAAGAAAAGAAAAGAAAAAAAAAGATATTACTGGCTGGTCTCAAATTCATGGGCTCAAGTCATTCTCTGGCCTCAATCTCCCAAAGTACTGGATTACAGGCATGAGCTTCTGTGCTCAGCCTCTAATATCGTTTTTCTTTGTTGTATTGTACAGGCTCGACTCTCCAGTGTAAATCTCCAATACCACATTGAATAAAAGTGGCATTAGTAGACATGCTGACTTCAAAGGAATGCTTCTAATGTTTCACCATTTAGTATCAGATTTCTCTAGGGGTGTGTGTGTGTGTGTGTGTGTGTGTGTGTGTGTGTGTGTGTGTTTAATAGCTGTTCTTTATTAGGTTGCAGATTTTCTCTTCTCTTCTTAATTTTCCATAACTACTTATAATGATCGAGAGTTGGATTTTATCAAAGGATTTTTCTGAATCAATTGACATTATAATATGGTTTTTTCTTTTAATCAGTTTATAAAATGATTTACATATGTGGATTTTCTAATATTAAACCAGTTTTGCATAGCTGGGTTAAATTCAATTAAGCAATGGTATGATTGCTTTTTTACTCCCTTTGGCTTAGATTTGCTAATATTTTAAGGACTTTTTATATCCATATTCATGAATGGAGTGGTCCTGTAATTTTCCTTTTTTGAAACGTCTCCATCTGATTTGATATAATGTGACTGTATTAGTCAGGGTTTCCAGAGAAACACAACCAATAGAATGTGTAAGTATAAATAGATAGATTTATTATAAGGAATTTGGCTCATGTGATTATGGAGGTGGGCCAATGGTTTTGTTTCAGTCTGAGTCCAATGGCCTGAGAACCAGGAGCACTGATGTTGTCATTCCTGTCTGAGCTGGCGGGCTCAAGACCTAGGAATGGCTGATGTTTCACTTTAAGTCCAAATACATGGAAAACCTGATATCTCAGCTGAAAGGCAGCCAGGCAGGAAAGAATTCTCTCTGACTGGGGGAGAATCAGCCTTTGTGTTTGAGGCCCACCCACATTAGGGAAGACAGTCTGCTTTACTCAGTCTACTGATTTGAATGCTAATCTCATCCAGAAACACCCTTATAGAAATACTCAAAATAATATTTGACCAAATATCTGGGCTCCCCATGGCCCAGTCAGGAGAATACATAACATTAAACATCACAATGGCATATTTATCCATTCTCCTGTTGATGGGCATTTGCTTATTTCCAGGGTTTTGCTGCTATAACATTCCAGTACCTGAATCCTAGAAAATATCTAGGATCACAATTGCTTTAGCAGAAGGTATGTGAACATTAAACTTAATAAGCTAATGGCAGTATTTCAGCATTTTCTACTTTGATTACTTTTATATTGGCCATCATTTTTCTTAATATCTAAGAGATCACTTGTTATTTTTAAAAAATTAATTCTTATTTATTATTTATTTATTTATTGACAGAATCTTGCTCTGTTGCCCAGGCTGGAGTGTAGTGGCTAGATCTCGGCTCACTGCAACTTCCGCCTCCTGGGTTCAAGTGATTCTCGTGCCTCAGCCTCCCAAGTAGCTGGGATCACAGGCATGCCCCACCACGCCTGGCTAATTTTTTGTATTTTTAGTAGAGACTGGGTTTCACCATGTTGGCCGGGCTGGTCTCGAACTCCCAACCTCAAGTGATTTGCCTGCCTCAGCCTCCCAAAGTGCTGGGATTACAGATGTGAGCCCCTGTGCCCAGCCAAATACTTTTTTTTTAAATATAACAGTTTTTGATTTACAGAAAAATTGAGCAGATAGTACAAAGAGTTCCCACACGTCCTCTGCACAAAAGTTGTCTTATTATGAACATCTTTGTTAGTATGATACATTTGCCACAATTAATGAACCAATATTGATACATGATTGTGAACTAAAGTCCATAGTTTATTCAGATTTCAGTAATTTTTACCTGATGACCTTTTCCTGTTTCAGGATCCCACCCAGAATATCACAATACATTTAGTTGTCATAGCTTCTTAGGCTCCTGTTGGCTGTGACAGTTTCTCAGACTGTCTTTGTTTTTTGATTATCTTGCGAGCATTGAAAAATACTGATCAGCCGTGTTGTAGGGTACCCCGTTCCTCTCAGTCTCTGGTAATTTTCTTTGCTCTGAGGTCATCTTTATCTGATATTAGTAGTTATTCCTACTTTCTTTTGATAAGTGTTTTCATGCTATCTCTTTTTCCCATCCTTTCATTTTCAACCTGCCTGTGTTTTATATTTGAAGTGAAGTTTTTGTAGGTAACATATAGTTAGGTCATGTTTCTTAATTTAGTCTGCCAATTTCTGTATTTTAATTGCTATATTTAAATCATTTACATTTTTGGTGAAATGTACTTATTTATTTTTAATAATATTTTTTTTATTTCCATAGGTTTTTGGGGAACAGGTGGTATTTGGTTACATGAACAAGTTCTTTAGTGGTGATTTGTGAGTTAAATCATTTACATTTAATGCATTTCTTGGTATGTTAAGGCTTCATTCTGCTATTTTGTTTCTTGTTTTCTATTTTTTCTCTCTGTTTTGTTTTTCCTGCTTTCCTGTGTGTTACTTGAACATTTTTTAGAGCTCTGTTTTTATTTGTCTGTAGTATTTTTACTGTATGTCTTTGTATGGCTTTTTAAGTTATTGCTGTAGATATTATACATATGTACATTATCACGGTCTACTAGGTTATCATTCACTAGTTTGAATGAAACTGGAAATCTTACCTCCCTTTAAATTCATTTAATCCCCCATTTATGATACAATTGTCTTAAAAATTTCCTTTCTCTGCATTTAGGACCGTATCAGGCAGTGTTACAATTTTCGCTGCAACTATCTAACACACTTTAGAAAATTCAAAAGGAGAATAAGTGTTTGTATTTATTTGCCCAAATTTTCCCATACCACATTTATTCTTCCATTTTGATGTTATACGATTTCCTCTTTTATTGTTTCCTTTACGTTTAGAGAACTTCTTTTAACTGTTCTTTTAGTGGTCTACGGGAAACAAATTCTCCTTTGCTTCCTTTATTTTCCTTTGTTCATAAATGTCTTGATTTCTACTTCATTCCTGAATGATATTTTCACTGGATATAAGATTCTAGGTCAACAGTTCTTTTCTTTCAGCACTTGAAAAAGGTTGTGCCATTTTCTTCTGGCCTCCATTGTTTCTGATGAGAAATTGGCAGTCATTTGAATTATTTTTGCCCTATATACAAGATGTTATTTCTCTCTTGCTGCTTTCAAGATTGTTTTTACTTTTTTTATTCATACACACACACACACACACATATATATTTTATATATATATTCTTTTTTAAATTGAGACAGGGTCTCGCTATGCTGCCCAGGCTGGTCTCAAACTCTTGGTCTCAAGCCGTCCTCCCACCTTGGCCTCCCTAAGTGCTGAGATTACAGGCATGAGCCACTGTACCTTGCAAGATTTTTTCTTTGTCTTCAGTTTTCAGAAATTTGGCTTTAATGTGCCATGATGTGGATTTCTTTAGATTTATCCTGTGTGGGTTTTTCTCAGCTTTTTAACTCTGTAGGTTTATGTCTCTTGCCAAATTCGGGGAATTTTCAGCCATTATGTCTTCAATACCATTTTAGCCTCACTCTCTTTCTCCTCTCCTGGGGCTGTATGACAGCAATGTTCCATCTTTTGCTAGGGTCTCACAGGTCTCTAAGGCCATGTTAATGTTTTTTTCAGTCTATTTTCTCACTGTTGTTACAATTGGGCAATTTTTGATGTTCTATTTTCCAGTTCACTGGTTTTTTTTCTGTCTCCTCTATTCTGTTGTTGAGTCTATCCACTGAGTGTTTTTATTTCAGTCATTGTACTTTTCCATTTTAAAATTTCCATTTGTTCCTTCCCCTTTTATCTGTCTGCTTAGACAGTCCATTTTTTCATTTGTTTCAAGTGTGTTCATAATTTCTCATTAAGTGATTTTTACAATACTGCTTTAAAATCTTTATCAGATAATTCTGACATTTCTGTCATCTTGCTGATGGCATCTATGCATTGTCCATTTTGATTAAGTTTAGGATCTTTCTGGTTTTTGGTTTGTGTCATGGACTAAATGTTTGAGTCCTACAAATTAACATGTTGAACCCCTAACCCCCAATGTGCTGGTATTTTAAAATGGGGCCTTTGGGAGATAATTAGGGTTAGATGTAGTCATGAGGATGGGCCCTTTGTCTGATGAGATTAGTGCCCTTATAACAAGAGACAGCAGAGAACTTGCTGTCTGTTTCCTCTTGTGAGCAGAGAGGAAAGGCCACATGAGGACCGAGTGAGAAGGCTGTCGTCTGAAAGCCAGGAAGACAGCCCTCACTAGGAACTGATTGGGCTGGCACCTTGATCTGGAGACTTTTCAGCCTCCAGAACTCTGAGAAATAAATAAATACCATCCAGTCTATAGTATTTTGTTACGGCTGCCTGAGCAGACTAACATAGTACAGCAAGTGGCTTTCTATTAAACCTGTACATTTTAGATATTATGTTATAAGAATCTGAATTGTATTTAAATTATCTGTTTTAGCTGTTTTTTAAATAACCACTCCAGCAGGGGATAACAGGGTGGCACCACCTGATTATTACCAGTCAGGGCTAGAAGTGCAAGTTCTCCACCCAGCCTCCATTGACACATAAGGAGAAGAGCTCCTCATGACTGCCAGGTATGACTCCCAACGTGGTCCTCACTGACACTGCAGTGGGGAGGGAAACTTGTTACTATCTAGCAGGGATGAGAGTCCCAGCTCCCTACTCAGTCTTCTCTGACATTACCCCGCAGGGGTTGGGGTGCTTCATTAGTGTCGAGTAGTGTAAATCTACACTCCCCACTTGGCCTTTGCAGACATGGGTGGTGGAGGAATCACAGTTTTTCTTTGGTGTTTGGCTAGAGTATAGCAGTTACTGTTTAGAAGTTTTCTGTCTTTCTGCGTTCTCCTTTCCTGGTCTTCTGGCTGGAAAGAGCAAGCCTTTGTTGGGCCTTTCCTTGTCTGTGCATGTTGGCATTTGCAAACTGCTCGCTTCTTCACTTCCAAGTCTGGGATATATGAGGCAGGAAGAAAATGTAGAGAACTCATTACTGTGTCACTCCTTCAGTCCCAAAGTCCCTATCTGGTCTCCCTTCTTCTGCACATCTTCCAAAGTCTAATGTTTATTTTACATATAATGTACAGGGACTTTAGCTGTACTTGGCAGGAAGAATAGGGAAAAGTACACCTATTTCATCTTCAGGGAAAAGGGAGTTCTATATACTGAGTTTTCAATTATAATTATTTTATGACTTTATGTCTAGAAAGTCTATTTTTCTCTTTTTCAAGTCTGCTTTGCAATTCTTTATAGTTTCTCATTTCCTACACATGCTTCTCAAGCATTTCTGTCGTTTATTTATACTTATGGAGCATGTTATTATATAAACTCTGATAATTCCATTACTGGATTTTTTGTCTTCTGAATCTCTCTGTTTTCATTTCTACTAGTCCTTGCCCATGATACCTTATTTCTTTGTGTGGTTAATTATGATTTACACTAAATTATTCACCTTTGAATTTTATTTCTAAGACTTTAAAAAGACTTTTTAGGCTGGGCGCAATGGCTCACGCTTGTAATCTCACCACTTTGGGAGGCCGAGGTGGGCAGATCACAAGGTCAGGAGATCGAGACCATCCTGGCTAACACAGTAAAACCCCGTCTGTACTAAAAATACAAAAAAAATTAGCTGGGCGTGGTGGCAGGCGCCTGTAGTCCGAGCTACTTGGGAAGCTGAGGCAGGAGAATGGCGTGAACCCGGGAGGCAGATCTCGCAGTGAGCCAAGATCGCACCACTGCACTCCAGGCTAGGCGACAGAGCGAGACTCCGCCTCAAAACAAAAAGGCTTTTTATTGAAATACAACTTACATCAGCAAAGTGTAGAAATCCTAAGGTTAATAACGTTTTACTTATGTGTGCACCTGTGGAACTATCACCCAGATCAAGATGCAGAACGTTGGCAAAGCCTGGTGACTCACGCCTGTAATCCCAGCACTTTGGGAGGCCAGGAGTTTGAGACCAGCCTGGCCAACATGGTGAAAACCCATTTCTACTAAAAATACAAAAATTAGCTGGGCATGTTGGTGTGTGCCTGTAGTCCCGGCTACTCAGGAGACTGAGGCAGGAGAATTGCTTGAACCCGGGAGGCAGAGGTTGCAGTGAGCCGAGATTGCACCATTGCACTCCAGCCTGGGCAAAAAGGGCAAAACTCCATCACCCTCCACCAAAAAAATACAGAACATTTCTGGCACCCCAAAAGACATCCTTGTGCCTCCTACTAATCAGTACCCACTCCAACAGTAACTGCTATTCTGATCTCTACCACCATATATTAGTTTATCCTATTTTAAAATGTCATATAAATGGAATCACATAATATACACTTTTTGTATGTCTGGCTTCTTTCATTTAACATTGTCTTTGAGATTCATCCATATTTTTCATGTATCATGTTAGTAGTTCACTATTCTCATTGCTGTTTAATTTTTCACATGTATGCTATATTTATATATATTCCTACTGATGTCGTGAATATTACATATGATATTTCATACATATTATTTAAATATCTAGTATGATTCCTTTGTCAGATATATGTACTGCAAATATTTGCTCCCAGTCTATGAGTTGCCTTTTCGCTTTTTTTTTTTTTTTTTGAAACAGACTCACTGTTTCCCAGGCTGGAGTGCAGTGGTATGATCTCAGCTCACTGCAACATCCACCTCCTGGATTCAAGCAATTCTCCCACCTCAGCCTCCCGAGTAGCTGGGATTACAGGCATGCACCACATGCCTGGCTAATTTTTGTGTTTTTAATAGAGATGGGGTATCTCCATGTTGGCCAGGGTGGTCTCGAACTCTTGACCTTAGGTGATCTACCCACCTTAGCCTCCCAAAGTGCTAGGATTACAGGCGTGAGCCACCATACCTGGCCCCTTTTTGCTCTCTTAATGGTGTCTTTTGGTGAACAGAAGTTCTTAATTTTGGTAAAATCCAATTTATCAATCTTATGTTCTGTCTAGGAACTCTTTTCCACCCATATTCTCCTAGAGGCTTGATTGCTTTATTTTAGCTTCCACATTTAAGTCTACGATCCATTCTAAATTAATTTCTGGTAGTTGCGAGGAAGGAGTCAAGGTTCAATTTTTCAGCTTAGTTATCCCATCAACCCATTTATTTAAATAACTGATAAATTGGAATGGAACCTTTGTCATGAATCCCACACATAAATATATGTGTGGGTCTGTTTCTGGGCTCTCTGTTCTATTCTTTAGGTGGTTTTTTCTCTTTTTTTTTGTTCCCAGAGGAGCAATAAAGAGTTGCATAAAGAAAAAGTGGATGAAGTCCTCCCACCCTCTTCTCTTTGAAGTAACCACGTTACCACTCTGAGAGGCATTTAGCTTTCCTCCATGCTCTTACAAACATATGTAATCATACACAGTGTGCATTTACAAAGAAGTTTTTAACCACATGGGGAGATGCTTTCTTGTAAAACAACGAGAGTAGAATATAAATTTGTATGTATCGAATGTAAATTTCTATGTATCAAACTGTATAAGAGTAGTAATAAAAAATAGCACTTACCATGTGCCAGGTGCTTTACTAAGTGCTTTACGTATATTAACTCATTTAATTCTCACAGCAGCCTGAAAAGATAGGGACAATTTTGCTCCCATTTTACAGATGATGAAATAGAGACACAGAGAAGGTGGAACTTGCCCAGTGCCATACAACCAATATGGTGGAGCTAGGATTCAAACCCAGCCTGTCTGGCTCCAGAACCCATATTCTTAACCAGAATTGGTTAGAATAAGACACGTGGAAACATTAGTTGCACTTACCTCTATGAATTATGATTTTTATTATTTATCCCTTGCTCACTGCCCTTCACCCTTCTGACCATTAGGGCCAAGTTCTTTCCCAGCCTCAAAGCCTTTTCATTTCTAGTATAGACAGTTCCTCCATGACTCACTGCTCAATCAACTGCTATTCAATTTTGAACTCTCAGCCTAAATTCCCCTTTCCCATGAAGTTCGACCTGACTTCCTACACAAGTATGGCTTCCCTGAAACTATTTCACAACTTCCTGTCCCGTGCTTTTCCTTTCTAGCAGTCAGCACAATTGTACATAACAACTTCTGGAATGAGTTGTTTGAACAGCTGTCTTCCCTGAGCACCCCCTAACTGTGGGCTCTATGAAAGCAAGCTCTGGGTCTGTCTTGTTAATCTTTGGGTGCCCAGAGCCTTGTCTGAAACATGTAGATGCATGTGAGGGTTCCACTGTGGAGCAGATCAGCGAGAGATAGGCCAACAGGAGGCATGGCTTGGGGAGCCTTCTCAATGTGTTCTAATACGGGTGCAGAGGGAGGTGCTGGAATCAGACACATAGCCCTGAGTTAAAATACTGACTCAGCAAGCTGTGCAAACCTGGACTATAACACTCATGTTCTGAGATCTACTTCCTCTCATATAATATGGGGTTAAAAATATCACTTCGTGGCCGGGCGTGATGGCTCACTCCTGTAATCCCACCACTTTGGGAGGCTAAGGCAGGTGGATCACGAGGTCAAAAGATCGAGACCATCCTGGCTCACATGGCGAAACCCCATCTCTACTAAAAATACAAAAAATTAGCCGGGCGTGGTGGCTGCGCCTGTAGTCCCAGCTACTCGGGAGGCTGAGGCAGGAGAATCGCTAGAACCAGGGAGGCGGAGGTTGCAGTGAACCGAGACCACGCCACTGCACTCCAGCCTGGTGACAGAGTGAGACTCAGTCTCAAAAAAACAAACAAACAAAAAAAAACCCCTCATATCTACAAGAGTACATGGCACACAGTAGATGTCCAATAGTTAAATGAATTTATTGAACGTTTTTGAAAGAATTAAATATGATTTTTTTCCAGTTTCTTAACTTCTCTGTACCTCTGTTTTCTTATCTGTGAAATGAGATAATAAATAAATGAACTTGCCTGTTTCTTTTTTTTTTTTTTGAAAGGGAGTCTCGTTCTGTCACCCAGGCTGGGGGTGCAGTGGCGCAATCTTGGCTCACTGCAAGCTCTGCCTCCCGGGTTCACGCCATTCTCCTGCCTCAGCCTCCCGAGTAGCTGGGACTACAGGCACCTGCCACCACGCCCGGCTAATTTTTTTGTATTTTTAGTAGAGATGGGGTTTCACTATGTTAGCCAGGATGGTCTCGATCTCCTGACCTCGTGATCCGCCCGCCTCACCCTCCCAAAGTGCTGGGATTACGGGCATGAGCCACAGCGCCCGGCAAAATATGCCTTGCCTATTTCTTAGGATTGTTGTGAGAATTCAAGAATATAATCCACGCAAAGCACAGAACCCAGGGTCTAGCATGGAGGAAATGTTCAATAACGGTTAACTATGCTTCTTATTATTATGGGTAAAGCACCTTCTGGAGTGCCCAGTGCACAGTAGGCACTCTGTAGATAGATGGTGCCAAATGTTACTGACTTAGCCTGGGTGGTGTCATGTCCGGCTGCTTCTAGGGCAATGCAGGGTCCTGGCTCTGAGCGCGCCTCTTGGTTCCAGGTTTGGTGCTGTACTGACACCACCCAGTGGCCAGCATGGGCTACTGTAATCCCAGCCTTGGCTAATACCTTGCTCCAGGGTTACTCTTCCAAACCTGGACTCCGTCCAAACCTTAAGAAGAGCCTTGTGCATTCCCTTGGAAAACTGGGAACACTGGCGACAGAGAAGAGGAAATGGATTTGAAAGATAATTCAAGAATGTGGATTCAACAGACTTTGTGATCAATTATATATCCAGTGGGGAAGGAAGATGGATTTGTCTAAAATAGTGGTTCTTAAGTAGGGGTGATTTTGCCAAAAAGGGGACATCTGGCAATGTCTGGAGACATTTTTGGTTGTCACAACTTGGAAGGAGGAATGCTATTGCAGTCTAGTGGGGATAGACCAAGGATGCTGCCAAATATCCTACAATGCACATGACAGCCCCTCGATAAAGAATAATCCAGTCCCACTGGGCACAGTGGCTCACGCCTATAATCCCAGCTCTTAGGGAGGCAGAGGCGGGAGGATAGCTTGAGCCCAGGAGTTCAAGACCTGCCTGAACAATATAGTGAGACCCTGTTCTCCACAAAAAGGAAAAAAAAAAAAGAATTATCTAATCCAAAATGCCAAAGTGCCAAGGTCAAAATAACCTGGTCTAGACAGTCTAACCTGGGCATTCACTGCATCAAGAAAAGCTGTGAAAAACCTGTCACATGAGCTATCACTACTGTGTCCAGTTCAAGGATCAGGTAGGTCTGAGGACAATCCTAGCCAGGAGCTAGCACAGCCTATGGAATTCTCTCAAGTCAAGGAAGGGGAAACATTATTACAGATCATTTATTTCTTCAACTTACAACATTTATGATCACAATACATATATTTAAACTATTGCTGACAGTGTACGTGGTTATTAATCACACTGAAGGACTTAAACACAGAATACAAGTCATGTTAACTAGAAATTCTCAAAGTAGGCCTGGCGCAGTGGCTCACACCTGTAACCCCAGCACTTTGGGAGGCCAAGGCAGGAAGACTCCTTGAGCCCAGGAGGTCGAGACCAGCCTGGGCAGCATAGAGACCCTATCTCCAAAAAAAAAATTTTTTTAATTAGCCAGGCATGTTGGCACACACCTGTAGTCCACCTACTCAAAAGGCTGAGGCGAGAGGATCACCTGAGCCCAGGAGGTCAAAGATGCTGTGAACCATGTTTGTGCCACTGCTATCCAGCCTGGGTGACAGAATAAGACTCTGTCACAAAAAAAAAAAAAAAGGAGGGGGGCAGGATGCAGTGGCTTACACCTGTAATCCCAGCACTTTGGGAGGCCGAGGTGGGTGGATCATGAGGTTAGGAGATCGAGACCATCCTGGCTAACACGGTGAAACCCCGTCTCTACTAAAAAATACAAAAAAATTAGGCAGGCATGGTGGCGGGTGCCTGTAGTCTCAGCTACTTGGGAGGCTGATGCAGGAGAATGGCCTGCACCCGGGAGGCGGAGCTTGCAGTGAGCCAGATCGTGCCACTGCACTCTAGCCTGGGCGACAGAGCGAGACTCCATCTCAAAAAAAAAAAAAAAAAAAAAAAATCTCGAAATAGGTCACACAATCTTAGAATTCAATTAGGAGATCCTTTGGATTTCCTTGCAGAAAAAAAGCAGTAACTGTGAACCAAGGAAAAGATTCCACTTCTCGTGCTTCCTAGTATTTGCTATAACAAACTTGGGAAGCAGTCAGATCCTTACCCTTCCTTTAATATCTGCTCTACGCTATAGAAAATGTGCAGTCAGAAAGCAGGTTAAGGGCTCCACTTAGTGGGAAGCAACAAGACCAGGAGATCAGGCAGGAGAACCAGGAGCACAAGGCCTTCTCTTGTGTCTGTGAAGGGAAGAAATGTCTCAGAACATGGACATATGAGACCTTTCCAGCTCCACCCTTCTGACAATAAACCAGGCCTGGCCTGGTGGCTCACACCTGTAATCACAGCACTTTGGGAAGCCAAGGAAGGGGAATTACTTGAGGTCAGGAGTTCAAGACCAGCCTAGGCAACATAGTGAAACCCTGTCTCTATAATAATAATAATAAAAAAATCAAAAACAAACCAGACAGAGGGACTTTCGGGCCCACTCCTCTACATTCTCATATGAAATCCACTCTCACCACCGGGAATTCCTGTGACACTCCAAAGATTCCAAGGATATTATCTTTTAGTTCCTTTCCTCTCCACTGGAAATTCCAACCCAAGAAAGTCTCAAACTGCTGCAGCTGTCAAGCCTGATGAACAACTCAGTTCCTCCACCTGTAGGCCTTTGTGCTTAGGGCTGCAAGTCCTCAGCTCTGAATGACCTTGGCACCCCGGGTGCTGCTCCTTATGTGAGAAAGACCTTTCCTATCTGGGCCTGGCGGTCCTCTGGCCATTAGGGGAACCCTCTGTGCTTGTCTTTCTCCACCCCTGAAAGTATCTCTGGCTCTGGAAACGCTATTTTTTGTGACATTCTCCACCCAACATGGCTTTGCAAAATATGTGTTCTACTCACAGGTTGACTGGTGTACTTACTCTTGGTGAAGCTACCAGGATCTGGTGGGAATCATTTGCTCCAGATGTGAGGTGGCATCTTTCCTCTGCTGGCCTATTTACCTGACCATCCTGTTTCCAGTAAGGCCCGATAGGAATTTTGCAAGCCTACAAAAGTTCCTTTCGAAAGCTCAAAGTTCCCCTGGAATCACACCTTAAGTTTTTGTTTTTCTGTGTATGGAATGCTCCTATATTTTCCAGAGAAATTTTAGAACAAACTTCCATGGACGTATTCTACAATCTAATCAGAACTTGAAATTACTCCACCTTTGAAATCTCAAGGCCCATCAATCTGTTTTCTGACCACCCCTCTCAGTCTGCCCAGCTTCCACTCTCTACCTCCTAGAGCACCTCATAGAGAGCACCAGTTCCCAAGCCTGCCTCCATCACCATGGCCACCTGCTGAGTTCAGGCACCCTCATCTCTTGCCCCAATTTCTGCAGCAGCCACAGCCTTCTGCCCGGAACCAGGTCTGCCCATTCTCCTGGCCCTCTGATGTGTCCCCCAACGTGGCAGTAGTTTTCATAACTCGTTCTGCCTGGTGCCCAACAGATCCTTCTGGCCTTTCTGCATAGCAGAGGTTGGGAGCTTTACTGGACTGCTAAATTGCCTCATGGCTCTGTGCCGGTGCCCTGCTCCCTATTCCAGGACATCAGCAGACCCAGACTCACTTGAACTGAGAAGCAGTAGAAATTACTGGCTTTATTTTTTCAAAGTTAACATTATTATTGTTTTTAAGGGTGACATTCTGAAACACCTTAGAGCTTGGAATCAGCACTTCATCTTCACGTGGGCCAAAAGCATATCTCTAATAGAAACTTCTAAGAAGGTTCTGATGACAAGGACTGAGGCTTTCTATTAAAATATGGTGTGTATGAGTAGCTATTTGTTGAGGGAAAAAAATACAAGGAAAATTGGCCAAAATTGCATTGCCTCTCCCATGGTAATGAAACTTGGTGCAACAGCCTCTATAAATGATGTAACACTGCCCTGTAGTGAGAAGTTGAAGAGCTCTTGTCAAATAATAAGAGAAAGCTTTAAACTGAAAGTTTTGTAAAATTTGGAGGAATTCTCTTACAGTCCTGCTAATAACCCTGGCACTGTATACCCAGTACAGGCCACTAGAGCTGTTCTGTGGAAATCGTTGAATTGTTTATTTTGGTTTGGTTTGTTTGTTTCCCCTCTGCCCTTTCACATTCAGTTTTAAATTTTTTGTTTGCTTTCAGTTTCTCTCTCTCTTTTTTGTTTTTTTAATTTGAGACAGGGTCTTGCTCTGTTGCCCAGGCTGGAGTGCAGTGGTGTGATCTCAGCTCACTGCAGCCTCAACCTCCCGGGCTCAATCAATCCTCCTGCCTCAGTGTCCCATGTAGCTGAGACCACAGGCGTGCCACCACGCCCAGCTAATTTTTGTATTTTTGGTAGCAACGGGTTTTGCCATGTTGCCCAGGCTGGTCTTAAATCCGGAGCTCAAAGGATCCACCCACTTCAGCCTCTCAAAGTGCTGGGATTACAGGTGTGAGCCACCGTGCCTGGCTGAAAAATTGTGATTCTTATTTATAATCCACCATCTCTAACAGACCCTCATCATAGCTCCACTCCAGGGTCTTCTTGTTTTATAAAATATGAAGGAGTAGCTGTCAGTAGGATGAGGGTCCAGAGGTAGTAAATATTACCTGTACTATTAGCCACCAAATTGGAGTCAAAAGGTGATCTGTCATGTCTAAAATTGATGTCATCTAGTAGTTGAACAAAGACTTCACATAAGACCGTGAAAGTGAGGCCTGAGCACTAACTTCATTGTTGTTGCCTTATTTCTGTGCTAACGACCATCAACCACCAGTGTAGGGTCCAGAACTCCAGACTTGCATTTACGTCTGCATCCTGGACACCTTCCATCTTAGGTAAGTTCCAACAGAAAATTTCTCAATGGTGCGTGTTTTCCATTTCTTCCAGCATGGAGCTATTTTTATTAAACGATGGAATGTTATTATCATCTTTAAGTCTGCAGTCCTATATTCCACCGCCGTCTGACCTAATTCTGCCAGAATCTGGAGCACGGCAGAACCTGAGAATGGTCGACAGGGCCAGCAGGATAAGAGTGAGTATCTGTAGTAAGCCTCTTTGCTGTCTTTGAGTTCTCCTTGATCTGACTCCATTTTTAAATTTTTATTTTGTTATTTTTAGAGTCGGGGTCTTGCTCTGTCACCCAGACTGGAGTGCAGTGGTCCGATCATGGTTCACGGTAGCCTTGAACTCCTGGGCTCAAGCAATCCTCCCACCTCAGACTTCTGAGTAGCTGGAACTACAGGCACGCACCATCAAGCCTGGCTAAGTGGCTGGAATTTTTTTTTAAGAGAGATTTAAGCGAGGTGGGGTTTTGCTATGTTGCCCAAACTGGCCTCAATCTCCGGGCCTCAAGCAACCCGCCCTCCTTCAGCCTCTTCAGTTATTGGAATTAGAGGCGTGAGCCACCAAGCCCAGCTGTGACTCCATTTTTGAACTTCTTTTATTTGAGAAGTCTTCGTCATTTCAGAGAGTGATCATAAACTGAGCCTGTCCACTCCCCTGATACCTTTCCCATGTAACCCATAAAAAGGTTGAGTTTTCTGCTTTTATCCCTAGGCTAGACTAACCTTTCAAGGTCCTTCCCCAGACCAAAGGTTAGAAAAGAATTCCAACTTCTCACATTTCATGTTAAACCACATGTCCCTAGATTGTCAAGTCATACTTAAAATAAAATAACTGGGCCAGGTATGGTGGTCCATGCCTGTAATTTTAGCACTTTGGGAGGCTGAAGCAGGAGGATAGCTTGAGGCCAGGAGTTTGAGACCAGCCTGGGCAAGATGGCAAGACGCAGTCTCCACACACACAAAAAAAAGTTTAAAATAAAATAATTGATATACTGAAGATGACTAAAAATTAGAGTTTCTCCTTAATGTTTCTAGGAATTATGTTGTTCTAAAACATCCAGTAATTCACTTTCCCCTTAATAATTAGAATTAGTTATCCCAGCCGATAGAGTAACCCACATCTCTGCCTATTGGCTCAGCGGCATGAGGAAAACAAAATGGCAACTGAGCAGTCTTAGCTTCCAACTTAACGAGTCTGCAACTATGTTCCCTATTGGAAGCATTTTCTCCCTTAGCAACTAAGGCTTCTAAACCTGCAAGGAATAAGACAGTGGGGACAAGAAGCAAATATTCTTTAACTGGATTATTAGATGCATTCATGAGAGGGGCCTCTCTTACTCCACCCTCCTCCTTTCTATGCTTGTGTGTCCCTGCTGTAGAGAAAATAATGTCATATATTGGTTGCTGATGTAAAGAATGTACTGCTCTTCCATTTGTTAGGGTGCTGTATTTCTGCTGGCACCATAACTGACCTTCAGCAGGTCATTCTCTCAGTAACCATGACCTTCATAGGTGATTCTCTCAAGCCAGCTGTTTCTGGGTGATAACATATATCCTAAGGTTAACATAAATCTCATGGTATGAGCCTGTTGCCACACCTCTTCCACTATAAAATTAGCCTCTTGGTCAGATGTATGGGATACCATGTTGGTAAAGATGACATTCTTGGCTGGGTACAGTGGCTCCTGCCTGTAATCCCACGGCTGTGAGAGGCCTAGGCAGGAGGATTGCTTGAGGCAATCCACACGTGCTTTCCAGCTTTTCCAGCTTCAATGCTAGTCTCTACTCATTCTGACCACTAACCATGAAAAGAAAGGAGTTTGAACCAGCCTGGGCAACACAGCAAGATCCTGTCTCTATAAAAAATTTAAAAAGTTAGCCAGGCATTGTGGCATGTGCCTGTAGTCCCCGCTACTCTGGAGGCTAAGGTGGGAGAATATCTTGAGGCCAGGAGGGCTCATATTGGAAGCTACAGTGAGCTATGATTACAACATTTCACTCTAGCCTGGGTGATAGAGCAAAACCCTGTCTCAAAAAAAAAAAAAAAAAATGACATGGTTCTGGTAGAAGCATTAGGAACAAGGAAAAAAACTCTGGAAACATATCTATTCCCATGAGAGCACTTTCTGTCCTCAATGAAGGAAGGGTTCCTATTAAATCAGTTACCACCAGAGATTCCTGGCTAGTTTCTCTGGGGAATGGTGCCATACTGGGGACTCATCCTTGGCTTCTGCAGTTGGCAGCTGGGCACTCACTAGTGGTGGTAGCCAAATAAGCTTTGGTGAGAGGATATAGATGTTGTTAAGCTTGTGTGCAGCTTCCATCTCTTCCATCTTGACACTTTGTACCTGGTCCATTGAGCAACAACTGGAGGGGCTGGGGAAGGAGGCCAACTGACATCTGCACATCCAGTCATCTTGTCCACCTGATCACTGAGTGACTCATCTGCAGTGGATGACCTCTGTTGGGTATTTTTGTGGGACATGATTGCCTTCATACTCTATGCCCATTCCAAGAGGCCCATCTACGTATCTCTTCTCCAGGTCATCCATGTCATGAAGCCACAGAGGCCATAGGAGTGGGTGAAGGAGAGACACTAAACAATGGTGAATCATGCAGCCAATGGAAGGGGTTCAGTCAATGACTAAGTATGTCTATTTTAACTATATATGCAGGAACAAGGGAAATAACTAGATTCATTGGACCCACTGTCCAGTGATGGACTGAGGCCAAGAATCCATGTATCACATGACCTCCATAAGCCCTTGTTCCGACCAGAAGACCAGGTTGGCATTTTGTACCACCAATGATTAGTACACACTCAGAACCAGTGTATAATAGCTTCCAAAGGGTTTGGGTATTTTCTCTCCCAATGCACAGTCATTTTAGTAAGTGGCTGCAGGCCTTTCCAGGGGAGGCTTGGAGGAAAGTTTGTTTGTAATATATACTTACTGCCACATTGCAAGATCTTTCCTTAAAGGGACTGAGCCTTTCTCTCAATCAATGAGCAATAGGCCTGCGAACTGTCTTAGGTTTAATAATTGGGTATGAGGCAGTAAATTCCCACTGTGGTGACTTGAATCAGGTTTCTATTTTTCAATAATATAGATAAAGCCACATCTTGGTAGACTGTCTATCTGTTCATTTCTAAGAACCCTACCATCAATTAGTTGCTACTACTGATCTTCGAAGGTCAAAGCATTCTAATAGCCTTTCTGTCCCTGCAACCTATTACCAGTTCTCAGGTAGCATCTCCCACTATCACATTTGGCAATGCTTTTTGGGGTGCCCATCAGGTCCACATATCTCAGCACCACAGTAAATGGAGCATCCTCTGAACCTTCCAGGGTCATGGATGAGGGTGGCTGGGAAAATTGCACATTTAGGTCCATTCCAAGATTCCCATCTTCCTGAGATTTTGGATCTTTGACACCTTAGCCTCATTGACTCTAGACCACCACTGAATCCAGGCTTCAGTAAACTAGTCAAGCAAGTTGTTAAAGCCACTTGTGAGCACTCAATTAATTACTACAGCCTGAATCCATGTAAGTACACTCCTGCTGATAATTTCATGACTATCAAACTTACATTTCATCCTCTTTGGTCCAATGCACTTAAAATTCATTTTCACATATGCTTTCCAGCTTTTCCAGCTCTAATGCTATCTCTACTCATTCTGACCACTAACTATGAAAAGAAAGAAATCAAACTTGGAACTTTCAAAATAACACAGAGTAAATTTTTAAAAATACATCTAAACTCTTGATGGACGGGACACTTTGGGCTCACACTGATCACTGTGTGTAGAATATCCTCCCATTTCTCTCTGATTATCAAACCTTTCATGGTTACATTAAGGAACTCTCTTTTCCCCCTAAACCTGGAAATAAGAGCTCCCTAGAGCAGTTAATGCTTTAAAACGGCACATAATGGGGGCCGGGCGCAGTGGCTCACGCCTGTAATCCCAGCACTTTGGGAGACCAAGGCAGGCAGATCACAAGGTCAGGAGTTTGAGACCAGCCTAGCCAATATGGTGAAACCCCATCTCTACTAAAAATACAAAAATTAGCTGGGCATGGTGGCGGGCACCTGTAGTCGCAGCTACTCGGAAGGCTGAGGCAGGAGAATCACTTAAACCTGGGAGGCGGAGGTTGCAGAGAGCCGAGATTGCGTCACTGACTCCAGCCTTGGCGACAGAGCGAGACTGTGTCTCAAAAACTACAACAACAACAAAAACAAAACAAAACAAAACAAAAAGGCAGCACATAATGAATCAGAGCAGGAACATTAAAAAAGTCACTTTAAGGAAAAGTGGAGACCCAGGCTGGCAGGACTTGATTTTATTTACATCAGTGGTTCTTAATTCTGTTTGGATAACAAATCACACTGAGAGTCTGATAAAATCTATAAATTTTCCCCAGAGAAAATATGCATAGACACGAAATTTGCATTTAGTTTCCAAGTGCTCAAGAATCCTAGTTATACAGACTGGGCATGCCTGTAGTTCCAGCACTTTGGGAGGCCAAGGCAGGAGATAAGGCAGGAGGATCACTTGAGCCCAGGAGTTCAAGACCAGCCTGGGCAACATAGCAAGACCCTGTTGCTACAAAAAATAAAAATTTAGCCAGGCTTGATGGCAAGCCTGGAGTCCTAGCTACTCAGGAGGTTGAGGCAGGAGGATCATAAAAGTCCAGGAATTTGAGATGTAGTGAGCTAGGATCAAGCCACTGCACTCCAGCCTGGTATCAGAATGAGACCCTGTTCCTAAAAAAAGAAAGAATCTCTAGTTATCCAGTTCATAAACCCATAGTTAAGAACCCCATGCCTGTGTGGACTAGTTCAATGTATTAAAAGTATTTAAGAGTCACAAAGACACACACTATCAGTGTCCATCCAATATTATCCATGGTGATGAGGACTCTGCACCAAGAAATCCATAAAATGTTCTGTCCCGGGAATAAGATGGGAGTGTCACCTTCATTTGGCCTGAAACCATTAACCATTCAACTCATCAAATTCCCTTTGTTTTGAATTCATGCATGCCACATAAACTTCTGATTACAATCTGGCTCCTTGGGTAGCTGCCTGCAGGGCAAAAGTGCTCTGATAGGAGAATATGAGCACCCAGACCCCTCTGTAGAAAGAGTTCCAGTATGAATTATCAAACTGGCATTCTGGGTTTTTTTTAATACCACATTTTCTGTGAGATTGATTGATGACAGTCCACATGTTAAAGGTGATTCTAGGTTTCTGAAGTTGTGTGGCAGAGGAAAATGCTTAGACAGAAGATTTGATCTGTGTTTCTAAGCCTTCAAAGCAAAGAGAATATAATGTATTTGCCAAATTTCTAATTTAAACCACTCAAAAGTATTTTCTTAGGACAAAGAGTCTGCCAGAGTCACTGACATTATTAATTTTATTCTGGGTCTAAATGAGAAGAACCATGTACAGAATTTCAGACTCTTCTGCAAAACAAAGGCTTTAAGTTATTTATATACATTTAGGAGTTACCAATACCAGTTACAGTCATGCAGTTTCCCTTGACAACCAATTATTATGCAGTGCTGTGGGATTCAAGGTTTCCTACCATAAGAAATAATCTTAAAATTTTGAAAACCCAGTGTGCTTAAGGATACTTTTCAGATTACTTTACAAAGTTGGTTTTTTTAAGGATATAAAATGTTGAACAGGATGGCTGCAAATAAAAATCCTTTATGTGGACTATAGTCTTGTGATTATTTTCACCTTCATATTTCTCTAACGAGATCTTGGGAATGGTTTCATAGCTCTGAATTTCATCTCAGTCTTACACCTTAATCACACTTTTCTCTCTAGAATTTCTTTTTACTGGCAACTGACAGATAAGAAGGTTACAGTGTTTATCTTCAGCTAAGTTTTTTTTTGTTGTTGTTGTTGTTTTTTTGAGACAGAGTCTGGCTTTGTCACCGAGGCTGGAATGCAGAGGCGTGATCTCAGCTCACTGCAACCTCCACTTCCTGGGTTCAAGCGATTCTGGTGCCTCAGCCTCCCGAGTAGCTGGGATTACAGGCACGCCTGGCTAATTTTTGTATTTTTAGTAGAGACGGGGTTTCACCATGATGGCCAGGCTGGTCTTAAACTCCTGACCTCAAGGGATCCCCCTGTCTCAGCCTCCAAAAGTGCTGAGATTACAGATGTGAGCCACCGTGCCTGGCCCAGCTGAGATTTTATTAGCCAGAACTCAATGGGCAATGCAAGGCTTGTAGAAACCTAGGAATTAATAAATCAAATATGAAAATAATAAATTGAAAGAAAAATATATCACTCATATGTCATCCGGCACATGAACTGTCTCCTCAATCAAGTCTGACCTCTCAGTGTGGTCTCTAAGGCCTTCCACAAATTGCCCCTTATCATGTATCCAGCTTCCCCTCAATCCCAGCTCATCTCTGTTTCAGCCGGGCAAACCATGTCTTTGTGTGGGTTCCCTCAGAAGCCGAGCACGAGTTGGAAGCGCAGGCAGTTTTGAAGCGAGGTGCAGGAGCCCCCTGCAGGAGAGATAGAGAAATGATTGAGGGAAGCCAGTGAAAGGAGCAACAAGCTGACTGCCACAGAGTGCAACTAGAGCTTAACGCCACGGAAAATTCTGATTAAAAGTATAAAACACACCCCCTCAGAATCATCTCACTAGGGATACAAGGGAACTGGGGTACTTTATACCAACTCTCGTCAGTTGAGGGCTGCTTGCTGGCGGGAGTGTTTGTTCCCCAGCACTTCCAGCCTAGAGAGTCTGGGTGGGTAAGACAGCTTTCCATGGTTCTGGAAACAGTCCTCAGGTACAGAGATGCAACAAATACAGAGATGGCAGTGTCTGAGGGGAAAACAGGCAGACATTGAGAGTCTCTATGACATCTGGCCCCTTCCCTAAATAAGTCTGTGCATTTCCAGTTTTTCTCTTCGGAAAACTATACTTTTCTTCCTTCAGAGTTGTCTCAAAATCCTTCTCTCTCAAGCAGGCTTCTCTGAGTAACCCTAACCCATTCTGAGAGCAGGTGCGAAGTGTATGTGCCTTGAATGAATGAGGAATGCTCCTTCTATGTGGACAAGTTAGACACAAGTGCCCTCCTTTGAGCAGACGCGGCCCCTGGGGACCACAGCCTAACAAGCGGACAACATCTTTGTGAGAAGAAAATAGCACTCCTTCTGAAGCAGCTCCTGCTGGTGCACACAGCATGAGGAGTGACGGAGGGACTGGGCTTCAGTCCACTTGCACCTCCTCAGCCAGGCATCTTTACGCAGTGCAAGAACTAGACAACAGTACCAAGGAAGCCCTGCTTACTCTGATCATTCATTTTCTCCACAGCTGTCCAGAACTTACACACACTTAAACGTAGTGGAGCATTCCAGCAGAGCTCCATCAGATCAGATACTGAATGTGTAAATCTGGCAGCAGCTGCCTAAACATCTATTTGTGTTCGTTAATGTGTGTTGTGACTAAAGGAGAGGGGAAATTAGGTGGTCCAGAACCAACTGGGCGAAGACACAGGAAAACAGGAAATTGAAAATGATATCTTGCCTATGTTCCAGCTGTCCCTAGATACTTTTTCCTGGGGGACTATGAAATATTCTCCACCTAATTCCCAAGATCATGGAACAGGATCTCTGTCTAAACCTGACATGCCCAATAGCCATTGTATTTCATCTTCAAAATGATATAGGAGAAAGAGGTGACAAATGGGAAGGAAGTATGCTACCCACAGTTCAGATCCTGTGGGGAAATCTACAAGGAGTAGCAGTCCTGAATGGGTTCTCTCATGTGCTGTTTTCCAAGTTAATTTCAGTTCACCACGTGCAATGCTGAAGTTCAGTAGTCTTTTTTTCTTTGAATATTTAAAATTACATTTATGACATTATAAAAATTAATTAGAATTTCACTTAAAATTGCTTCATGCTATCACTGAAACTATTTTAGTGTCGGTGTGGTCTTTCTTTGGATTATCCTCATTCATTAATATGCATGTGTAGTTTTTACATAGTCATTATTTTAATAATCACATAATTTCTCAGCACCTATTATTCAAAACTGCTTCTTGCTTTTCACTCTCAAAAGTAATTTTCTATAAACATATTATGTATGTGTATTTATAACAAATTGGGAAGTTAGTCGTCACTGGCCATCTTCTACGTTTCACACCTGGAAAGTCAAAACTTCCTGGTGTCTAGCTTTTGCAGTCCTTCCCCATAGCCAAGTTTATGCCACTGGCCTTTGTGGCTCTACCCCAGGCTGGGGGGTGATTCCTGACCTGGAGTGTGAGGTAGTCAGCACGTCTAGCTCAATACTCAATGGCACTGTAGTCACTGCTCTGGTACCTTTGATACCTGGCTAGACACCAGGCTGGGCTAAGGGAACTACAAAGATGGGCCAGACAGGTTCCTGTTCTCAAGTATTTCCTCACCTTGAACTTTCTGGGTGCTCTTTTTCATACCCATACCCGTCATGCTAACTCAATAAAACAGAATCATTCGAAGTAGAACAGAATGTTCTATCAGAGCCTAAATGGACAAGGGAAATACAGAACCATGGCCTTCCACTATGAATTACCCCTCACAAGGGGCATCGGTTTGAAGGACTTGATTTCACAGTTTTCATTTCCAACAAAAATCTGACTAAAGGAAAAAGGAGGTGATTAACACAGTCAGGGGAACTTGAATGGGATGGGAGAGAGAGGTGGGAAAATAGAATATTCCTGCTCATCAACTGTCCTGAGGAACCGGGTTTCACCATTTTGACAAGGGACCATGTGGGACCAGGCAGCCAGCAGAGCTGCCCCAGGGGCCAGGGGACAATGATATGATATGGTTAAATTTTAGAATTTCCTAAGGGATGTTACTTCCCTGCTTGGAATATTTGGTTATCCACTCCCACACCCCCTCCTAATTGCCACCACTTCCCCAGTCCTCAGCCCTTCCTTCACCTTCCCCTAAATTCTCATTTTCAGGAAGGACTCAGGTTAATTTAGATTCCAGTCTCTTATTCTTATTTATTCACCCCACAAATTCTCCGATTTCCTGATTGGGAGCTCTGACCTTTTTTTTTTTTTTTTTTCGAGACGGCGTTTCGCTTTGTCGCCAGGCTGGAGTGCAGTGGCGTGATCTCGGCTCACTGCAACCTCCGCCTCCTGGGTTCACGCCATTCTCCTGCCTCAGCCTCCCAAGTAGCTGGGACTACAGGCACCTGCCACCATGCCCGGCTAATTTTTTTTGTATTTTTAGTAGAGACGGGGTTTCACCGTGTTAGCCAGGATGGTCTCAATCTCTTGACCTCGTGATCTGCCTGCCTCAGCCTCCCAAAGTGCTGGGATTACAGGCATGAGACACCGTGCCCGGCCTTTTTTTTTTTTTAAGACGAGGTCTCACTCTGTCACCCAGACTGGAGTACAATGGAGTGATCTCAGCTCACTGCAACCCCTGCCTCCCAGGCTCAAGTGATTCTGCTGCCTCACCCTCCTGAGTAGCCGGGATTACAGGCGCATGCCACTACCGCCCAGCTAATTTTTCTATTTTTAGTAGAGACGAGGTTTCACTGTATTGGCCAGGCTGATCTCGAACTGCTGACCTTGTGATCCACCCACCTCGGCCTCCCAAAGTGCTGGATTTCAGGCGTGAGCCATCAGGCCCGGCTACTCACTTGTTTTATTGGAGTTTATCTTCAAGTAACTTCCTCCTAGTGGCTATGCTGGAGGTAAAAATTCTGATTCCTTGTTTGTCTAAAAATATCTTTAGTCTGCCTTCACACTTGACAGAAAATTTGGCAGAACATAAAATTAAAATAGAAAACCTTTCCCCTCAGATCTTAAAGTCATTATTCCATTGTCTCTAGCACCTAGGACTACAGACTAGCAGTTCCAAGTGAGTCTAATTCCCAAGTTTAATTTGAAAGTCACCTTTTTCTTTTCCATCTTTGAAATTTTTTAGAATCTCCTCTTTTTTCATGGAGTTCTGAAATTTCACAATGATTTATCAAGATGAGAGTCTCTTTTACTCATGTGCTTGGAACTTGACGGAACCTTTTAGTCCAGTGATCTGTGTCCTTTAGTTCTGGTCAATTCTCTAGTATCTCTTTGATAATTTCTCACTCCTTGTTTTACCCATTTGTAATTTCTAGAGTTTCTGTGATTCTGATGTTGATAATCTTTTTTTCTCATGTTTTCTATCTTACAGTACTTCTATTGCATTATTTATTTTATCAATTATATCTTTATTTTTTGAGACAGAGTCTCACTCTGTCACCCAGGCTGGAGTTCAGTGGCATGATCTCGGCTCACTGCAACCTCCACCTCCCGAGTAGCTGGGATTACAGACGTGTGCCACCACTTCTGGCTAATTTTTATATTTTTAGTAGAGACAGGTTTTCACCATGTTGGCCAGGCTGGTCTCGAACTCCTGACCTCAGGTGACCTGCCTGCCTTGGCCTCCCAAAGTTCTGGGATTACAGGTGTGAGCAACCATGCCCTGCCGATTATATCTTTAGATCCTAGGAGCTGGTTGTTCTTTTTCATAGCTTGTTGTTCTTGTTTTCCTTTGTTGTTTTTTTTATTTTAGAGACAGGGTCTCACTCTGTTGCCCAGGCTGGAGTGCAGTGGCACGAACACATTCACTGCAGGCTCGATCTCCTAGGCTCAAGCGGTCCTCCTACTTCAGCCTCCCAAGGAGCTGAGACTACAGGAGTGCACCACTGTGCCTGACTTTTTTTTTTTTTTTTTTTTGAGACAGAGTCTCACTCTGTCACCCAGGCTGGAGTGCAGTGGCGCGATCTTGGCTCACTGCAAGCTCCACCTCCCAGGTTCACGCCATTCTCCTGCCTCATCCTCCTGAGTAGCTGGGACTACAGGCGCCCGCCATCACGTCCGGCTAATTTTTTGTATTTTTAGTAGAGACGGGGTCTCACTGTGTTAGCCAGGATGGTCTCGATCTCCTGACCTCATGATCCGCCTGGCTTGGCCTCCCAAAGTGCTGGGATTACAGGTGTGAGCCACCGCGTCCAGCTGACATTTTTTTTTTTTTGAATTTTTATTAGTGACAGGGTCTCCCTATGTTGCCCAGGCTGGTTTTGAACTCCTGGGCTCAAGCAATCCTCCTGCCTCAGCCTCCCAAAGTGCTAGGATTAGAGGCATGAGCTACCCCGCCCCAGCCTTGTTCTTGTTCTTCATAGCCTCTTGGTTACTCTATTTCATCTTGCAGGCTTTCAGATGCCTGGGAATACTTCTTTTATTTTTAAGAATGAGCCATAAATACCTAACTGGGATTCTAGGAGCATGTACTGGGCTCGTTTATTGGAGGGATTTGTTCTAGGCTGATCTAGTAACCAGCTAGCAAGAGTGTAGATGTTAGAGAAGCATGCTCTAAATATTTGCTTGAGAGACAGATGCCTGCCTGCTAGGGTTTCTGTGTGTGGGTGGGGCAGGAGAGGGTGCAAGAAGGGTACAATGTTCTATCTATAGAACTTCAATTTATTTCCCAGTTTTCATGGGTGAGTCGTCTTTCCTCCTGTGGCTGTCCTAGCATTTCTGTGTCTTAGGGTTCTCTTGGGTTCTCAACTCTGTTCCCCACACACCCTTGCATATTCCACGCTGCAGCTTCCAGCACCTGCCTCACCTGTAACTACCTCTTCATTCACTTTCTTTCTCTTCAAAATGCATTGAAATTTCTCTTACATTGATAGCCTCTCTCTTATTTTCTGTTTGCTGTGGGTTTATAACTTTTTAAATTTTCTTTTTTTTTTTTTTTTTTTTGAGGTGGAATCTCATTCTGTCACCCCGGCTGGAGTGCAATGGTGCAATCTCGGCTTACAGCAACCTCCGCCTCCCAGTTTCAAGTGATTCTCCTGTCAGTAGCTGGGATTACAGACCTGTGCCACCACGCCCGGCTAATATTTGTATTTTTAGTAGAGACGGAGTTTCACCATGTTGGCCAGGCTAGTCTCGAACTCCTGAGCTCAGGTGATCCGCCTACCTTGGCCTCCCAAAGTGCTGGGATTACAGGCGCCAGCCACTGTGCCCGGCCTTAAATTTTATTTTCTATCATGAAATGGGTTCTTATGTAGGAAAAGACACAAACACATATTCTCTATCTTGAACTAGAAGTCAAAAGATAACTCTATTGTATATAAAGACTAAAAAAAAAAAAAAAAAATAGAAAAGGACTCCAACCATTTAGTACCACCTAGCTTCTCAGAGGGAAACCCTGTGCATGCTTCAGTCTGAGATGGATGTGACTATGAACATACTGTTCATGGCTATTCCCTGTCCTGGAGAAACCCATAGAAAAAGGGTTGAGATGAAGGGATCTTCCTGATAGAGTGGATGCAATAGAAATAGCATTGGCCAGAGTTGTGACCAGGGCTCAGATATTTTACAGGATTCTCTCTATTCTTCTCTATTCCACTCTTCTATCCCACCCCAATGATTCCTGAACATTTCAAGCAGAATCTCCCTCTCACTGGGCCCTTTCTCAAAGCTTTTCCATTGTTCATTGGCTTATTTCTCTTAAGAATTAGTCATGGTCTAGGCCGGATACTGTGGCTCAGGCCTGTAATCCTAGCACTTTGGGAGGTAGAGTCGGGCAGATCACTTGAGGTCAGGAGTTTGAGACCAGCCTGGCCAACATGGTGAAACCCCGTCTCTACTAAAAATACCAAAATTAGCCGGGTGTGGTGGCGCATGCCTGTAATCCCAGCTACTAGGGAGGCTGAGGCAGGAGAATCGCTTGAACCCAGGAGGCAGAGGTTACAGTGAGCTGAGATCGAGCCACTGCACTCCAGCCTGGGTGACAGAGAGAGACTCCATTTAAAAAAAAAAAGTGAGTAAACCAACAAAGATGTGACTTGAGATTGAAGCCAGTAGGTTAATGAAGGGAAATCCCAGTAGGCAACCAGTCCAGATTGGAGGAGGAAGGTGGAGGACTCCAACAGGGAGGGAGCTGGAGAATATGGAGTCAAGAAATTTGATCTCCTGGAGTATTTAGAGAAAGTTAAGGAGGTAATGAAAGCTTTGTTCCCTTCTGAAAAGCCATTGTCTTTCATTTCTAAAAAATTGCTTCAAAATCCTTTCCTGGTGAATCTACACTACCATTCTCTCCTCTTCTCTGTACCCATTCCAGGAAATGCTCAGGAGATGGAGCTCTCAGAAGAGTCTACCTACTCAGAACTTGGAGGTGTCACCAGGCACAGTGGCTCACGCCCGTAATCCCAGCACTTTGGGAGACCAAGGTGGGTGGATCATTTGAGCTCAGGAGCTTGAGACCAGCCTGAGCAACATGGTGAAACCCCATCTCTCCCCAAAATACAAAAATTAGACAGGCATAGTGGCCCGCATCTGTAGTCCCAGCTACTCTGGAGGCTGAAGTAGGAGGATCACTGGAGCCTGGGAAGTTGAGGCTGCAGTGAACCATGATTGCACCTCTGCACTCCAGTCTGGGTGACAGAGCAAGACTCCTGTCTCAAAAAGAAGAATAAGGAAAGGAGAAGGAGAGGGACAGAGAGAGGGAGAGGGAGAGGGAGAGGGAAAGGGAAGGGGAGGGGGAGGAGGGGGGAGGAGGAGGGAGGAGGAGAAGGAAAAGGAGAAGAAGAAGGAGAAGGAGAAGGAGAAGGAGAAGGAGAAATTAGGAGTGTGAGGCCTGAAACTTTCTCCCAGGGTTCTGTTTAAGAGAATTGATATATATGAGGGGAGGGGAGATGGGCATTGAGGTTAAAGGAAGTTGGGGTTGAAGGAAAATTACAAGGAAATGGAGAATTACATAATATCTATTCCCCAATTAGCTCAAGGCCCTTCTCCAATCAGCCATTTGATTTAAGTGGGGCTCTGCTCTCAAGTCTAAGGGTGGCCCATATAAGCCAGGCTTAAGATAAACAACACAAAGCACTCACCAATGACCTGACAGGTTAAGAGGCAACACTTGCCCCAAGATGTCCCATCACAGGGAGTCTTATGACTTTAGATGAAAAGTTGAGGCAAAGATTTTCACACTTTCCTACTGGACATGAATGTGGAATGATGTTGCCCCAGAAGTCGCCGACAGTCATATCAAAACCACAGGGGAGAGACACTCTCTCTGCGAATGAGACCAACACAAACTGGGGAGCAGAGCCAAAGGACAGAGGGGATCCATGTCCTGATTATGTTTCACAAGCTCCTGTCTCAGTTACACCTGTAGCCAGCCCTAATCTGGGACTTTTGTATTGCATGAGCCTATCAATCCACTTTTTGCTTACAATGAAAATAGTCTTGCATACAATGAAAATATTCTTAACTAATATAGATTGTATGTATTCACATATTGATTTTTAACTTTTAGATTGAACAGAATGTATTATGGCAAAAGAAGAGACTATCAATGTTTTTATTTTATTTATTTTTATAAGACAGTATCATCAAGCAATATCAGTGTTTTTAACTTGACAATGTTAACATAAAAGCACAGATGCTAGAAACAGAGGTGGAAGATAAAAGGAAGAGTAAATAAAGAACAAGAGCACCAATATCTTAAAAACTTGAGGTCAAGAAACAGCCCATAGGCAATGAAACAAGAAATAAAAGTGTAAGTTAGCATTTAAAGTTACAGAAGTAACAAATAAAGGAACCCCAAACAATGTTATAAGCAAATTGGGAAGACAAGTAAGGAGAGTAAAAGATATGTACCCTAGGACCTTTGAGAAAATGGAGTTCAGTTCTAAAACCACTAAAAACAAAACAAAATTTATTTGACCTCCAATCCTGAAGAAAAAAACAATTTTTTTGAGCACCAAGTAAAAGGGGAAAAAATCAAAGGGAAGGAAAATAGATTTAAATGGTAAGGTCCAGCTGGAGGAAACTAGAGGAAAAATTGGAATGAAACTGTGAGCAATGGTATTCGTCTATATGCTGCCCTTATAAGCGTTTGGTACTTGCTTTGAGGCTACTCTAGGATGGTTGGCACTTCTTTTTCCTTTTGGATGATTGATGTGCAACTGATGCTTATCAGTCAGATCATCTGGATGTGCACACTTGGTAGCCAGCCCGAGGATGCTTCAGCTGAGGTTAAAAGAGAAAATGAATTGGAGACTTAGAAATTGGGGGAATAAAACTAATGAAAACATGGCTTGGTTTGAGTGTTGTTTAACATCAATGTTGGTGAGAAAATAGAAAAATTATCAGCTGAAAAAAGGAGGGATATTTAATAATATCTCACATTAGAAAAAAGTAACAACAACCTTGGAGCATGATACGATGTACTCATGACTCCTTACATGAAAGGGAGAGTGGGGCAGAAACAAAAAGAAAATGCATGCTAGGTCATCAAAGTGACCTGAGAAAACTCTGATATTGATCTGCCTTCTCCTGGTTGATAAGTGGCACCAGCCTAGGTCCCAAATTTTGGCTCTAATATTTTTCTCTTGGAAGAAGAACTAAGATTCTGGGGAAAAAAACTGATTCCACCTTTTGAAGTAGAAAGCATTTCATACCCAGCCTGGAACACCCTGTCATTCAAGAAAGCAGAGCTGTGAGTAGCCAAAGAGTGACCACATAAACTCCAGAGAGGGAAAAAATGACCACAGTTAATCAGAACGAACTGAGTCTATTGAAAGAACTGTGAGTCCACAGCATCCTAAATAGTTAGAAGGAAGACTTCACAAAGGGAACTGAAAGGTAGTGATGGCCTGGCACAATGGCACACTCTGGTAGTCCCAGCTTCTTGGGAGGCTGAGGCAGGAGGATCACTTGAGCCCGGGAAGTGATCGTGCCACTGCACTCCAACCTGAGCAACACAGTGAGACTCTGCCTCAAAAGATAAAAATACGAGTAAAAAGAAAAAGTAGTGATAATGTGCACACTAGCTAGCAAAATTATTAAAGTTTTGTATTGATCAGCCCAAACTACGTGAGTCATTCACTGGCATTTTGGTCATATCCCAGAAAATAAAATTTAGGAGTAGGTTTTGGGAGAAAAAAATCTTAGAAAGGCACACATCAAACATGGAAAGTTTTTTCTGTTTTGTTTTGTTTGGTTTGGTTTTGAGACAGAGTCTCAAGTCTGTTGCCAGGCTGGAGTGCAGTGGCGTGATCTCAGCTCACTGCAACCTCTGACTCCCTGGTTCAAGCAATTCTCCTGCCACAGCCTCCCGAGTAGCTGGGATTACAGGCTCGTGCCACCATGCCTAGGTATTTTTTGTATTTTTAGTAGAGATGGGGTTTCATTATGTTGGCCAGGATGGTGTTGATCTCTTGACTTCTTGATCCACCCTCCTCGGCCTCCCAAAGTGTTGGGATTACAGGCGTGAGCCACCGCACCCGGCCTTTTTTTTTTTTGAGATGGAGTCTTAAGTCTGTTGCCAGGCTGGAGTGCAGTGGCATGATCTCACCTCACTGCAACCTCTGACTCTCTGGTTCAAGCAATTCTCCTGCATCAGCCTCCCGAGTAGCTGGGATTACAGGCACATGCCACCACGCCCAGCTATTTTTTGTATTTTTAGTAGAGACGGGGTTTCATTATGTTGTTCAGGATGGTCTCAATCTCTTGACCTCATGATCCACCCTCCTCGGCCTCCCAAAGTGTTGGGATTACAGGCGTGAGCCACCATGCACTGCTTTTTTGTTTTGTTTTGTTTTGTTTTGTTTGAGACAGAGTCTCGCTCTGTCACCCAGACTGGAGTGCAATGGCGTGATCTCGGCTCACTGCAACCTGTATCTCCACCTCCCAGGTTCAAGTGATTCTCTTGCCTCAGCATCCCAAGTAGCTGGGACTACAGGCTCACGCCAGCACAACCGGCTAATTTTTTTGTATTTTTAGTAGAGACAGGGCTTCACCATGTTGGCCAGGCTGGTCTCGAACTCCTGACCTCAGGGGATCCGCCTGCCTTGGCCTCTCAAAGTGCTGGGATTACAGGCGTGAGCCACCGCGCCTGGCCAAAAGTATTTTTTAAAGTAAGAGTGTACTTGTAGAAGGTGGGGGTATACTTGTAGAAAGTGAGGGTAATTTTGTGGATAAGGGCAATGCTATGGAAGATGGAAAATGTAAGTAAAAGGTGGAGAAATATTAGCTAGGCAATACTGAACAGAGAGGAAGTCTACTGTGATGGAAGAAGGGAAGATATCAAGATTAATTAATAGTAATAAAAAGCACAAAGCCAGTAAACTCAGGTTATTGTGTACAGGTCACCAAATCCTTCTGAAGAGTGGGCTCAAAGGAGGAGGGAGGTTTGCATATCTCTTGGAAGAAGTGGGAAACCGTCTGGGCTGGCAGTGTCAGGCTGAACGAGCTCAAACAAGTGCAAAGTCAGTTAAGGTAAAAGAAGGAGTTGGTGTCACAGCAAAAGAGAATAGGAGAAATGTCAAGAAATTAAAAATAGTCTCTTTTTCATAAGAAGATAGAGAATCAAAGAGTTATGTAAAATAGGTGAGGGAATGAAAAGAAAAATAGAAGAACATGAAAGTTTGTCTAAGTGTAATGGTGTCTTAGAAATAAGTAGACATGTACCAAGTGCAAGCAAAGAAGAACAGTCCCCTGCAAAACATACAACCAAAAGACAACGAAAAAGAAGACATCCCAGCCTAACTGAGTGAGACATCCTTCAGGGAGGAAGGAGGAGCTTGTGCATTCAGAACAGGACACATCCCCCATGCCTGCAGGACCCCCCCTCCTCTCTCAGCAAGGCTGAGTGGGAACCCCTGAATGGGCACACTCTGGACAAGAGCTCACACTCCCGCTTCCCTGAACACTTGCAGCTGCTCTGTCACTCTACCTGGGGACTGTCAGGATGAATCTTACTAGGCCCTTTAGTCTTGTGCTTGTAGCCACCGCATCATTCCTCATTCCCCACCTCTAATCCCCATTCAGCTTGTGCACTACCTTTCAACCCCATCTTCCATAGCTCCTCATCTCCTGAAACCTTTCCACCGTGCACTCTGGAGCTCAAAGTTATTCATCAGCAGAACATTCTGCACCCTAACTCTCTTTCCAAAATGTTCTCTTCATCCTCATGCTCTAAGGATACTTCTTTCTTTGCTGTCCTCTTCAGAGGTGGTTGCTTGCCCTCCCACAGCCCTTCTATTACTGGGCCTGGGGGGTAGTTAGATGTTCTCCTCGTTCCCCGTTGCTAATCCCAGATGCCCTCTCTTTCAGACTCAGTATCCACAATCCACAGTCCCTCTGTCTGCAGGCATCTCTGCCACCTTCCCCCATGCTTTGAAGAGTTTAGCTCCTGGATCATCCTCACCAACATTCCTAGAGATTTCCATACCCACATGGATGATTATTCCAGGAACCTGGACTCTAGATTCCATGATATTCTCTTCTCCAACGAACTGGTCATCCATTCTACCTAAGCGATTGTCTTCCATGGTCATATTTTAAGTCTTGTCATAACAATCACCTCAATCCCATCACTAGTTCAGTTTCAAATATCCCATGCTCTGAACACACCTCTTTCCTAGGCCAGGGTCCCTGGAACACAGAGTCAGCCTGAAGCAAAGCAAATGTGCTGATGCTTTACTGAGAAAGAAGCAAGAATGAGGGAAAGGAGCAGTCAGGCAGGAAAGTCAGGAGAGCAACCACAAAGTGTGCTGTAGAGCTGGCAACATCTTCCAAGAATATCCAACCGCGGGGCTCACAGGGCTCCTCCAGAGAGGCCAGAGGACCACGGCGTCTAAACCCAATTCAGCAGGGGCACGCAGAGGTTATTCAACTCCTTCTCAAGCCTTCTGGCATTCTTCTCCTTGGTCAAAATCATCCCCATGGAGCTTTAATTCCCTACGATTTGCAGGTTGTGTATTGACCACTCTGGGAAGTCACAGGGGAAGCCAGAGCCTCCATGGACCCAGTCAGGTGAGACGTGGTATCGAAGCTGCCACAGCTCCTATGGCAGTGGCTGTGACAGAAGCTGTGCTGAAGCCTTGTCCAACCCTGAGGTTCCGCTGAGGCAACCAGAGCCACGGCGATGACCACTGGAATGAAATGAGCCATCCCCAGGGCCAATCCAGCCAGAAAATAGGGCAAGAGGCTCAGGCCCTGGGGAAGAGGAGCGGAAAAGTCAGGCTCAACACATTTGGGGTGCAAAGAAACTGGATCTTGCACATCCATGCATTGCACCACATAGATCTGCTCAGACCCATTCATTTCTGAATCTTGCATGAGAAAAAAAATGATGCTCTCACTTTTTCTCAAGAAGAAAATTTAAAACCCAGTTCTTCAAGATGATGGCCAGTTCCAATCTCCTAAAAAAGGAGTTAGAAAACCAAGTTAAATCCCATTATTACAGCTGGTCATAATTGACATCCAGGGCCATAATTGATATTCTCATTTTGCACCTCCACCAGCCATTCCAGGTTTCCCTTACCCTCAGTCAGCACTTTGGCTGGTCTGGGTCACTGGCCTGGTGAAGTGACCTAAACCTTCAGCCCTCTTGCCTTGCTTTTGTAAGGCCATGGTTGCTGCAATTAACCACTCACAGTTCTCACTGGGCAGAGAAGCACCAAGAAATGGCCCAGCGAATCCCCCAAGTTCCAGACTTACTTTCTTTCTTTCTTTCTTTCTTTCTTTCTTTCTTTCTTTCTTTCTTTCTTTCTTTCTTTCTTTCTTCTCTCTTTCTTTTTCTTTCCTTCCTTCCTTCCTTCTCTTCCTTCCCCACTCTCACTTTCTTCTCTTCCTTCCCTCCCTCCCTCCCTTCCTTCCCTCTCCCTTCTTTCCTTCCTTCTTTTCTTTCCCTTCCTTCCCTTCTTTCTTTCTTTCTCTTTCTTTCCCTTCTTCCCATCTTCCTTCCTTCCTTTATTTCCTTCCCTCTCTCTCTCTTCCTCCATCCCTCCCTCCCTTCTTTCCTTCTTTCTTTCTCCTTCCTTTCTTTCCCTCCTTCCTCCCTCTCCCTCACTTTCTTTCTTTCCTTCCTTCCCTCTCTCTCTCTCCCTCCTTCCCTCCCTCCCTCTTTCCTTCCTTCCTTTTTCTTTCTCTTTCTTTCTTTCTTTCTTTTTCCCTTCCTTCCTTCCTTCCTTCCTTCCTTCCTTCCTTCCTTCCTTCCTATCTTCCTTCCTTCCTTCTTCCTTCCTTCCTTCCTTCCTCTATCTCTATATCTTTCTTAGATGGGGTCTCACTCTATTACCCAGGCTGGAGTGCAGTGATATGATCATAGTTCACTGTGACCTCAAATTCATAGGGTCAAATGATCCTCTGACCTCAGCCTGCTGAGTAGCCAGGACTACAGGCACGCACCAGCATGCCTGGCTAATTTTTAAAAAATTTTTTAGAGACAGGGGTCCCCCTATGTTTCCCAGGCTGGGAGCTCTTTCATTCTCCATTATGAAATGGCAACTCTTGCTATTCATGTGACTCAGGGTCAACTACCCCTGCCAGTACAGAAATGCCATTCTTTGTCTGCTGATCCTCTGGCATGAGGAGCCCAAAGTGGCCAAACATGACCACAGTTTCCAGTTCCCAGGTGGAAGCACATATGAATAGGTCTTCTCAGGGCCTAAGGCTACAGGAAACATGAATTCCACAAGTGGGTCATTGAGAGAAATGGTGGTCAGGGGCAATGCTTCTGTCACCTTGTAGTCGACCAGGCCTGTGTATTCTAGCTATTAAGGCAGACAAAAAACCATCCCAGGCTGGGTGTGGTGGCTTATGCCTGTAATCCCAGCACTTCGGGAGGCTGAGGTGGGCGGATCACCTGAGGTCAGGAGTTTGAGACCAACCTGGCCAACATTGCAAAACCCCGTCTCTACTGAAAATACAAAAATTAGCTGGGCGTGGTGGTGGTCCCTGTAATCCCAGCTACTAGGGAGGCTGAGGCAGGAGAATCACTTAATCCTGGGAGGCAGAGGTTGCAGTGAGCCGAGATCGTGCCATTGCACTCCAGCCTGGGCAACAAGAATGAAACTCCGTCTCAAAAAAAAAAAAAAAAAAAAAAACCTCAGAAAATTGCGATGCTTAATACCACCACCAGTGCTTGAAAGATGCAAGGTAGTTATTCCTTCCACAATCCTATTTAATTTGTCCTTTTGGCAGATGCAGAATCTTGATGGATCCTGGAACATGACTATGGATTATTGTAAATGTAATCAGGTAGGGAATCCAATTAGAGCTGCAACCTGGATGTGGTATCTTTAACAGAGCAAATCAATATAGCCTCTGGCATCTGGAAAGTGTTTTCTTTTCCATTCAAAAGCAAACTGCCTTTGTGTGGCATGACAGCTGTATTCCTTCACTGTTTTTCCTCAGGACTGTGTCAACCTTCTTTACTTTGGTATATTATAGCCAGAAGGGGCCTTGATTACCTTGATAACCCACAGAACATTATGCTATTCCATTACATTGATGACATTATGCTAATTGGACCTGGTGAGAAAGAAGTATCAAGCATCCCACATACTCTAGTGGAACACATGCGTTTCAAAAGCTGGCCAATAAACCCTGTGAAAATTCAGGGACCTGACACATAGGGAAGTTTCTAGGGGTCCAAGGCCTGCGGCATGTTGACAGTAGCTTTAAAATGACAGACAGTTTGCTTCACCATACATTGTCCACTATGAATAAAGAGGCACAATGCTTGGTAGGCCTGTTTGGATTTTGGAGGCAACATATTCTACATTTGAACTTGTAGCTCCAGTCCATTCACCAAGGAATCTATAAGGTTTACAGTTTTGTTGTTTTTGTTTTGTTTTTTTTAGACAGAGTTTCTCTAACTCCGTCACCCAGGCTGGAGTGCAGTGCAGTGGCATGATCTCAGCTCACTGCAACTTCTGTCTCCCAGGTTCAAGCAATTCTTGTGCCTCAGCCTCTCGAGTAGCTGGGATTACAGGTGTGTGCCACCATGCCTGGCTAATTTTTGTATTTTTAGTACAGATGGGGTTTCACTATGTTGGCCAGCCTGGTTTTGAACTCCTGACCTCAAGAGATCCCCCTACCTTGACTTCCCAAAGTGCTGGGATTACAGGCATGAGCCACCACGCCCATCCAGGTTTACAGTCTTGTGTAGGACCCAAAGCAAGAAAAATACCTGTAGCAGGTCTCAGTTATTCAAGCTGCCCTGCCGCTTGGGTCTTGAGACTCAGCAAACCCCATGGTGTGGGAAGTGTCTGTAGAAGAAAGAGAAATTGTATGGGGAGCCTCTGCCAAGCCCCAAAAGGAGAATCACAGTGCAGACTCTTTGAGGTTTGGAGTAAAAGCATGCCCTTTTCTGCCAGCTCTTCTCCATTTGAAAAGCAAATCTTAATTACCACTGGGTTCTGGTAGTTTAAATATCAAAAAAATGAAACATTAAATAAGGATGCAAACAGATTCCTGCCTGAGGTGGGAATAGTCACCACAAGATGAGTTTGCAGTCACAAAGAACTATCAATCACAGTAATAGCCAAAGTCAGAGGGAAGCTAAGGAGTTTTGACACAGGGCACCATAGACTCTGGTCACTTCTTGCGCCACTAAGATTCCTTTGTATCCCATATCCATTCTGTTAAATCCACCCTGTTAAAGATGTTAGCCAGCTGCAGCCTCTAGAAAAGATTTAATATTAAGCTTCATGTTGGAGTAAGTGAAAAAGACAAAGATTTAATGTATAGGGATTATTGAGACAAGCTACAATCCCACTGGTTACCCAAAATGGTAATAGACATTATCTTTCTTCTCTCCACACCCTCCCCTCCACCCCCACTCTAGCATTCCATCTTGTCTACTTTGCCTGCCTGGCAGGAGGACTGAGATCTTCATTGCTCAGGAGTCTAAGCTCTTGGTTGTCTTGCCTTTGTCAGGTGGTGGTTGCTGCAATTGCTCATTCACAGTTATTACTAGGCTTGGAATTACTGAGAGACACCATAGAATTCCAACATTCTAGACATTTTTTTCACTGTCCTCATTATTGGCAGCTACTCTAGGTCATTATGATAATTAGGGTCAACCACTGCTGTCAGTATAACTTTTAGCGCCTGCTGGTCCACAGGCATAAGGAGCTCAAAGTGACCGGATCACAGTTACAGATTCAGATTGAGCGGAGACTTTTTTGTGCCCCCTAGTGGAAAAGTCCTCCTCCCAGGGAATGAGGACCTTAAATCCAGCAGCCCAAGGTTGAGGGGATGAGCGAATATTTGGGGGTTGGTTACTAGGAGTGATGGTGAGAGGGGCCAATCTTCCATCTTTATATGTTGGCTATTGGTTTCCTGGAGGACAGGACTCCACCCTCAAAATACTGTCCCCAAGTTGGCACTTTAGATGAGCCTTTAATAGGCCATCTCACCATTCTGTTTGCCAGCTGCTTTCAAGTATACAATATACGGTAGAACGAGTGGCTACTGTGATTATTGTTATGCACCTCCTTGGCCGTAAAATGGATCCTTCGGTCTGGGGCAACATCTTCTGGGATCCCATATGGGTTGATCAGGCATTCCCCAACTCCAGGCCTTTGGGATAGTGGTGCTGGGAAAGGCACTTAAGGCAGGAAAGGCAAACATTTCAAGAGCAGGTGTCAGTTTCAGTAAGGGAGAATCACATCCCCCTCCATTAGAAGTGGTCCTTTCACTTCACTTTGTATCTGCTTCCAAATATCCAGCCACATGATTCTTCCCCTGCATCAGCTTGTCTCTAATTCTCCAATCTTGACCTTTCCAGAATCCTGAGCAACCAGCTAAATCATTCTCCACTGCCCAGGAGTTTATGTATATTCTTACCTCAAACTACTTTCCCTCCATTCAAAGTAACAACCAAGTGTACTATTCACTACACTTGCTTTTAGGGTCCCACTTAGTGAAGTATTAGTGTGGCAGCTGTCCAGCTTTGGTTACAAAAACATATTGAGTCCCCCCCATCCATAGCCATCCCAATTTTTTTTTCTCCTTTGTTAGCTGGTTGTAAGGAAAACCTCCATGAGGTTGCATGTGTGAATTAAGGAGGAGGTTTGCTGAATGCTACAAAAGTGGGTGATATAGACTGGGCCACTCCTTCATGTAACTTACTTGTAACTTAGAATCTGCTCTGGACTGATCCCAAATATACCATTTACCCACTAAGCGGCAAGGCAGCTTCCACTGTAGCCCAGATTTGCTGTAAGGCCCTATATTTCTCTGAGCTCCACTTGAAACTGGCACCCTTCCTAGTCACTTGAGAAATAGGTCAGAACAGTGTTCCTAAGTGTAATGTATATTGCTCCCCAAATCCAAATCCCCCCCACCCACAAAACACCACCTCTTCTCTAGTGATATGGGTTTAGAAGATGCAATAACTTGCCATTTGTTTTAGAAGAATGTCCCAGAGGCCGGGCATGGTGGCTCACGCCTGTAATCCCAGCACTTTGGGAGGCCAAGGCTGGTGGATCATGAGGTCAGGAGTTCAAGACCAGCCTGGCCAAGATGGTAAAACCCTGTCTCTACTAAAACTACAAAAATTAGCCAACCATGGTGGCGGGCACCTGTAATCCCAGCTACTCAGGAGGTTGAGGCAGAGAATTGCTTGAACCCAGGAGGTGGAGGTTGCAGTGAGCCGAGATTGCACCACTGTGCTCCAGCCTGGGCAACAGAGTGAGACTCCATCTCAAAAAAAAAAAAAAGAAGAAGAAGAAGAAGAAGAAGAAGAAGAAGAAGAAGATCCTAGAATTCCTCAGATCATTGAACTCCTAAAAATTTCACCAATGTGGTAGACCCTTGATTTCTTACAGAGTTTATTCCCCACCTTCTGGCATGCATTTGTCTTACTAGGGGATTCAGAATATTTGACACTTTCTATTGTCCAGGCCTAATCAGCATGATGCCATCAATATAGTGGACCAATATGTGAAACATAAAGATCAAGGCCCCTGTGGACTACGTCTTGACAGAGAGCAGGAGAAATAATATAGTTATGGGACAAGACAGTGAACATGTATTGATGACCTTCTCCTATAGATGTAAACTGCTTTTAGTGACAGTGACAGAAAATAACACATTTGACAGATCAGTAGCCACATGCCAAATGCCATAGACTGAATTGATCCATTTCAACAAAGACACAATATGGCACAGCAGCTTTAGTTGGGGCCATTATTTGATGTTGTCAGATTTTTACCATTTTGGTGGGTACAGAGTTGTAACATGTTTTCATTCTGTATTTCCCTAATGACTGATAAAATCAATCACTTTTCATATGCTTATTGGCCATCTGCATTTCTTGTGCTTGTTCAAGTATTTTGTCTATTTAAAACATTTATCTGTAGGAATTCTTTTTTATATGCTAAGAAGTGATGGACTGAACTGTACCCACCCTAAAATTCTATGTTGACGCCCTAACCCCCAATGTGACTGTATTTAGAGATAGGGCCTCTAAGGAGGAAACAAAGGTTAAGTGAGGTCATAAGGGACTAGCCTTAATCTGATAAGGCTGGTGTTCTTATAAAAAGAAGAAAAGACACCAGAGCTGTCTCTCTGGAAAGGCCATGTGAGGATATGACAAGAAGGCAGCCATCTACAAGCCAGGAATAGAAACCTCATTAGGAGCTGAATTTGCTAGTAGCTTAATCATGGACTTCTAGCCTTTAGAACTGTGAGAAAATAAATATGCATTGTTTAAGCCACACAGTCTGTGGGATTTTATTATGGCAGCCTGAGCAGACTAAATCATAGATGTGAGCCTTTTGTCAGTTATATTTATTGCAAATATCTTCTCCCTTCTCACCTCCTGGCAAACTGCATGAGCAGCTGTCATGGTTATCTATTGCTGTGTAACAAACAATAGACAGTAACAAACTCTTACCCAAAGCTTAATGACTTATAGCAACAATAATCACTTATTTTGCTCATGAATCTGCAATCTGGGCAATGTTTGATGGGGCTGATTCATCTCTGTACCACACAGCATTAGCTGGGGTGGTTTGACTGGGGCTGGAGAATCCCCTTCCAAGATGGCTAGCAAGCAGGGGCTGGCTGTCACCTAAGAGCTCAGCTAAGGCTGTAGGCCAAGGTCCTCAGTTCCTCTCCACATAGGCTTCACCATGGGTCAACGCCAACTTCCTCGTGATTCCAAGAGCACACATATCAAAAGACAGTAAGTGAAAGTTACTAGTGTCTTAAGACCTGAGCCTGGACAATGGCATGGCGTCACTTCTGCCTTATTCTATTTAAGCAATCACAACTCCTTCCCAGATTCAAGGGAAGGGACAAAGACCCCACATCCTGATGGAAGGTATGTTAAAGAATTGGCAGACGCCAAAATCTTGGTGTTTCCTGAATTTGCAGCCCTTTTCTGTACAGGCCCATGACTGCAAAAGAAAGGCACTCCTGGCTGGGTGCACTGGCTCACGCCTGTAATCCCAGCACTTTGGGAGGCAGAGGCAGGCAGATCACGAGGTCAGGAGATCGAAACCATCCTGGCTAACGCGGTGAAACCCTGTCTCTACTAAAAATACAAAAAATTAGCTGGGCATGGTGGCGCGCGTCTGTAGTCCCAGCTACTCAGGAGGCTGAGGCAGGAGAATTGCTTGAACCCGGGAGGCAGAGGTTGCAGCTAGCCGAGATCACGCCACTGCATTCCAGCCTGGGTGACACAGTGAGACTCTGTCTCAAAAAAAAAAAAAAAAAAAGAAAGAAAGAAAGAAAGAAAGAAAGAAAGAAAGAAAGAAAGAAAGAAAGAAAGAAAGAAAGGCACTCCTACGAATTAATGGTGCTCTTGCTGTTGCATCCAAACTCCATGGAAATTCTTATGTCTTCTCCTTGCTACCTATCCTTGCTACCTATTAAGAACCTTTTCACATCCCCAAAATCTGGCTTGTTTTTCTGATCTGATACCTTCTTGCTATCCACTAAACCCCCATCACAATAACCAGTCATCTGAAGTGTGATCACCTCCTCAGTAAATCAATTCTAAATTCCTTAGCATTGCTCATAAGGCTTCTCACAAGCTAATTCCAGCCTACCTTTCAGCCCCGTCTCCCACCACTCCCTCCCTTCTGTCCCGTGCATCCTGAGTTTTTGATGGCACAGAAGAGTAGATTCTCTATAGAAGAAAAGTAATTGGCCTCCCAAAGTGCTGGGATTACAGGCATGAACCAGTGCACCTGGCAGGGAGTGCCTTTCTTTTGCAGTCATAGGCCTGTACAGAAAAGGGCTGCAAATTCGGGAAACACCAAGATTTTGGCATCTGCCAAAAAAAAAAAAAAAGTAATAATAATAATAATAATAAATAGTGTCATAACTTGGTGCTTTTTTTTTTTTGAAGATAGAATCTTGCTCTGTCGCCCAGGCTGGAGTGCAGTGGCACGATCTCGGCTCACTGCAAGCTCCGCCTCCCGGGTTCACACCATTCTCCTGCCTCAGCCTCCTGAGTAGCTGGGACCACAGGCGCCCACCACCACGCCCAGCTAATTTTTTGTATTTTTAGTAGAGACGGGGTTTCACCGTGTTAGCCAGGGTGGTCTCGATCTTCTGACCTCGTGATCCACCCGCTTCGGCCTCCCAAAGTGCTGGGATTACAGGCGTGAGCCACTGCACCCGGCCAAATGTGAACTACTTTTTTTGGAAAAGTTCTACTGAGAGGGACCCCGAGCAGAGGTTGCCTAAGTAGGAGCAATGACCCTGTCTAGGTATTCTCCTGCCTTCTGAATTCACTGCCCTAATCCATAGTGATCCGAGTCCCCCACTAGGCCAAACTTGAGGGTGGGATCCACTTGTGCTTCATCCCTGTATCCTCTTCTGTCCCCTAGCACCCAACATGGTGGCTAGCACCCAACACATTGAATAATCAATCAGCGAATGAACAATGTTAAAAATGTTGGTGGTCATAGACATGTACTGCTCACATCAGTCTTCAAGGAAACACTTGCTGCCCAGGCTTAGAGAATGTAGTCAGCAGACAGACTGTTGCCGTGAGCTCTTTCAGAGTCTGCTTCAGCAGCCCTTGCTGGTGACTGAGCTAGGTTGGAGGTCAGGGGAACGGAAAAGGGTTACAGAGGCTCAGCCACTTAGTCTGATGCAGAACCGCTCCGACAGTCAATACTCTGGAGTAACTCTGGGTTGTTGATATGGTTTGGCTGTGTCGCCACTCAAATCTCATCTTGAATTGTAGTTCCCATAATTCCCACGTGCCGTGAGAGGGACCCAATGGGAAGTAATTGAAGCATGGGGGCAGTTTCCCCCATGCTATTCTCGTGATAGTAAGTTCTCATGATATCTGATGCTTTTATGAGGGGCTCCCCCTTTGCTCGGTTCTCATTCTTCTCTCTCCTGCCGTCACGTGAAGAAGGACGTGATTGCTTCCCCTCCTGCCATGATTAGGTTTCCTGAGGGCTTCCCAGCAATGAGGAACTGTGAGTCAATTAAACCTCTTTCCTTTATAAATTACCCAGTCTTGGCTGGGCGCGATGGCTCACGCCTGTAATCCCAGCACTTTGGGAGGCTGAGGCGGGCAGATCATGAGGTCAGGAGATCGAGACCATCTTGACAGTGAAACCCCGTCTCTACTAAAAAAAAAAAAAAAAAAAAAATTAGCTGGGCATGGTGGCAGGCGCCTGTAGTCCCAGCTACTCCGGAGGCTGAGGCAGGAGAATGGCGTGAACCCGGGAGGCAGAGGTTGCAGTGAGCCGAGATCGTGCCACTGCACTCTAGCCTGGGCAACAGAGCGAGACTCCGTCTCAAAAAAAAAAAAAAAAAAAATTACCCGGTCTTGGGTATTTCTTCATAGCAGCGTGAGAATGGACTAATACAGTTGACCAAGCCTTGGCCAGGTCTGCATCACAGTTCAGTTTCTTCCTCTGCCCAATCCTGCTCCCTCCCGCTTCTCCTCACAGATATTGATCCCTAATAACCATCTTGCACCCACAGCTCTATCTCAGCTTCTGCTTCCAGAGAACCCATCCTGTGACAGGAGACAAAGTAGCTTGCTCCATCATCCAAGCAAAACAGATATGGGGTGGAGGGAAAGGAAAGAGTAGAAGTTTCATTGCCCACCAGAGGGCCCAGCCAGCACATCTATGGCCAGAGTTCACTCACTCGCCGTTCTATCAAAAATATGTGCTCTAGAATTACACTTGTCCCTTTGCTTTTTAAGGTTTTGTTATTTTGTCAGCATTCTAGTAAGGTTATATTTGAAGGCTGTCCAATATCTCAGATGAATGAAGAAGAAAAAAGAGTTTGTCTTATGCCTGTCCAGTTAGAAAGACTGGGAGCCTTCAAGCTTGGAAAAGGAGTGATGGTGGTCATCCCATTAGCTCTCAAGGAAGAGCCATCTGTGCAGCTGAGCATCTGGGAATTCCTTCCTGCCTGGAGTTTTCCTTCCTCCCTTTCATTTGTTTGTGCCTTTGGTTCAGTTATGTGAGAGTGCACCCTCGCACACATCACAGCTCAGAATGTATCATATTGGCTCAGCACTGTGTTGACTATACTTTCAATTCTTCTCTTCCTCCATACCTTAGGCAAACTTCAAGGATATCTATCACATGTGGATCTTTGTTTTTTCCTAGGAGCTGGGATTTTGTAGTGGTAAACAGTCTGGGCTTTGGATTCAGACCATTTGAGCCCCATTTTTGCCATTTACAAGCTAGGTGACCCTGGCCAAATTACTTAACCTTTATATATATATATATATACATATATTTTTTTTTTTTTTTTGAGACTGACATGCTGCATACTTCACTAGCAAGGCTGCTCCATTTTGGGTTTTTTGAATCTGTAAAGTGGAGAGAATCTCTTCCTCATAGGATTGTTGTTGGAATTAATGTAGCATAAGCAGCAAAAGCAGAGTCTTGCTCATAGTAAGCACTCAGTAAACACGTACACACATTTATTTGCCCATGAACAGACAGAGGGCTACTACCGAGAGACGCAGCTTTCAATGCCAGGGCTCATCCACCATCCCCACCCCAGGCCCCACCCTGCTCTACTAAGCTGGAGAGACGGAGAGAGGCTCTGATGCAGGAATCATTTTCATCTATCAGCTTTATCTATCAACATGAGCAGAGTGGACAGTTCCTCTGAGATCTGAATTATCACCTCCTGACCCAAAGTGCCTTCTCTGTCTTCTCCCTAGCACCAAGGCTGCAGAAAACAAGCAATGTGGAAGGAAGGAAGGAGAGGGAAATAAGGAGCAAGAGAGGGAAAGCAGTTGGCTAAGCTTTGTGCCCAGTTGGAAGAAGCAGAGTGGCAGTAGGCATGGGGTCTAGTAAAGGCTCGTGGAGCAAAGTCTTCATGATGAGTATAAGAGAAAATGGTTAAGTCATTTAGCCCTGGGTTCAAATTCTTGGTGCACTAAGTACTTGCTGGGAGAACCTAGTAAGTTACTTAACCCCTCTGGTTCAGCCTCATTATCCCCTCTTAGCCCCTCCCACTCTACACTTAATCCACACTGAACACTCAGTTCCTCAAACATGCATTGCCAAAAAAAAAAAAAAAAAAAAAAAGAATTGCACTCTTGCCTCTGCTCATTTGCCCGTAGGGTTCCCTTTACCTACAGTGACCCTATTCTCCAAGTGCCCCACCCTACATCAGCTACTGTAATCCCTTTCGTCTGGTCAATTCTAGCTCCTCCTGCAGAGCTCAGCTTAGATGTCACTTCCTTCAGGAAGCCTTCTCTGACCACTCGGCTTGCTATGTGCTCCCAGGGACACCAGAATTATCTCAATCGTGGCACTCACCACTCTCTGCTGACATGGCCTATTGTCTGCATGCCCCTCCAGAGCTCCATGGCTTCTTCATGACTACAGTTTCAGTAACCCATGCCTTACAGGTGCTCAATAAATGAGGCTGAATATTATTGAAACTTTGTAAGCTTTAGAGAGTTGGACAAAAGCCCAGCATAGGCATTGAATGCCAAATAATTTGTTGAGAAGAATGGAGTGGAGTGGAATGGAATGGAATGGTGAATATGCTGATTTTAATGCTATTTCACTGCATTATCCCAAAAGCCCACAAGATGTCAGTGTCTCTACTTGAGAAAAAATGTGGCAGTCTGGATGAAATTAAAAGCACTCCCTCTACCTGATGGCAGAAGTAGTTTAAAGTTAATATTGATATAGAAATAATAGGGATTGGTTGATTGGATTGAATATGTAATATGTACATATAGAACAGAATTCAAGTATACAGTGGAAAGTAAACTCTTCTTCCCTCCCTACTTCTGTCCCTTTTCCTCCAGCCCCACTTTGCCCAACCCATGGGCAACAATTTTTATTATACACATGGGATGGATATCCTTCTAGGGATATCCTAGGTATAAAACCACATAAGTAGATGTATATTTCTTTTTTTTTTTTTTTTTTTTTTTTTTGTTGAGACGGAGTCTCGCTCTGTAGCCCAGGCTGGAGTGCAGTGGCGTGATCTCGGCTCACTGCAAGCTCCACCTCCCAGGTTCATGCCATTCTCCTGCTTCAGCCTCCCGAGCAGCTGGGACTACAGGCACCGGCCACCACGCCCGGCTAATTTTTGTTTTTTTTTTGTATTTTTAGTAGAGACGGGGTTTCACTGTGTTAGCCAGGATGGTCTCGATCTCCTGACCTCATGATCCGCCCGCCTCGGCCTCCCAAAGTGCTGGGATTATAGGCATGAGCCACTGCGCCTGGCCAAGTAGATATATATTTCAAATAACACCAGTGGTTGTATACAACTGTTCTGCGCCTTGAACTTTTTTGTACCTAAAATATCTCGGTGCATTCCATATTAAAACAGTGTTACCCTGTTTAAAAAAATATTCCATTGTTTAGCTTTAATGTATTTGACCAATGTCCCAGTGATGGACATTCAGATGGCTTCTCATCTCTTTCTCTTACAAATATCTCAAACCATTCCTCATTTTATACACCTGCAAGTATATCTAGATTTTAAATTCCAATATTTTGATATTATCAATTAGCCCTCCATTGAAGTTGTACCTATTTACATTTCCAGCAACAATATGAGTGTTTTTTCTTTACAAACTTGCCACGCAGTTTTTTTTATATATATATATATATATATACACACATATATAATACGTAATAATACATGCAGTATATATGCCAGTCTGAGGTGAACTATATCTCATTATAGCTTTTTGAAACAGCTTTATTGAAGTATAACTGACATACAGTAAATTTCACGTTTAAAGTGTAAATTTGATGAATTTTGACATATGTACCCCTCTGAAACCATCACCACAATCAAGATGACTATATCCATCACTTCCAAAAGTTTCTTGTGCCCCTTTGTAAACCCTTCCTCCCACTACCCCTGTAATCCTATCATCCCCATGCAATCACTGTTCTGCTTTATGTTACTATATACAGTATTTGCTTTTATTTTCTAGAATCTTATAAAATTGGATAATACAATGTGTAGTCTGTGTTTGCTTGCTTGCTTATTTATTTGTAGAACTGACTTGCTTCATTCAGCATTAATATCTTGAGGTTCATCCATGTCATTGTGCATATCAATAGTTCCTTTTTATTGCTGAGTCACACTCCATTGTATGGATATACCACAATTTGTTTATCCTTTTATGTATTGATAGAAGTTTAGGTTGTTTTTGAAACCAATCCAATAGTCCCAAAGATGGTTCTTTTTGATAAACATAGAAATTGACCCTCCTGATCTTAAAGCTTGAAATTTATATTTGTTTTATCTGAGTTCCTTCCTCAGGAAACAACCTTCAGGCCTCTGGAAAAAGTATCAAAGAACTGAAACTCAATGGATCACAGCACCAGATGACAACCCCTCATTCATTATGATTGCTTCCTTTGCCCCTCCCTAGTTCCTGTTTTTTTACACATTGTTACATTTCTTCCCTGATGTATAAACCCCTAGTTTTAATCAGTCAGGGAGATGGATTTGAGACTGAGCTCCCATCTTCTAGGCTGTAGCACCAAGAAAGGGGAGCAGCAGGCCTGACCTAAGCCACACCCCTGACCTAGACCAAACCCTTGACCTAGACCAAACCTCTAGTATATGGAAGAAGCAGGACCCTCCCTGGACCTAGACCAAACCCCTGGTGTTTTGGTAATATTTTTAGTTTGTAGCTTTTACAAAGTTGCTATGAACATTCATGTACAAGTCTTTGTGTGAGCATATGTTTTTGTTTTCCTTGGATAATAAATCTAAAAGTTGGAATGACTGGATCATATGGTACATGCTTGTTTAACCTCTAAAGAAACTGCCAAATTGTTTTCAAAAGTGGTTGTACCATTTCACATTCCCCTTCAGCAGTATATGAGAGTTCCAGTTGCTCCACATCGTCATGTGGTACGGCCAGTCTTTTTAATCTTAGACATTTTAATACATATATAATTCATGGTTTTAATTTTTATTTCTCTAAAGAGCAATGATATTGAGGGTGTTTTTTAGCGTTCTTATTTGACAGTAAGAAGTTATCTCTCCAAATCTTTTTTCCAACATAAAAATTGGGTGGTTTTCTTATCATTGAGTTTTGAGAATTCTTTTCATATTCTGATGTAAGTTCCTTACTGGATGTATAATTACAAATATTTTCTCCACTCTGCAGCTTATCCATTCTCTTAACAGTGGCTTTTGAGGAGCAAAAGTTCCTAATGTTGATGAAGTCAAATTGATCTTTTTTTTTTTCTTTTATGCATTGTGTTTTTCATGTTGTATCTAAGAAATCTGCTTTATCCAAAGCCACAAAGATTTTCTCCTATGTTTTCTTCAAGAAATTTTGGAGTCTTAGGTTTTACATTTAGGACAATAATTCATTTTGAGTTCATTTTTGTATATGCTGTAAGATATGGATCACTATAGTTTTAATTTGTATGTTTCTTGTCATGGGTGTATTGAGCATATTTTCATATATTTAAATATGATTTATATTTCATTTCTCATGAGGTCTTTGGTCAAGTCCTTTGCCCAGGCAGCTGTGTTTGGATATGCAGTTCGTGTGCCACTCAAAAGCCTAAACCAATAGGAGAAGTGGAGGCTGCAGTCTGGCAGCATGCTGCTCCCTGGGACATGTACACTGCTTAGGGGCCCCTTTTTCTAATTCATCCTGAGATGGCTGCTTTCTTTACTTTTCCCAGAGGCACTGCATAAGCTAGCAGAGGCATTGTCTTTGTTCACTTACTGCATTGTAGGTCTTTTTCATATTTTATAAGAGTTCTCTGTATTACTTAACCCTCCATCATTGTGGTGTGAATATATTCTTCCGAGATTATCATTTACATTTTTTACTGTTCATGGTATTTTTCAATCAGAATAATTACTTGTAGAGTCAAATACATCAGTCTTTGCTATTGTGGGTCTGAATTTTGTGTCGTGCTTAGAAAGCTTCCCTACTCCAAAGTTATTTTGAAAAATCACTTCATGTTTTCTTACTGGCATGTTTATTGTTTCTTTTTCACATTTAAGTCTTTTGATTCAGTTGGCATTTATTTTGGTGAAGGGGTGAGACAAATCTAATTTATTTTTTCCCCAGTTGGCCACCTAGTTGTCCCAACACTGTTTATTAAATAATTAATATTTTCCCCACTTACGTAAAGTGCCAGATTTATCACAAACTAAATTCTCATCTTTAATGTAATAAGAGGACATATTACCCTGCCCAGAGGCCACATGCTACACTTTGATTCTATGGGAAAGAAACAGATGACAAGAAAAGGAGGCAATTAAGAGATTTGTTTATTTTCAGAGCATGATTTGAGTTAGTGCTTAAGAGTTCTACATCTATCATGTGATACAAAAATCAGGATAGCAATAACCTTTATCAGGAAAAGATTAAATTGTATTTACTATCTTCTATTTGTGAATAAGGAAAGTGTTCAATATTTTTGAGAAAAAGTAATGCAGAAGACTTTACACACACACATACACACACACACACACACAAGTTCCTTCGTTAGGAAAAGTTGTGTAATGGCTAAGACTTTGGGCTCTGACTCAACATAAGCCTGTGATGCTACTAGTCTCTAACTTGTGTTAATGTAGGGATTGAGTTTATTCATGTAAAGTGCTTATTAGCACAATGCCAGACTCAGAATACATGCTCAATATTCAGTAGCTGTTAACTTCTATTTTTGAAAAATGCTTAGATGAGTTTCTCCAAGATTTCTCAGATGTGGTTTACCTGCTATCACTGAGGGATTGTGCCTTCATTGACTGGAGAGATCACATGGAAAACATGCCTACCAAACCTGGGAGAAACTTACCTGATCATTTATATAGATAATTGATGTGGTTCACTTACTCAGCACAGTGGCTGGAACATAGAAAATACTTAATAAAACTTCCTGTTATTATTAATAATAAATCATTTTGTCTTAGTTATTCCAAAGAAGAATTGTAGAAGAGTGGACCTGAAGACAGTGCTATGGCAATATGCAGCAGGATCAGCAGAAAGTGAATTCTTTTTTTTTTTTTTTGAGACGGAGTCTTGCTCTGTCGCCCAGGCTGGAGTATAGTGGCACGATCTCGGCTCACTGCAACCTCCGCCTCCCAGTTCAAGCAATTCTCTTGCCTCAGTCTCCCGAGTAGCTGGGACTACAGGCGCCCACCACCATGCCCGGCTAATTTTTTGTATTTTTTAGTAGAGAGGGGGTTTCACTGTGTTAGCCAGGATGGTCTCCATCTCCTGACCTTGTGATCCGCCGGCCTCGGCCTCCCAAAGTGCTGGGATTATAGGCATGAGCCGCCATGCACAGCCCAAAGAGTTCTCTTATATCCTCCACTCCACTTCCCCAATGTGAACATCTTATATAACCATAATACAATGATCAAGAACAGGAAATTAACATTTATACAATATCATTAACTAAACCTTAGAATTTATTTGAAATTCATCAATTTTCCCACTAATGTCCCTTTTCTGTTCCCTGGTCCTATCCATGATTACACAGTGCATTTAGTATTTATTTCTTCTCAATCCCCAGTCTGTAACAGCTTCTCAGTCTTTCCTTATCTTTCGTGACCTTGACACTTTTGCAGAGTACTGTGACAGGCAGAATTCTAAGATGATCCCTAAGGTTTCCACCGCTGAATGTACATACCTTGTATACACTCTTGAGTACAGGCAGAACCTGTGAATGTGATGGGATATCACTCCTGTGATAACATTACTTATCGGTTCACTTTGACTTATCAAAAGAGAGATTATCTGGGTGGGCCTGATCTAATCAGGTGAGCCCTTTAAAATAACCAGGCCCTTCCTGAAGTCAGAGAAGCTTGCTTGCAAGTATGAGAGAATCTAAGGAAGTGGTTACATGGCAAAGACCCAAGAGTTTTTTCCAGGAGCTGAGAGGTTCTCAGCTGCTGCTGGCTAGCAATACAGCCTCAGTCCCACAGCTGCTAGGAAATGATTTCAACCAACAGTGTAAGGCAGCTTGAAAAACTACCTTTGCCTGGTGGGCATGGTGGCTTATGCCTGTAATCCCAGCACTGTGGGAGGCCAAGATGGGTGGATCACCTGAGGTCAGAAGTTCGAGACCAACCTGTCCAACATGGTGAAACCCTGTCTCTACTAAAAATACAAAAACATTAGCTGGGTGTGGTGGCGTGCACCTGTAATCCCAGCTACTTGGGAAGCTGAGGTAGCAGAATCATTTGAACCTGGGAGGTGGAGGTTGCAGTGAGCTCAGATTGCACCACTGCACTCCAGCCTGGACAACAAGAGTGAAACTCCATCTCAAAAAACAAAAAGAAAAACTACCTTTCCCTAATTGAGCCTCCAGATGTGAATGCAGCTGGCCGACACCTTGATTTCAGACCCAGAGCAGAGCATAGTTAGAATATGCTAGACTCCAGACCCATAGAAACTGTGAGATATTAGATGGCAATTGTTTTAAGCTGCTCAGTTTATGGTGCTTTGTTTTGCAGCAATAGAAAACTAATACAAATAATAATATAAATCAGTTATCTGTAGAATATCCCTCAATATGTGTTTGTCTGATGTTTTCTCATGTTTGGAATGAGGTTATATATGCTTGATGAGAATGAACAAAAACGATGTGTTCTTCCCAGTGCATCATATCAAGGGATTCATTTTGTCTGTTGTGTATATGTCTTATTACTGGTGATATTTACCTTTGATCATGTAGTTAAATTGGTGTCTGCCAGGTTTTCCCCACTGTAAAGTTTTTGTAGTTCATAATTATCTTGCAGGAAGTACTTTTTTTTTTGAGAGGAAGTCTCACTCTGTTGCCCAGGCTGGAGTGCAGTGGCGCAATCTCGGCTCACTGCAACCTCCACCCCCCGGGTTCAAGTGATTCTCCTGCCTCAGCCTTCCGAGTAGCTGGGATTACAGGCGCCTGCCAGCACGCCTGGCTAATTTTTGTATTTTTAGTAGAGACAGGGTTTTACCATCTTGGCCAGGCTGGTCTTGAACTCCTGACCTTGTGATCCACCTGCCTCAGCCTCCCAAAGTGCTGGGATTACAGGCGTGAGCCACCGTGCCCGGCTGCAGGAAGTACTTTTGAGACTATATAAATTCTGTTTCTCCTCCTTGTCACCCACTAATTTTAGTATCATCTATGGATCTTGCCTGAAATGTTTATTTTTATTTATGTTTTTAGAGACAGGGTCTTGCTCTGTCACCCAGGCTGGAGCACTGTGGTGCGATGAAGGCTTGCTGCAGCCTTGACCTCCTCGCCTCAAGCAATCCTTCCGCCTCGGCCTCCCAAGTAGCTGGGACAACAGGTGTGTGCCACCCTGCTCTGCTAATTTTTTTATTTTATATTTTTGTATAGACAGGGTCTCACTTTGTCGCCCAGGCTGGTCTCAAACTCCTGGCCTCGAGTGATCCTCCTACTGCCTTGGCCTCACAAAGTGCTGGGATTACAGGCATTAGTCACTACATGAGTCACTGTGCCCAGCCTGAAATTTGTATTACTCCAGTGTCTGCCTAGTGGTAATTCTCTATTTCTCTCTTTCTTCTACATTTATTGATTGAACTTCCACTGTAAGAAAGAGCTGCCTCGGGCCAGGCGTGGTGGTTCACGCCTATAATCCCAGCACTTTGGGAGGCCGAGGCGGGCAGATGACAAGGTCAGGAGATCGAGACCATCCTGGCTAACACAGTGAAACCCCGTCTCTACTAAAAATACAACAAAAAAAAAAATTAGCCGGGCATGGTGGCGGGCGCCTGTAGTCCCAGCTGGAGGCTGAGGCAGGAGAATGGTGTGAACCCGGGAGGCAGAGCTTTCAGTGAGCCGAGATCGCGCCACTGCACTCCAGCCTGGGCAACAGAGCGAGACTCCGTCTCAAAAAAAAAGAAAGAAAGAAAGCTGCCTCTTCCCTCATTCCTCCCCTATTTATCTATTTATTTATTTGATTATTTATATCATATTTGTTTTACTCTGTGGATCAAAACCCCATATGGTCATTACTTTTCAGTTAAATTGTTCCTACTTAGGTCATTATGAACTCCTTCACACTGGCTCCTGTGTTCTTTTCACAAGCCTGCATCTGGTTTTGAGCCTTTCCTAACTTCCTGGCACATACGATGTTGTTGACTCATTTTGGATTTTCTCTGCCCAGTCCTGAAAACAACCATTCTCCAAGGGTAACTGGTTTCTGGGTTATTGGAGAATGCTGTTTATGTCTGGGTGTTAGGTGTGTTCAATTTTTAGGGTGTAATTGCTTCTAGACCCTCCCAGAGGCTAGGTAATATATGTAATACACGAACCCATACATACTTACATATTTATATTTCTGTATTGATCTGTCTGTATCTATTTTTAAAAACCATGAGTTTTACAGCTGGGCATGGTGGCTCTAACCTGTAATCCTAGCACTTTGGGAGGCTGAGACAGGCAGATCATTTGAGGTCAGGAGTTTGTGACCAGCCTGGCCAACGTGGCAAAACCATATGGTCAATAACCAATTGAGACCAATCAGGCTGGTTCGAGACCAGTCTGGCCAACATGGCGAAACCCTGTCTCTACTAAAAATACAAAAGTTAGCTGGGCGGTGGTACATTGCTGTAATCCCAGCTACTCAGGAGGCTGAGGCAGGAGAATCACTTGAACCTGGGAGACGGAGGCTGCAGTGACCAAGATCGCGCCACTGCATTCCAGCCTGGATGACAGAGCAAGACTCCGTCTCAAAAATAAATAAAGTAAAAATAAAATTAAAGCCATGAGTTTATGCTGATACATCTGATTCCAATTCAATACCACAAGGTTCATTTTAGCTTTCTTTTTTTCCCTATTTATAACTTCTTTCTCCAACAGTGAAAAGCCCAGCTACTATCTATTTACTTATTTGTTTAAAAATGTGTGTGTGTGTTGTTGTTTTGTTTTCTTTTTCTGGAAAAGTTTTTCTCAGAAACCTATAGAATGTGTAGCACCAAATGGCCTCCAACTCCATGCCAGAGGCAGCTGACCACAGCAACTGCATTGATTCTTCACTTTCTGTCTCCTCCTAAACCCCATTCAGATATCCCCCAGTCACCTTCCTACAAACTAAAACTGGAGTTCTCTCTCTCCCAACCCAACAGTTAGAAGCTTAGGGCCAAGGTGGGGTCATTGGAACCTGATATAAATTTTTGCTTTCTGAGCAGACCAAAAGGAAGCCATCCTGCGTTGAAAATCTGTTAAAATGTGACCTAAGAGTTTTTTGTGTGTTTGTTTGTTTTTTGAGACGGAGTCGCCCCGTCGCCCAGGCTGGAGTGCAATGGCGCGATCTTGGCTCACTGCAACCTCCGCCTCCTGGGTTCAAGTAATTCTCCTGCCTCAGCCTCCTGAGTAGCTGGGATTACAGGCGTGTGCCACCACGCCCAGCTAATTTTTTGGATCTTTAGTAGAGACGGGGTTTCACCATGTTAGCCAGGCTGGTCTCGAACTCCTGACCTCAAATGATCCTTCCAACTCGGCCTCCCAAAGTGCTGGGATTATAGGCATTAGCCACTGTGCCTGGCCCTGGATTGGTTATTGACCATACAGAATTCACTCTGAGTCCCAGCTGATTCTAATGGGTGGGGTTTTTTTGTTTGTTTTAATTTTAGTTTATTTTTCTTTTTTTTGGAGACAGGGTCTCACTCTGTTGCCTAGACTGAAGTGCAGTAGTGTGGGGATCCTCCTGCCACAGCCTCCTGAGTAGCTAGAACTACAGGTGTACACCCCCATGCCTGGCTAATTTTTTATTTTTTGCAGAGACTGTGATCTCACCATGTTGCCCAGGCTGGTCTCAAACTCCTGCCCCAAGTGTTGGGATTACAGGCACGTGAGCAAGCACACACGACCCTAATGGGTGTTTCCATACTTCCTCACTACATCCCCCACTCAGAGATTGATAATTTAAGCTTTTCAGTATCCCTACCAAATACTGATAGTAATTAAACCCTTCCTTGAACCCCTCGCAGATGGTATCTGTGAAAATAAAATAAGAAAATCAATGGGGAAGTGCTTTGAAAATTATGCATTGCTAAGTAAACTGAAGGGCCCTGGGATGTGTCTGCAGTGAGAGGGTTTGAACTCTGCATCTGGTAATGGGAGCTTTCGGAGACTGCTCTTCCTGCTGTGACCACCCTAAGTTGGGAGACAGAAATGTTTCAAGAATACAGGGAAGGTGAAGTTGCTATAGTGAATGGGGTGGTTAACAAAATAATATGTGCTGAAAATCTCTCAAAACAGAAAGGTCAAAATGCTTTCATTATTGAGTGCTTTAAAAATGATTTAAAAATAGTTATTCAAGGCTGGGCACGGTGGCTCACGCCTGTAATCCCAGCACTCTGGGAGGCCAAGGCAGGTGGATCATCTGAGGTTGGGAGTTTGAGACCAGCCTGACCAACATGTAAAACCCCGTCTCTACTAAAAATACAAAAAAAATTAGCCAGGTGTGGTGACACATGCCTGTAATCCTAGCTACTCGGGAGGCTGAGGCAAGAAAAGCGCTTGAACCTGGGAGGCGGAGGTTGCGGTGAGTCAAGATCGCGCCATTGCACTCCAGCCTGGGCAACAAGAGCAAAACTCCATCTCAAAAAAAAAAAAAAGTTATTAAAGCCAGGCGCAGTGGCTCACGCCTGTAATCCCAGCACTTTAGGAGGCTGAGGCAGGAGGACTGCTTGAGCCCAGGAGTTCAGACCAGCTTGGGCATCATAGCGAGACCTAGTCTCTACCCAAATAATAATAATAATAATAATAACAAAAAATTAGCTAGGTGTAGTGGTGCCAGCTGTGGTCCCAGCTACTCAGGAGGCTGAGGTGGTGGGATGATCCCTTGAGCCCAGGAGGTTTCAGGTTGCAGTAACAACTGTACTCCAGCCTGTGTAACAGAGCGTGACCCTGTCTCAAAAAAAACCAAAAAAGTCGCTCATTCATTCCTGTCTTACTAACGGATGTGGAAATGAGAAGTTCCATCTTTGCCTGGAGGAAGTGTAGAATACACAGAGCAGAGAATATACAATGATAGCTACCATTTCTTGAAGACCTACTGTGAGCCAGGGACAGTGTTAGGGGCTTTCTACATATTATCTTATTTAATACAAGCAATCATCTTGAAGGCAGGAATTGATATCTTCAACAATGAGTAATTAACTACCAGAGAGGTAAAGGGAGTTTGTCCAAGGTCACCCATATAAATGCAAGAGTCAAAATTAAAATCCACGTCTGCCTGAATGCCAAAGCTCAAGTACTCTCCAACACTAATAAGGTGAGAGTAATCCATTCACTGAAAAAAATATTTGAGTGCCTCAGGCCGGGCGCGGTGGCTCACACCTGTAATCCCAGCACTTTAGGAGGCCGAGGCAGGTGGATCACGAGGTCAGGAGATCGAGACCATCCTGACTAATACAGTGAAACCCCGTCTCTACTAAAAATACAAAAAAATTAGCCGAGCATGGTGGCGGGAGCCTGTAGTCCCAGCTACTCGGGAGGCTGAGGCAGAAGAATGGCGTGAACACAGGAGGCTGAGCTTGCAGTGAGCTGAGATCGTGCCACTGCACTGCAGCCTGGGCGACAGAGCAAGACTCTGCTTCAATAAATAAATAAATACATAAAAATAAAAAAACTGAGTGCCTCTTTTGTTCCAGACATTGTTCTGAGTGCTAGTGATATAAAAGTGAAAAAACAAAGTCCTTGTCTCATGGGGCTCATGCTGTAGTGGAGAAAGACAATAAAAATGTAGTATGTCAGATGGTGATAAATGCTGTGAAGGAAAATTAGGATGGGGTGCGTAGGATTACTATTTTAACCAGAATGGTCAGGGAAGACTCTGATCATGTGAAGTCTGAGCAGACGTACAAGACTTGGAAGAAACAGAACTGGCACAAAGAAGAACTTCCTCCTTTGCCTACCTATGGGTTCAGTTTGGAAAAGAGGGGGCGGGATGGGAGTGCAGGTGTTAATGGAAACTATATGCTCAAAATCAGAAGACCTGAGCATTACTTTACTCCAGGTGATTTACTGGCAAATCTTTTCACCTTTGAGCCTCAATTCCCTTCACTGTAGACGGGAATAACAGTTCTTGCCCAGCTTCTCACACACAGCTGCCATGAGGATCAGATGAGATGACCCACTTGAAAGCCCTTTAAAAATAACACAATCAGGGCCAGGCGCAGTGGCTCACGCCAGTAATCCCAGTACTTAGGGAGGCTGAGGCAGGTGGGTCGCTTGAGGTCAGGAGTTGGAGACCAGCCTGGCCAACATGGTGAAACCCCGTCTCTACTACTAAAAATACAAAAATTAGCCAAGCGTGGTGGTGCGTGCCTGTAATCCCAGCTACTCGGTAGGCTGAGGTGGGAGAATCGCTTGGACCAGGGAGACGGAGGTTGCAGTGAGCCGAGATGGCGCCACTGCACTCCAGTTTGGGCGGCAGAGTGAGATTCTGTCTCAAAAAAAAAAAAAAAAAAAAGACCGGAAGTCAACTCTTCAAATAAAATGTATTCCTATCTCAGGTGCAGTAGTTACCCTAAACATCTTTTTGAAAGGCCGCCCAGGCTGAAAAAAGAGATAGGCTAAACTAAATAAGCATAAGTTTCATAATATGCCTCTGCTGAAGATTCTTGGGTAATTTACACCAGTCAAAAATTGTGGGCCGGGCGCGGTGGCTCACGCTTGTAACCCCAGCATTTTGGGAGGCCGAGGCGGGCGGATCGCCTGAGGTCAGGAGTTAGAGACCAGCCTGGCCAACGTGGTGAAACCCCGTTTCCACTAAAAATACAAAAATTAGCTGGGCATGGTGGCGGGCGCCTGTAATCCCAGCTACTCGGGAGACTGAGGTAGGAGAATTGCTTGAACACAGGAGACGAAGGTTGCAGTGAGCCGAGATCGCGCCACGGCACTCCGGCCTGTGAGACAGAGCGAGACTCCGTCTCAAAAAAAAAAAAAAAAAAAAAGTGTGTCGTGTGCTTCAACTAAACTAGGAAAGAAGTCTTGGGATTCTAATCTTTAACTCTAATCGCCACGCCCCTTCACCCGAACTCTATTTCCCAATATGCCCCGGGCTTCTATAATCCCGCAGTCATTGTGACGCAATCCCACAGCCTTCTGGGAAACGTAGTTTATTTATTCTCCAGCTGGGGAAAGGCTTAGGGCTGTGGACTACCTCTCCCGTGAGGTAGTGCGCAACTCCACCCTGTTCGCGGCGTCTTCGAACGCGCCGCGGCAGCCATGTTGGACGTGGTCAGCACAGGGGCCGGCACCACGGGGTTATCGAAGCAGCTGTCAAGATGCTGGGGTCCCTGGTGTTGAGGAGAAAAGCACTGGCGCCACGGCTACTCCTCCGGCTGCTCAGGTCCCCAACGCTCCGGGGCCATGGAGGTGCTTCCGGCCGGAATGTGACTACTGGGAGTCTCGGGGAGCCGCAGTGGCTGAGGGTAGCCACCGGGGGGCGCCCTGGAACATCGCCGGCCTTGTTCTCCGGACGTGGGGCAGCCACCGGGGGGCGCCAGGGAGGACGCTTCGATACCAAATGCCTCGCGGCTGCCACTTGGGGACGCCTTCCTGGTCCCGAAGAAACACTCCCAGGACAGGACAGCTGGAACGGGGTCCCCAGCAGGGCCGGACTGGGCATGTGCGCCCTGGCCGCAGCGCTGGTGGTTCATTGCTACAGCAAGAGTCCGTCCAACAAGGGTGATTATGAGATCTGGGTTTGAGGAAGGGAGAGGCGGGAAGATTGTCCTAACTTCGTATCTTAGGAGGGTGGGAGGTACTTATAGGTTTAGATCCTTAGAGCCTAAGTCTTGGAGGGACTCAGACATCATCTGGTTACAGGGGCAGGGTGTTGCCCTAGAGACCTCATCACCTCGGAGTTGTATAATCTCGTACCATAGATCCGCTTCCCCTCTCTGGGCATCATTTTATCCATCTGTACAATGGGGATATTGGACTAAACATCTAATATTATAGCATGGTCCCCTTATGTTTCTCATATTCTGCCTGGTCCAATTCCTCTTTCCTGAGATCTCCAGGAAACGGAAATTATGGGGTGTTTTAAGGGCAACCGCCAGATGGTTTAGAGAAGTTGCCAAACCGCTCCCCCCTACCCCCCGCCACCAAAGGTGCCAGAGTCAGGAACAACCTGACTCGGTTCTAATGCCAGCTTGACCTCAATTTATTTATTTATTTATTTATTTATTTATTTATTTATTTATTTATTTATTTCTGAGATGGAGTCTTGCTCTGTCGCCAAGCTGGAGTGCAGTGGCGCAATCTCGGCCCACTGCAACCTCCGCCTCCCGGGTTCAAGCTATTCTCCTGCCTTAGCCTCCCAAGTAGCTGGGACTACAGGTGCGGGCCACCACACCCAGCTAATTTTTGTATTTTTAGTTGTTGGTCAGGATGGTCTCGATCTCTTGACCTCCTGATCCACCCGCCTTGGCCTCCCAAAGTACTGGGATTACAGGCGTGAGCCACCGCGTCTGACCAATTTCTTTATTTATATAGTGAAGGATAGTTTCCCAACATTTTTACAGTACTGTTATTTTGACTCTTTTTGGAGTTCAGCGGCCTGAGTCTGTCAGTCTCAGGATTTTGCTGTGTCTGGTCTCACATGCTGTGAGGTGATCTTGCCATGTGGGATAGTTGGCAGGAGAAGGAAGGTGGATTCCTGGAGGCCCAAGGGCAACTGCTGGGGGACTGGCTGATCCCGATTAGCATCTCATTTGGATCCGGGGAGCTAAGCAGCAGCTGAGAGAGTGGACAGAGAGCCAGACTGATGACCTATGTGAGTCCAGCCATTCAGGTTCTTAGTTGTTCCTCAAGAAGAAAGACTGAGGCATGGTGTCCATAGATTCCATGCACCCCAAGCTCTGAGAATTTGGAGCAAGAGTTGGGGAGTAGGGAGTGCCTTGACTTTGATTCGTTTGATGTGGCCAATTGTAAAGGAAGGACTTTGGTCTGGGAGAGACAACACTGGGGATCTTGTTTTGGTTCTGTGTCTAACTCTCATTGTGAATTTGGACTTTTGCTTCTCCTCACGGGTCCTCTGTTTCCTCATCTACAAAATGAGGGTTTTGAAATAGACACTAAGGGCATCGAGCTTAGGCATGTTGTAATCCTATAACTTCCAGCATTTTTGGGGGTACCCACTGTGTGTCTAGTTTTAGGCTAGGTGTGTGGGAAGTCCTAACTTAACACAAAATCAGTCAAGGGGACAGTGCAGGCAGTTGGAATGTAGGGCTGGTGAGTGGTGCTATGTGTCGTTGGGGGATCAGAGGGCCAGTAGGGTCAGGAAAGCCTTTCTGGAGTATTGGAGACCCCAGAGGATGGGAAATTTGAACTTGAGTTCTGAAGGATGAAGTAGAAACGGAAAGGGGAGTGATCTTTTGAGCCCCATGAGAGCAGGAAATGTATCTTCTCTTTTGTTTTTTCAGGTTATACTAGCAACTTTCCCGAATACCTAGACATCATTTGCCCACCACAGTGTCTGGAACTTAGTAGGTGCTCAGTAAATGTGTGAGAGTTGGATTATATTCCATGCAAAGGCTTCAGGGAATGGAAATAACAGTTTCGGGGCACCATGGTGTGTGCAGGGGCCAGCAGAGCAGCCAGCTTGGTTGGAGGATAAGGTCTTTGGAATTAGATGAGAGCAGATGGAGTGGGGCCTGGATGCCAGTCAGGGGTGGGGTAGGTGAGGGTGTTGGAATTTCTTCTGTAGGCAGTGGAGAGTTATGGAAGGTTCATGAGCAGGGAATGTTCTGAGTCCAGTGTATTTGGTGAGGTCTTGCCTAAGAAGTTCCTGGGGGTTCCCAACTGGACTTTATGGCCTATGAACTCCAGCAAGAATACCAGGGTCTATTTACCAAAATAGATAATGGTCAAAGCCGTGACCAGTTCCTGCTGGAACTGACTTGCCAGCTACCCTGTCCCCTGACTTAGAGTTTTGACCCTCAGTGCAGTGTGGTAGAAACTGAACCCTTTTAGAAGCCAGGAGGCCCTGGTTCTTAGCTCATTCCTCACTCTGTAACCTTGTAGAAGCCACATTTTTTTCTGCAGAGTGAAGGGAGAGTGGATATAGCCATCTCTAAGGAAGGCTTGATCCCCTCCCAGCTGGTGGCTGTCTGAGCCATGCTTGGGTATGTGCTTTAGGTACATCCGGTAAGGTAAGTAGAAAGGACCTGTCCCTGGAATCTAGGCCAGGAGGCATCAATGTCTGAACCACAGGACTGGCTTTCATATGCATGATAAGGTGTATTGTACAGATAAGGAAACTAAGGCTCAGGAGGTTAGATAGGTGGGCTAGGTTATACAGCAAATAAGCGACAGAGCTGGGCTAGACCCCAGGTCTGACTGTCTCCAGATCCTGCTCTTTCACTCTACTCCAGTGCATTTGCTCATGAGTGAGTCTTTTGGCTGGACTGAGAGTTCCCTGAGTCAGGGCTGGCTATGAATCCGCCCACTGCCCAGCAGTGTAGCTCAGAACCAGGCTGGGCACAGAGGGCTCCATGTACCTGGTATTGAGCTATTTGAAAAGATTGTGCCTCTCCTGTTGACTTTTGAGTTTTTCTGAGTCAGTCCAATTTTCTTTATGGCCACAAGGTGGTGGCAACAGCCTGCAGGCTGCCCAGACCAGGCCAGACGCACTTAGCTAGCGTTGCTTTTCTCCTAGGCTTAGTGTCTCCTCTGCTTTGGGTCTCCCTTCCCTGGGCTCAGCACTGGGGAGTTTGCAGACGTCTCAACTGTCATTTCATCTCCTTGACATCCTTGTGAAGCTGGCAGGGCAAGGAGTTTTGTCTATGTTTTACAGTCAGGAAAGCTGTGGTTGAGAGAGAGAGGAGCTGTCATGGTCACGTGGTGAGTAGTGGGAGTGGAATGGAGCTAGATCTCAAAGACTCCTAGTTGAGACCTCTCCATCCTCAGAGAGGCCTACACCCTGCTTGCTCCTCTCCATTCTACCTTTCCTTTTGGGTTTATGACTTGACATCAAGATTCAGAACTGGGTTGAAGAACTGGAGTTGAGGGAGAAAGTGGACAAGATCAGGGAATCTTTAGTAATAACTCTTATAGGAACATAAAGCATATGCAGAGCTTCATAGATTATGAAGAGCACATTATTTACCATAGGCAAGACGTGGTGCTAGCAGTTGACCTGCATTCCCTCTATGATGAGAGGAGTGAAGAGTTTGGGCTCTGTAGTAGAAAGGTGTGGAAGTCAGGTTGTTAACAGTGGACACCATGTGGGGAGGGAATGATTCGTTTCTCATTATATATTGTGACATCAGTTTGCTTGTCAAAGTCCACGTTTCTAAAGTACTGCCACTGTCTTAGTGGGCCCTCCACGCAGTCCTGAGATGGGTATGTCCTGGCCGCGGATCTGACCAGTGCCCCCTTTCTCTTCAGATGCAGCCCTGTTGGAAGCTGCCCGTGCCAACAATATGCAAGAAGTCAGCAGGTGAGTTGAACCCCAGGCCTTGCTCTCCCCTACAGGAGAGGCTGAGCAGGGCGAGCCTCTTCTCGTGTGATGACTTTGCTTTGGAGGAAATCCTTACCCTAAGCTGGGAACTGTCCCCTGTGACATCTCTGTAGTCACAGAGTCACCTGGGCTTCCTTTACCCAGATCACCCCTTGGATATTTTCGGTAGGGAGTCAGCTCCCAAACATCCCTGGATCCTTCAGCTATTTTGTTCTTCACTGGGTTGGTTTGGACTCCCTTCAGCCCCCATATCCTTTGGGTTCTTCTCTGAATCTTCTGATTTGTGCTCATTTCTTTGGGAATGGCCATGTATTACTGCTTGCTGCCTGGACAGGTTGCAGGTCGGCATCTATGGAAAGGCTTGGGGATTTGGGACAGAGCTGGAAGAGACCATCTGCCAGAAGGTCTGGGGCTAGAAATGCCTGCCTGCAGGGCCAGGGGCCCATACCTGGCTTTGCCCGGGGACAGACTGCATTTCTGTAGCTTCACTGGCTCAGCTAGTCTCCAGTGACCACTGGCAGGTTGAATTTGAGGCTTATTATTTGGCAAGGGCAAGATTCAACTCGGCTCAGCCCAGTGCCAGGTATAGGGCAGAGTCTGTGTCCAGGATGGATGCTCAGACTGGGGCCAGCATGGGGCATCAGTTACAGGGCTGTTGGTTAAGGGCAGAGGTCTTATTCTTGTTGAAACTATGCCCCCCACTGGGCCTAACCTTGGCCTCTCTTGGCCATTTATATAGAGCTAGGTGGCCATAGGACACCCCCCTTCCTTGCCATCATGTCTGCATGTTAGACAGGAAGTCAGGTGTTGGGGTGGCTATTTCCACACCCAGTGCCACAGGCCCTTGGTGTTCTTCCCCACCTTAGCTTCCTGAACATACAAGAAAGTGTTGAAAAGCAGCCCACCCCACCAAGACTTACTGCTTTGATTCCCTTTCATTTTATCTGCAGCATTATTATTGATTCTCAAGGGTGCTTTTGGGTATTAATGTTCAAGCCTTAGTTTTTAATAAACCACTTTTGGAAATATGGGCTGGGAGTTGTTTTGTAGCCAAATAAATATGTTGGAGCAATAGTTTAATAAACATGCGATGATGCATCTTAAAAACCAAGCACAGATGTCATCCTGTTGTTATAAGAGCCATTCATAACTGCAGGCTGTGTGTGGCATCTTCATTCCTCCAGAAACAGATGTGCTTTGCTTCATTCTGCTGCAGTACAGGAGTACGGGTATGGAAACTGACCCTTGCTGACCCTGGAATCACCTGTTGGCTACTGCGAAGGGCTGCCGGGCTGCGACTTTCCCCTTTTGGCAGGGCATTTGCAGAGCAGCAATGTTGGGAATCCACTCTTCCATCCCCCAGGGGATGCCACTACCATATTCCATTGAGCTGCCAGGCATTGATTATTTAGTTCTTTCAAATACATGTTTTTCTAATAGCAATTAAACACCCATCCCAAAAATACAGAAAGTAATTGAACTTAACGGTGTATGTGTGATTCAGACAATTTTTCTGAACATTCATTCTCGTGTGGATAGTGTCTGGGGGGGCTTTTCATGTGTGTCCCCAGGCTCTAGCCTGCTTTTCTCCTGCCTCCTCTTGTCCCACCTCACTTGGTCAGGATGACCCTGTCAGAATCTCCCTTCACTCCATGTGAGGACATCAGAGATGAGCGAGGCACAGACCTGCCCTCAGCCCCCATCTCATACAAGACCACAGAGCCAGGAGCAAGCTAAGCAAAGGCGGGAAGCAGATGCTGGCTGGCTGCTGGGCCTGCGGAATATGTTGATGCTCCTGAGGTGGGATTTGTACAGGGTGTCAGAAAAGAGGGAAGGTTGTCTGAGAGAAGCTGGAATGTGCAAGGCCTGCCATGCCCAGGGTGAGGAGTTTTGAACTCTTACTCTGTACACAGTGGGGAGACGTGGGAAGTTTTTGAGCAGGGGAATGACCCAGTTAAGGCTGACTTGCAGAGGAGTGAAGGATGGACTGCATTGGGAAAAGGCTGAGGGCCGATCTGTTAAGAGGCTGTTTCTGTTTCAGTAAAGACAGATTCAAGATGATGAGGGCCTGAATGAGGACATCCTTCCCTCCCCCTCACCCAAAGCAGCTCTTGATTATGAAAGAGTGAGTGGGCCTCTGCTGGGCACTGCAGATGGGGGATGGGGATGGTGACCCAGGCCCTGGTCTCAAGGAAACAGACATGTAACCCACCAGTTATAGTTCTTCCTGCGAACAGAGCCAGGTCTGGGGGCAGTGGGGGTAAAGGGAGCCTGACCATCCTTGCTAGAAGGAAACTTTCTGGAATTCCTACAGTAGGTCCTTATTCAGCCTTTCTGTACCCTAGACTCTGTACAGGTGGTTCATGCTGCTCTTTATTTCTTCTTCAATGTCCTGGGCTCTTAGCTCTGCCCAACAGACCTGCCTATAGCAGGACAGAATCCCATACTCATTTATTTCTTTGAATTTACACATACAGTCATGCCTTGCTTAACAATAGGGACACATTCTGAGTAGTGCAATTTCATCACAGTGTGAACATCATAGAGTATACTTACCCAAACCTAAATGGTAATAGCCTACCACACACCTAATCTATATGGTATAGCCTGTTGCTCCTAGGCTAGGAATCTGTATAGCACGTTATTGCCCTGAATACTGTAGGCAATTGTAACATAATGGTAAGTATTTATGTATCTAGACATACCTAAATACAGAAAAGGTCATTTGTTGCACTATGATGTTGAGACAGTTACAACGTCACAAGAGGATAGGAATTTTTCAGCTTCATTATAATCTTATAAGACCACCTCATACATGCAGTCTATCGTTAACAAACACATCATTGTGTAGCGCATGACTGTAGGTTACACATGGTTGGGTCACTGTGTATATGATTGATATGGTCAATAATATCAGTATTTAGAGCAAAACTCAGACCTCGTAAATAATGTCGTGCTTTACCCTTCTTCCCCACTTGACCTCTCTGGGGCTCTGTACTGTGTCTGCCTCTACTTGACCTCCCCCAGCTCCTGTCCTTAGCCCCAGAGTCTTGGGAAAGTTCTGGATAGTGAAGGGCAGCAGCCTAATGCTCTTCTGCTCCCAGGGGGAGGTATTCGATCCTCCTCTTTAAGGACACCCTGGAATCTTCAGTCCATGGGCCCTGGATGTGGGTCCTCCACAGATGGCCCTCTGCCATCTGTATTCATTATCCTCTGCTTACACCTTTCAAAGCTCTAGTGCTGCTTTCCTTACAGAGCCTTCTTGGATTCCTCCCAGCTGGGTGTGATCTCATCTTCCTTTGCCTCTTCCCCCCACTCTGATCCTACACCTGCCTTCTGGTCTGGGAGGGTATGAGGGTGATCTAGAAAGGACCATGGCAGCTTGTCACAGGAGGGAGCTCCTTTTGTGGAAGAGAAGCTGGAGGTCAGGTTGGAGAAGTAGAGCTGAATGCCACTTGCCACACTGTTCTTTATATGAAGAAGTCTGTGGGCTATATTTCATCTGAAACTGCTGGATTGTGCACCTCCTGAAGGGCAGGGACAAGGTTGTGTTCTCTACCGTCTTTTACCCTGTTCCACAGCACAGCGGCACTTACTTGTTTTTTGTGACTCTTTCTTTGCTTTTTATTGACTTTTCAGTGTACCTGAAGTAAGCAGTCCAGAGGCTTTCACACTCCCCTTGGCTATATCAGAGGGAGGCCAGGTCTCTTCTCTTTCCTCCCTCCCTCGCTCCCTCCCTCCCTCCCTTCCTGTGTGACATCCATTTCCTCCCTTCTCCCCTGAGGCACTTAAGTTCATCCATCTCTGGTTCCTCAGAAGTGGAAGCCTGGCCTCCTACCTGTCAGCAGTGTGAGCAGGTGGTCCTGCTCCTGGGCTTACCCCAAACTTGAGCCTGAGGAACTGCTCACCCGAAACCTAGGGCACAAGGCAGACTAGAGGCACATCTGTCCAGGCTCAGGCCAAGCCATGTGAGGAGTTGTCAGGACTGGGACTGGGAAAAGTGAGGCCTCCTGTTCTCCCGGTGGAGATCACATTTCCTTCAGCACAAAGTGGGTGAAAGACAACACCCCTACCCATCTCCCTTCTCCCAGCAGGGGGCTAGGCCTCTGCTGAGTGCTTACCTCAGTTGTTCATCAGCCCAAGCAGTCTCTAATAAAGGAAGCCTGGCAAGATCAGTCTTGGGCCTCAGACTGCCTGCCCTTTTTCTCCAGGATTTATTTATTCATTTGACAAACAGCATCTGCCATATCCTGAGTCCTCTGCTTGGCACAGGGAACACTTAAGCAGTCATGGTTCCTGCCCATGATGACAGAGTCGGGGTAAACTGTGGCAATAGGGTGGTCAGTGCTGTGAGACAGGAAACTACAGGGGCTGCAGGAGACCAGAGGACAAACAGCCTGGAGGATCTGAGAAAGACTTCCAGAGGAAATGGCACCTGATCATAGACTTAAAATATCAGTTGGACTTTGTAAATAGAAGGGGAAGCCATTCCAGGCAAAAAGGGCAGCATATGTGGTAGCATAAGGCAAGGAGCAGCCTGGGGGGTATGCAGAGGGGAAGTCACTTGCTGTTCGGTGTTGCTGGATCACAGTCTGAGGCCAGGAGGGACTGGAGACAGGTAGCGACCTGGTCGTGGAGAACATTGATTGACTCTCCGTTTGTCCCTCAGTCGCCCATCTGTCCAGCCTGTGCTTTGTGCCTAGCCCTGAGCTGAATTTGTGGCAACAAAATGAGGAAGGAGAAACAGTCCCTGCCCTAGAGGAGCTCGTGTGCCCTCTGGTGAGGAAGAAGGACATGAGTCAAACATTGAGAGCCAGTGAAACAAGGAACAAATTACCTACCTTCCAACTAACATGAAGATGATAATAACTAACCCCACAGAGTGGCAGAGTCATTATTACTAATAACAAAATGATTAATTCATTCAGCCAATACTTACGAGTGCATATTCAGAGCTAGGCATTGGGCTGAATGTGGCAGTTAACAGTAACGAACAAGATTGGCACAGTCCCTGCCCTCTTGGCACAGTCTAACTAGGAGTCAGATAACTAATTATGCAACTGTAAAATTAGTAGAAAGAGTTTACTGGGGCCAAGTTTGAGGACTGCAACCCAAGAGTCTAGATTCAAGTTGCCATAAATATATGCTCCAGATTAGCAACAGTTGCAAGTGTGTTTTTAAAGGGAAAAACAAGAGACACTTTTTTGTTGTTTTTGAGACAGAATCTCAGTCCGTCACCCAAGCTGGAGTGCAGTGGCACGATCTCGGCTCACTGCAACCTGCGCCTCTTGAGTTCAAGTGATATTCATACGTCAGCTTCCCGAGTAGCTGGAATTAGAGGTGCATGCCACCACACCTGGCTAAGTTTTTTTTTGTGTTTTTTTTTGTTTTGTTTTGTTTTTTTTGAGACGGAGTCTCATTCTGTCCCCCAGGTTGGAGTGCGGTGGTGCGATCTCGGCTCACTGCAAACTCCGCCACCCGGGTTCATGCCATTCTCCTGCCTCAGCCTCCCGAGTAGCTGGGACTACAGGTGCCCGCCAACGCGCCCGGCTAATTTTTTGTATTTTACAAAGAGACAGGGTTTCACCATGTTAGCCAGGATGGTCTGACCTCGTGATCCGCCCGCCTCGGCCTCCCAAAGTGCTGGGATTACAGGCGTGAGCCACCACGCCCAGGGTATTTTTGTTTTTTTTTTAAGTAGAAATGGGGTTTCACCATGTTGGCTAGACTGATCTCGAACCCCTGACCTCAAGTGATCTGCCCACCTCGGCCTCCCAAAGTGTGCTGGGATTACAGGCCTGAGCCACCACGCAGAAGAGGCACTTTCCAAGTTGTTTACCAAGAATTTACATTAAAATAACAAGCTATTGTTTGGCTATACATTGTTCTTTGTATCACATATTCCAGGAACTACAGGAAAATAATGGGTGAGGCAGCTAGTTAGGAAACTACAGGGTAGAAAAGAAAGAAAAAAATGGCTTTAAACAATTGCCCCCAGGCATGGGGCAAGGGTGTGGGGTTATGGCTGAGCGCCTATACTCAGGTCTCTCTGGGCCCGATACATTTTGCATAAAAATATGATAGAACAGTACATCAGAATATTATTCATCAATTCAAAGGAAGCACTGATACGTGCTACAACATGGATGAACCCTGAAAATATGCTAAGTGAAAAAAGCTAGTCACCGAAGGCCACTGTCTTTGTCTGTTTGGGCTGCTATAACAGAATACCGCAGATTGAGTGGTTTATAAACAGCATAAATGTATTCCTCTCAGTTCTAGAGATCAAAGTCCTAGATCAAAGCTTCTGGTAAATGAGACTGAAGTGAACTCTTAATGATGAAGAGAAAGGCGGAAGACAGTTCAGTTAGAGGGAACAGCAGGTGGAAGGTCCTGACTCAAAGATGTGGAGAAATTGAGGAATTGAGAGAAGGCCAATAAGGCTGGACCCTAGAAAGCAAGGGGGAGAGTGGTGTCAAATGAGGTTGGCGAGTTAAGCAGGGACCATACCACACTGGGTCTGTAGGCCATATTAACAGTTTTTATTTTTGTCCTAAGAGCATGGGCAACCGTTGAGGAATTTTCAGCCAGTATGTGTATGTGTGAGAAAGACTAACAGGTACACATTGTGACATGATATAGATCTGCAGTTTTGAAAGATCATTCTGGTTGTTTGGTAGAGAACAGATTGGTAGAGATCTGTGTTGGATGCTGGAAGACTGGTTGAAAAGTAGCTGGAGTAGTCCAGATGAGAGAAGATGTGACATGGACTAAGATGACAGCAGCAGAGATGGAGGAAGTAAACTAGATAGGACTTGGTGATGGTTAGGACAATGCCTGGTACAGTGCCTGCCACACAGTAAGTATTCAATAAATGAATGAATATAAATGGATATGGTTGATTAGGGAGAAAAGGGTCTTAATGAATTTCAGTTTTCTGGCTTGATCATCTGTGTAGATGCTCTTGCCATTCACCGAGATGTGGATCCCTGAGGAACACTGGGTTTGGGGAAAAGATTATGAGTTCAGTTTTAAACATGCTGAATTTAACATGCCAATGGAAATGTCATTTAGGCACTAGAACCTCTGGGTCTTTCTGACTTCCCACTATACATGCCATGTTGCCTCTTAAATTATCATTTAGGAGATTCTTTTGGTGTCCTGTTTTGATTTCTGGTTTTATGGCTTTAGAAAATAAAGAACTTCATACTAGCCCAAACTGGTTTACTAGATGGCTTTGGGGAAAAAAATCTGATTTGGTTTACAGTTCAGGAAAAAAGAAAGGGTTGGGCTTTGTTGAGGGGTAAACATATTTATTCTAGCTTTGCACTGATGGCTTGGTTTGGTTCTCGTCCCTGGATGCCCCAGCTTGGGGCTTGAGGCACTTGCTGTCCATGTGCCAGGATTGAGGTGTCCAGAATGTACTTAGTTACAGCATAGGTAAATGTCCTGCACATTGATCCAGGGATTTTATCTAATTAACAAAACCCTGGCTGGTAAATACATTTGGCTGTCTCGGGGCCTCAGAGAGGCTGTCTGTTTATTGATTGTTGTATCATTTTGGCTGGATGGGAAGATATTAATGATGGCATCAGAGCAACCAAAACATCCAGCTCTCTTAATCAGGAAGTATGTAAATATCCTTGTGGCTTGCAGTGGATTGAAACACAAGCTTTATCCTAGACCAAAGGTCAAGGCCTCAAGGGCATCACTCCTGTAATTTGATACTTATAGTGAGAGCTTCTGAAGATCATCACACAGTTTTTTGAATGCTAGGGTGTACACAGGTTTTTTGAATGCCTTTCCAGAATGTTGGAAAGGCAGCATAATGTTACAGAAAGAATACAAGAGTTTTAGAATTAAAAGACCTCGTTTTACTTTTGTCATAGTTACTAACAAGCTATGTGACCATTAATAAGTCACTGACCTACCCTAAGTCTTAGCTTCCAAGTATTGTTCATGGGGTCCCCACTGAGACCTTTTAAATACAGTTCCCTAGTTTTTTTTTTTTTTTTTTTTTTTTTTGAGACGGAGTCTTGCTCTGTCACCCAGGCTGGAGTGCAGTGGCACAATCTCGACTCACTGCAAGCTCCGCCTCTCGGGTTCACGCCATTCTCCTGCCTCAGCCTCCCAAGTTGCTGGACTACAGGCGCCCGCCACCACGCCCGGCCAATTTTTTGTATTTTTAGTAGAGGTGGGGTTTCACCATGTTAGCCAAGATGGTCTCGATCTCCTGACCTCGTGATCCGCCCGCCTTGGCCTCCCAAAGTGCTGGGATTACAGGCGTGAGCCACCACGCCCGGCCAGTTTCCTAGTGTTCAGAGAAAGCTGAGTCCTTCTGGAAGGGTCCAGATCACACACTGAAACCCTAGGCTTGCTCAAGTAGACCTTGTACCTCTCAAGCAGTTCTACAGAGTGGCGTAGTGCCTGGCTTCTTTTCTGGGGTATGTGGCTTGCTGAGGCTCTGATTGCTTGTTCCCTGGTGATGGAAGGCAATTGGGAAAGGTTGGATTAGCAGCTTCTCTATAACTTCATGGGTAGGTGAGTTGTGGGAGCAGGTGGTCAACTGCCCAGAAGCCCTGCAGAGGCAGGCAGTTGGCCATGAGCAGAGAACAGCCAGGGCCTAACGCAGTGGGCCTGGAGGGAGGGGTCATGTCACTGAAAAGGAGCACAGCCAGCCCTGTGTGGCCTTGGGCTAGTCTCTCAGTTTCCTCGGGGGCCTCCACTGTAAAGTATCTTTGATGATACTTGTCTCATCACTCTCCCAGGATCTTGTGAGCATTCCAGGCAGGTGAGTCCTTGTCTGGAAAATTCCTCATCCTTCGGTCATCACTGTCACATCTTCCTGAAAGCCTTCCCTGATCCCCCAGTGATACGGCTCTGATGAGTGGAGGGACACCAGTGCTCCTGTCTCATGTCGAATTAGATAAGATGACACGGAAACACGTGGATTGGTTTTAAGGAGCAGAGAGTTTAGTAGGGAAGGAGGGGCAAGAAGGAAGGGAGAAGGAAGAAGCTCCCCTGTACAGAGACAGAGGGAGGGGGCTCCAAAGCCAAGAGAGGGAACCCCACCTGCCATGGATACCAGCCAGGTATATACAGAGGCTGGAGGAGGTGGTATCTGATTTGCATAGGACTCAAGGGATTGGTTTGACTAGGTATGTCATTCATGTACCCTGCAAAAAAGCTGGTCCTCCCACCCTAGCATTTTAATATGCAAATGCAGGGCACCATGTCCTGAGTAGCTGGGATTACAGGCATGCGCCACCACACCCGGCTAATTTTGTATTTTTAGTACATATGGGGTTTCTCCATGTTGGCCAGGCTGGTCCCGAACTCCCGACCTCTGGTGATCCGCCCGCCTTGGCCTCCCAAAGTGCTGGGATTACAGGCGTGAGCCACTGCGTTCTGCTGGGTAGACCCAGTTTTTTTAATGGCCTTCATTTGTATATCAAAGGTTGCCGACTGGCTCTAAGAACGGGGCTTTACCAGAAACTTCTGGAGATGCTTTAAAAAACGAAAATTTCCCAAGGACCTCTCCCTCTCTTATCTGCCTGAAATAGTTTCTTAATAACTCCTACAACACCAGTATCTGTGGATTCCCATAGCACCCTGTACTATATAAGTGAGAGCACTTACCACCTTCTGTTGGGATGGGTTATCTGTTTCCTTCTCTCCCTCACAACACTGTGAGTTTTGGAGGGCAGCAGACCATTGCTGTGTTGTTCATCACTGTGCATGTAAATAGTTACCAAATACTCACTGAATATTATTGAAAGTTTTTTTTTTTTTCCCCTGAGATGGAGTCTTGCTCTGTTGCCCAGGCTGGAGTGCAGTGGCACAATCTCGGCTCACTGCAACCTCTGCCTCCTGGGTTCAAGCCATTCTCCTGCCTCAGCCTCCCGAGTAGCTGGGATTACAGGCGACAGCTACTGCGCCCAGCTAATTTTTGTATTTTTAGTAGAGACGGAGTTTCACCATGTTGGCTGGTCTTGAACTCCTGACCTCTTGATCCGCCCACCTCGGCCTCCTAAAGTACTGGGATTACAGGCGTGAGCCACCATGCCCAGCCATTGAAAGCGTTTTGTGTTTTTGTTTGTTTGTTTATTTAATTGAGACAAGATCTCATCATGTTGCACAGGCTGGTCTTGAACTCCTGGGCTCAAGCAGTCCTGCCTTGGTCTCCCAAAGTGCTGGGATTACAGGTGTGAGCCACCACGCCTGGCTAAAAGTGTTTTGTAAATGATAAAAATTAAGCAAACTGTGTAGCTATTACAGTCATAATAAACCTGTAGACAGAGGACAAACAAAAATGAAGTAGTTCAATCGTTTATTCATTAAACAAATAGTGCCTACTATGTGTGGCACTGTGCTTGGTAGATCAGTAGTCAGACATGTACAGGATTTGCCTCATGGAGCTCAAAGCCTTGTCAGACGTGAATCCTACAAATGCGAAATGACAACTAGTACAAATGCTGCAAAGGAAGGACACAGAGAATCAGGAGAGCCTGTGACAGCCAGATTTCCCCTGGTCAGAGGAAGCTTGAGCTTGGAATTGAAGGATAAGGAAGAGTTTATCTAGGTGGAAAAGGTTGGGAAGAGCTCTCTAGCACAAGGAACTTTTATTTACAAGAATCCTGCATGAGGAGGAAGCAAGGCCAGTGTGAAGGACTGAAAAAGGCCAATGGTACTCCAGCTAGAGGAAGGTGCCAGGAGCCTAGAACAAGCAGACCCTACAGGGCATCAGAGGCCACATGAAGAAGCTTTGTCTTTATTTTTATGGCAGTGGCAGCTGAGATGGGTTGAGAGGGGATCAATATGATCAGTAGCCATTCTGATGGCTGAGGAACATGAGGAACTAATGTGAGTGCCTTCCTGCTTGTATGTGCCAGGCATCATCTTGGGCATGGTCCTGCCTCTTGAGGCAGTGTAGGCCACAAAGCTGTAATCGCTCAGGGCCTAACAGCAGGGGCAGTTGTCAGGCTCTGCCTCCCTACCATCATTTATGTCGCCCAAGTGCTATCTCTCCTCTAAAATCCCAGCTTAATCAAAATCATAACGCAATTCATGTCAGCACCGCCAGAACCAACTGGAATTTTTCTCCCAAGGAATTTTCCTGGAAACTGAGGAACAGAGATGAATCTAAGAATATTGAAAACAATCAAGCCAGTGTGTTACTGGGCTTCTAATATTCACTTAAGCTGCTTGCCTTGTACTTCCTGTTCTGTGTCTGCCTTTTTGAAAAAACCTCAGAAAATTTCAGTTTCTGAACTTTGAGGCTCTACTATGTCCTGCCTCCTTTGTGTTCCTCCCTTCTGAGCAAGAGCCCTAGGCCCAAAGTCCTTCTAAGGCAATCAGTCGTCCTCTCCTTGTGATTCTGTCAATGGATGCAAATACAAGTGGATTTCTTTTCTTTTCTTTTTTTTTTTTTTTTTTGGAGATGGAGTCTCACTCTGTCACCAGGGTGGAGTGCAGTGGTACGATCTCAGCTCATTACAACCTCTGACTCCTGGGTTCAAGCGATTCTCCTGGCTCAGCCTCCAGAGTAGCTGGGATTACAGGTGTGTGCCACCACACCCGGCTAATTTTTGTATTTTTAGTAGAGACAGGGTTTCGCCATGTTGGCCAGGCTGGTCTTGAACTCCTGACCTCGTGATCCTCCCGCCTCAGCCTCCCAAAGTGCTGGGATTACAGGCATGAGCCACTGCACCTGGCCTTCAAGTGGATTTCTTATCATTAGCAGGAAGCAGTGGTGAGGACTTTGGAGTCTGACAAAACAAGGCTTGAATCCTGGCTGTGACCATTGGTTAGTTCTGTGACCTTGGAAAAGTTGTCTAACATCTTTAACCTTAGATTCTTCATCTGCAAAGTAGGGATGATAATTGACCTGCCTCACACCATTGCTGTGTCATGTTTACTGATTCATCTCTTCACTTTTCTCTTCAGTTGCTTCTTATGTATTTCTCCTGACCTAGGCTGTGAGCCCTGTCACAGCAAGGTGTATGGCACCTCCTTCTCCTGCCTTCACCGTAGTAAGTCACACAAGGCTGGCTGGCACTCAGAAGACACATGGTACAGATGGAGTCTGGCCCGTTGATTGATTGGTTGATAGAAACCTTGTTTATTCTCCAAAGGCTAACCAGCAGGAGAGCACAGCCCTAGGCAGCAGCTGGGCAGGCTGACTGGTCTCCAGGATCCTCCATTCATGTGGATGGAAGGCTCAGGAAGGCTGCATAAGAATCCTCTTTGAGGCTGGGCTGAGGCTTCCATCTCAATGCCCTTTTGTTTGAAGGGATAGCACCCAGGCCTCCTGCGAAGCCTGTGTGTTTGACCAGCCTTTGCAGATGGACAGTGTACTGGGGCAGGATGTAAAGCACAAACAATTGAGGGAGGCCCCCGGAATTCCCAAGGGCTCAAGAGTCCAGCAGGGGTGGGGAGGGGCAGGATCCTTCCCAGGACACATCAGGGGCTCAGTCACAACCCCTAGATGGGTCACACAGGATCTCAGGCACTTTTGTCTCCAGCCTCATTTCCTTTCCAGTATTCAGGTCCCCACTTTAGCTTCTCTGATGGTCAACATCCAGCCCTCTTTGGGTGCCTCTAGGTATGAGGCACTCTCTGCCTCCTGAAGAATAGGCAGATTCTGACTGAATATACATTCATTCTTTTTTCTTTTGAGGTATAATTCACATACCATAAAATTCAACCTTTAAAAATATACAATTTAGTGGATTTTAGAACATTTATAAGATTGTGCAACCAGCACCACTAATTCCAGAATGTTCTATCACTCTCCCACCCCACCCCGGACCCTCAGAAAACTCTGGTTCCAATAGTAGTTACTCCCCATTCTCCTCTCCCCCTAGATGTTGCAACCACTAATCTGCTTTCTGTTTCTGGATTTGCCTGTTCTGAACATTTCATATAAATGGAATTATACAATATGTGGCCTTTTGTGTCTGGCTTCTTTCACTGAGCTTAATGTTTTCAAGGTTCATCTATGTTGTAGCATATATCAGTACTTTATTCCTTTTTGTGGCTGAATAATATTCCCTGTATGGATGTACTACATTTTATTGGATGTACATCCATACAGGATGTCATTTGTCAGTTGATGGACATTTGTGTTTCCACTTTTTAGCTATTATGAATAATGCTGCTGTGAACATTCGTGTACAGATTTCTATGTGAATGTATGTTTTCATGTCTCTTCAGTGTATACCTAGGAGTGGAATTGCTGGGCCATAGAGTAACTGTACATTTAACATTTTGAGGAACTGCCCAACCATTTTCCAGGGTGGCTTCACCATTTTACATTCCCAAAAGCAACGTGTGAGGGTTCTACCTTTTCCACATCCTCACCAACAATTGTTGTCATCAGTGTTGTCATCACTTACAGCAAACCTAGTGTGTGTGGAGTGGTATCTCATTGTGGTTTTGATTTGCATTTCCCTAATGGCTAATGATGTGAGCATCTTTTTATGTGCTTATTGGCCATTTCTGTATCTTCTTTGGCATTTATTCATTCTTTTTTCTTTTTTTTTTTTTTTTTTTTGAGACGGAGTCTTGCTCTGTCATCCAGGCTGGAATGCAGTGGCGCGATCTTGGCTCAATCCAACCTCTGCCTCCCGGGTTCAAGCGATTCTTCTGCCTCAGCCTCCCAAGTAGCTGGGATTACAGGCACGTGCCACCATGCCTGGCTAATTTTTGTATTTTTGGTAGAGACGGGGTTTCACTATGTTGGCCAGGCTTGTCTCGAACTCCTGACCTCAGGTGATCTGCCTGCCTCAGCCTCCCAAAGTGCTGAGATTACAGGTGTGAGCCACCGCACCCAGCCATTCTTTGGCATTTATTCATTCTTAAGGCCTGTTATGAGCAATTTCTTATTAGGCATTGAGGGGGAGAAAAATGTATCATGATGACCTTTGTCTTTCAAGGAACTTGCGGTCTGGTAAGAGAATTGTAGTTAGTACAGGTGAAAAGTTAGGGCTTCACAGGCAAGGTGGCCTTTAGTTTGGGTCTGGAGATAGGTCGTATTTGTATACAAGGAGCTTTGCAGAAAGACTTTCTGGGCAGTTGGAGTAATGTAAGTAAAGACAATTTGTAATTAGTAGTAGAAAACAGTTTTATCTTCTGATGAGCTCTGAAGCAATAGTGTGAAAGCACCTGGCATAGCACTTGGCACATGATGGGCTGTCATTATGTGTTAGCTCCCTTTGCAACTCCCCTCACTTGGTCCCAGCTCTGTCTTCTAGGACTACATGGCTTCCTTTTCCTGTTCCAGATTTTTAACTCTTAGGAGACAGAGCTCCAAGCTATATGAGCCTTGGTTCCCTAAACTGTGGTTTCAAGTCTCCTCCTCATCCTAGTCATTTTAAAATGAAACAGCTAGAAAGTTTTGGTGCCCTCTCTGAATTCCAGTGTGGCATGACCATTATTGTGAGGAGCAGGGCAACCATCCCCTTTGTTAAAGATTTTATACTTCTATTAATATGGCCCGACCTTGCATTGGCTTTCTTGGCAGCTGCGTTACACTCCTAGGTTCTGTTAAGCTTGTAATCGGCCCAGCCTTCTGAGATCCATGACTTCTTCTGTCCTGTAACCCTTTGATTGGATTTGTTTGCAGAGCTTGTTTTAACCTAAAGGTAAGGACACTTTAAGGCTTTGTATTTGCTTGTGAATTTGTAATATTTGAAATGTGAATATGTACTATGTGAAAGTAGTGGTGGTGGTATGGAGACTACCAGAAAGAAGAAAGGATAGGCTTGGAATGTTCTCAGCATGCGACTAGAAGGAACTAGAACTTCCAAGAGAGAAGGTTCTAGGAAGCTTCAGGACTAAACAGAAAGTATCTTCACCCCTCAAGTAAACTCCTTTCCACTTGAGGCTTTTCCTTATTTTCTGTCAGCTGATTGGTCCCATCAGACAACTATGGTGTGCTGACGCATGCTAAATCTGGGAAAGAAGGGAAGAATTGGGCATATGAGCCCTGGAAGGCAGTGTGGCTCCATAGAGCTTGGGCTTCATCCCCGGCTGCTACTTATTGGCCTTGTAATCTTTCTTTTTCTTTTTTTTTGAGACGGAGTCTCACTCTGTCGCCAGGCTGGAGTGCAGTGGTGCGATCTTGGCTTACTGCAACCCACGCCTCCCGGGTTCAAGTGATTCTCCTGCCTCAGCCTCCTGAGTAGCTGGGATTACAGGTGCCTGCCACCATGCCTGGCTAATTTTTGTATTTTTAGTAGAGATAGGGTTTCACCATGTTGGTCAGGCTGGTCTTCAACCTCTGACCTTGTGATCCACCCACCTCGGCCTCTCAAAGTACTGGGATTACAGGCGTGAACCACCGTTCCCAGCCTGGCCTTGTAATCTTAATCAGTCATTTACCCTCTGTAAGACTTGGGCTTCTTTCAGAGGATCAAATGAGATCATAAATGTCAAGTATCTGTTGCGTAGTAGGCAGCTCAAGAAATGTGAGCTCTTTTGAACTCCATCATTCAAGAGCTTTGCAAGGCGGTGAGTTGTGCTCCCTGAGCCTGTGTAAACATCTCTGAGCACCTGTGATACTTAGTGCACTTATTTGTGCGCTTGTTTCATTTTCCCTCCTCCAGCTCAGAATAAGAGCTCCTTGTAGGCAAGATTCATGTCTGATTGACTTCGGTGTCTGTCAATGCCCAACACAGAGGCTAGCTTGGAGATGTTACTTCAGTTTTGTTGAGTGAGTGAAGGCCACACCTTTGCCCGAGGAGGCCAGGTTTTATGGTTGGCTTTTCATTGTCTCTTCTTTACTGGAAATTTTGTGAGATTCCTGAACTTCACAGAAGGTGGCTCAAGTACCAACACTGTTTCACTGTTTGAGAAATTTGAACCACTTTTGTGTCTCACTGCTGTAGTGTGACAGGTTTCCTGGCAGCCAGCCAGGAGGCCTGCTGTGGGGCCAGTAGGTGGCGCCTATGACCCTTTCCCACACCTCAGGTCCTGCACAGGCCTTTCCTTCTCACCACCACAGCTGCTGACTCTCTGGGAAATGCATATATTAATAGCTCTGGGCAGGGGTACCCAGATGAAGGTGCTTTGGGCCACTCCCTCCTGTTTATGGCCTTGTATTGTTGGACTTCCGTGTTTTATTCAGTCTCAGCCTTGGCACACACTGCCTGGGGAAGCAAAGATGTTTGCTATAGAGGATCCCAGAAGGTCACTCTGGGAATCTGTGCTTCTGGCCCATCCTTTCTGGCACACTCTGCCTCTAGGAAGTCATCCCTGTGGCTCTCTTGCTCTGACCTGTACTCTCATGGCACCTTCCTCTAGGGTCCTTGCTTGTATTTTAGCTGTTTGCCCAGTGTGTAGCTGTCCAGTGAATGCTTTGAAGGCAAGGATACCACAGAATTCATCACAGTACCCTGAGTGCCCTGCTCAGAGTCCTGTAATAACCAGTCCTCAGGAAGAGTTTATGGAACGAATGGATGCATAATAAGTAGTACCTCAAAAATTGTTATCCACATTGAAGGGTATTCTACAAACAAACTAGCCTTACTCTGCAAAAAATGTCAATATCATGAAAATCAAAGAAAGGTTGAAGAACTATCCTAGATGAAATTGAAACATATGCAGTGTTTGGTCCTGATATTGATCCTGGCTTTCATCTGGATCACAGGGGGAGATTGCTATAATGAATATTGGGATAATTGAAGAAATTTGAATGTGGGCTGTATATCAGATAAAAATAGTATATCAATGTTAAATGTTCTGAATTTTATCATCATTAGTTAGTGGTTCTGTAAGAGAATGCTCTGGTACTAGGTACGAGATGCATGTACCAATGTATCTGGTATATGCTCGATGAAGTATTTGGAGGTAAAGGGGCATAGTATCTGAAATTAGTTCTCACATGGTCCAGCAAAAAAAAATAGAAAAGGAATAGAAAAGCAAATGAAACAAAATGTAAACAGGATATGAGTGAAGGCTATTTATTTATTTGTTTTTTTGTCTTTGTTTTTTTTTTTCGAGACGGATTTTCGCTTTGGTTGCCCAGGCTGGAGTGCAATAGCACGATCTCGGCTCACTGCAGCCTCCGCCTCCAGGGTTCAAGCGATTCTCCTGCCTCAGCCTCCCGAGTAGCTGGGATTACAGGCATGTGCCACCATGCCCGGCTAATTTTGTATTTTTTAGTAGAGACGGGGTTTCTCCATGTTGGTCAGGCTGGTCTCGAACTCCCGACCTCAGGTGACTCGCCTGCCTTGGCCTCCCAAAGTGCTGGGATTACAGGCCTGAGCCACCGCACCTGGCATGAAGGCTGTTTGAAGGGGTGTGTGTGTGTGTGTGTGATTTTTGTAACTGTTCTATAAGTTTGAAATTATTTCAAAATAAAAAGTTAAAAAATAATCTGAGCACTTTAATGTGGGCCAAGTTTCTGTAAGAGAGATGGGACAAAGAATGATCACCCAGTGTTGCACTTTATTCAGTTGATCCAGCAAGTATTCACTGAGGTTGTGATTCAGCTCCTCCACTGTGTGCCTCAACAAACAGAACAAGTGTAATAATAGCAACTAAGATTTGGAAAATGTAAGTGCCCTCACAAACATTATTTCCTTTGGTCATCTCAGCACCCATGTTAGGTAGGGCTGACAGGCTGATAGGGTAAGATGACTGAGGTTCAGAGAGGGTAGTGTGATCTGCCCACAGTCACACAGCCTGGAAGAGACAGACAGAGGCAGGCTCATATATAGATCAGTCTTTTCCAAAGGGGACGCTTTCTGAGCCTCCCTATCTGTGTGTGTAAAAGGAAGATTTGGACTGATTAATCTCTGCAGATCATTCTTTAAGTTCAGAAATTTTAAAGTTTTCTGTGATAGGAAATAGCCAGCTATGAAACATGCAGACACATTCCACAGTACACTTGGCATTTGTGGTAGGTACTGCATACCTGCCAGCCTCTCCCCTCCCTCACTGCTCTCACTCCCTTGGAGTTCTCCAGGCATGACAGAATGCTCAGTGGGCCATCTCACTGGGAGTGAGAGCATCTGGAGAGCTTCCTCACGGAAGGGTCCCCAGCTAGGCCTTGGAGAAGGGTGCTCAGTTCAAGTAGCAAATGCAGAAGTTGCTGGAGAGGCCTTGTCTATGGAGTTGAAGCACCAAGACCCTGCCTGAAGTCTGCTGTCCCAGGCTGGGGGGTCTATGAGCAGCCTTTGCTCCCTTGCCCTGCCCCTCCCAGCCCTGGCTGGCAGGCTAGATAAGGCACAGATGGAGGCTGCCTGGGGATTCTGGCCCCAGGCACCTTGCCTCTGCTCAGACAGCAGGGCCTGGTGCTGTTATTACTGTAAACAGGGCCTTCTGTGAGGCTCCAGCCAGGGCCCTGTTGCCCAGATAGCAATCATGATTGGGTCTGCATGGCTCAGTGCTTCCAGGCCTCTGATGCAGGTGGGATAGGGCTCCCTACCCTTCAGCCCCTCCCCAGCTGCAGCTGAGGGCTGGTTCATGTGAAGGATCCGGAAATCAGTTGGAACAATGCGTCATTGAAGTTCAGTGGCCGCTTTGTATTGATTGGTCCTAAAGAAAGAGGAAGAAAAATCAAGTGGTACCTCCCTCCCCTGAGTGGAAGAGCTAGTTAGCCAGAATAACTCAAAGCTGCCCCTGTGTCCCTTTCTGGGACTCTTTCCCTCCCTCCCACAAACAGAGCCTGGGGAGTTGTCTTTTCGTTGGAAGTCTTGCTGAGTGCAGCGTCTGCTAGGAATCTACTCAATTTTCATTTTGATGCTACACATATTTAGAATTATAACATTATAGAGCTGGTAGGGACTTCAGAAATAATTTCATTCATTTCCTTCTTTTACTGCAGATAAAAGTAAGGACCACAAAGACATTTATTGTGGTCACATAGCTAGTAAGTGATAGAGCCATGACTGGAATTTGTGACCTGTAGCCCCTAGGCCTGTATCCACAAATGTCCTCAGCCCTGAGACTGAGAAGCTGCACTCACACCCTCCTACATATACATAGAAGCCTAAGTTCTTCGAAAAAGACAAGCTTACAGTTATAAAACAGGTAACTTCCAGCACCAGACAGAAGTATTGGTGAGAAGTTAATGTAGGTAAGTGCTGTAGACATTCATTCATTCAGACCCCGAGCTTTGTGGTGTGCCAACTGCCATGGCAGGCACCTGGAGCAAAGAGATGAAGGCAAGTCCTTGTTTCTAGAAGGACATGCTTGCCTACTGGGGAAGTTAGACCTGTGGACTGTATGATAACTACATTGATACAGGTTAGCACAGGGGATTGTGGTGGCAACAAGGTCATCTTAGGGAAGGCTTCTTAAAGTATAGGACTTTTTTTTTTCCTAAGAAAGTTTTATTTTAAAAAAGAGTAATAGTATGGTCATTGTTATAAAAACAGCACAACTTCAAACAATACAGAGGTACTCACAGCAGAAAGAGAAAGCTTGACTGCTTCATTGCCCCTTCCCCAATCAGTGGTAATAGCTGTTACCTCTTTGGTCTTTAGCCTGCTGGACTCTCCAGGATCACTGATGGATGGGAGCAGGATATGTTTTTCCCGACTGATTTGTCCTTCTGTGGTAATCTTCAGCTCTTGGGCTAGGGAACCTTCCCTTTCCTGCTGCTGCCCTTGCCTGGGAATTTTAGACAGTTCATTTATCTATCCTCCAGTAATTTGGAGCACTTACTGTGTTCCAAGTTCTGTGTATACCTTTTCCTGTATCATCCTAGTTACTCTGTCACTTCTTTAAAATCGAGTGAACACAAATTGGAAAGTGATAAGAATAGTATAAGCTCTTCTTATGCTATTTTGTACAGTGCTTTATTGCATCCCAAGTATTTTTACATATTTTTTCTCACTGTCTCTTCATAGCACCCCTATGTGACATATATAGTAGGGTTGGTGAGGTGTTCTCCATTTTTTTTTAACAGATGCAGAAACAGGCTTAGAGAGCAGGAGCTATCATGTAAATGAAGGAAGCAGTTGAGATTCAGAGAGGCTAAGTCATTCATTCATCCACCACTCCTCACTTAGTAAGTAACAGAGCCTGGATTTGTTTGTTTTGTTTTTTTTGAGATGGAGTTCTGCTCTTGTTGCCTAGGCTGGGGTACAGTGGCACGATCTTGGCTTACTGCAGCCTCTGCTTCCTGGGCTCAAGTGATTCTCCTGCTTCAGCCTCCTGAGTAGCTTGGATTACAGGTACTGGCCACCATGCCAGGCTAATTTTTTATATTTTTAATAGAGATGGGGTTTTACCATGTTGGCCAGGCTGGTCTCAAACTCCTGACCTCAGGTGATCCACCCGCCAGAGCCTGGATTTTTTTTTTTTTATACGGAGTCTCACTGTCACCCAGGTCGGAGTGCAGTGGCACAATCCCGGCTCACTGCAACCTCCGCCACCTGGGTTCAAGCGATTCTCCTGCCTCAGCCTCCGGAGTAGCTGGGATTACAGGCGTGCGCCACCACGCCCAGCTAATTTTGTATATTTAGTAGAGACGGGGTTTTACCACATTAGCCAGGCTGATCTCGAACTCCCAACCCCAGGTAATCCACCCGCCTCCGTCTTCCAAAGTGCTGGGATTACAGGTGTGAGCCACTGCACCTGGCCCCCAGAACCTGGATTTGAAACGAGATCTTTGCTGCTGATTTTTCTGACCCACTCTACTGCCTGAGAGTTGTGCAAGAGCTTGGATTCAACTCTGGACTTTTTTTTTGTTTTTGACATGGAGCCTCTCTCTGTTGCCCAGGCTGTAGTGCAGTAGCATAATCTCAGCTCTCTGCAACCTCTGTCTCCCGAGTTCAAGTGATTGTCATACGTCAGCCACCCGAGTAGCTGGGATTACAGGTGCCCGACACCACGCCCGGCTAATTTTTGTATTTTTAGTAGAGATGGGGTTTCGCCTTGTTGGCTGGGCTGGTCTCGAACTCCTGACCTTAGGTGGTCTGTTCACCTCGGCCTCTCAAAGTGCTGGGATTACAGGTGTGAGCCACCATGCGTGGCTTCAACTCTGGACTTCTAATGCGGTCTACTCTGTGTCTACCACCCTGGGCAATCCCCAGATAGGGGTCACCTACTGCTGCCCTGCCAAGCAGGAGACCTAGTTCATTAGGGAAGGGCCTTCCACAAGTCTGGAGTGAGCCCAGAAAGGCCCACTATGCCCACCCTGCCTCTCTAGCCCCTGGACACAGGCTGTTCTGCCCTGAGTGGCAGCCTGAATTAAGCATTCTACTCATCATCTCAGGGATGATGGAATCCTAACCTTTTCAGAGACACCGTACTCTGTCACAAGCATTGCTCTTTTTAAAAGAGATTAATTCACTTGCCACATTTTGCCCATTGGTGAAAATCACAGGGGAGAGCAAGGGTGGCTTTCTCAGGCCTCAAACGCCCTTTCAGCCTCTCTCAGCGGGCAGCCCGCCGCCTAGCTGGCCCAGGACTTTGAAATGACTGCCCACTGTGCATTCACTTGCAGAGCAACACAGTGAAATGCAGGAGACCTGGTTTGTAAAATTCCAACTTTCTGGGCTGCTCTGCACTGAGGGGAGGCAGGGGAGGGGCCTACCCAGCTCTTTCAGAGTTACTTGTGGTTGGGTTCTCTTGTGGTCTTTTCTTTTCTTTTTTTTTTTTTTTTTTTTTGAGACAGAGTCTTGCCCTGTCACCCGGGCTGGAGTGCAGTGGCGCAATCTTGGCTCACTGCAACCTCCGCCTCCTGGGTTCAAGTGATTCTCCTGCCTCAGCCTCCCGAGTAGCTGGGATTACAGGTGTGTGCCACCACACCCGGCTAATTTTTTGTATTTTTAGTAGAGACAGGGTTTCACCGTGTCAGCCAGGATGGTCTTGATCTCCTGACCTCATGATCCACTCACCTTGGCCTCCCAAAGTGTTGGGATTACAGGCATGAGCCACCGCACCCAGCCCGGTTCTTTCTTGATCTACCAGGTGCCACCACTCCTTACGAAATTCTGTTTTAATCCTTACGACCACCTTGCACAAGAGGGATTAATATCTTCCATTTCACAGCTAGTAAGTGACAGAGCTAGAATCTGAACTCCAGCCTTTGGACTCCAGGGTCATTGCTTTTTTTCCATTATACCTCAGCCCCAAGAGACTGCAAAGAATGATGCTCAGTCAAGAAGCTGGGCAGGGCTGAATGCTGGAGTCTCACTGAAGAACACCAAGATTTCCTCCTCTGAATGGCCCCTCAGGTTTGTAGAGCCCTTTCCTTTATATTTCGGTGCTGCCTCCTAAAACTCCTATGACACTGGGAGGATTGTGATCCTCATTGGACCTATGAAGAGACAAAGCTTAGCCAGATGATGTGCCTTCCTTTAGGATGTTAGAATAGTAGGTGGCAGAGGCTGGGCGCGGTGGCTCATGCCTGTAATCCCAGCACTTTGGGAGGCTGAGGCGGGTGGATCACAAGGTCAGGAGATCAAGACCATCCTGGCTAATACGGTGAAACCCCGTCTCTGCTAAAAAATACAAAAAATTAGCTGGGCGTGGTGGCAGGCACCTGTAGGCCCAGCTACTTGGGAGGCTGAGGCAGGAGAATGGCGTGAACTCGGGAGGCGGAGCTTGCAGTGAGCCGAGATCGTGCCACTGCACTCCAGCCTGGGCGACAGAACGAGACTCCATCTCAAAAAAAAAAAAAAATAGTAGGTGGCAGAGCTAGAGCTAGAACCCAGGTCTCCTGACTCTCCTGTATGTTCTTTCATTGAAATGATAGCAGGTTTAGAGAAGTGCCTCTTCCAGGAGTTCTATGATAGCAGGTTTAGAGAAATGCCTCTTCCAGGAGTTCTTCCTCTTAAAATAGAAAACCCTGCAATATACAGAAGAGAAAATCCCGAAATGCAAACATGCGTATAACAAATAGCTCAAAATTGTTAGTCATCAGAGACATGCAAGATAAAACAATAATATAATAGCCCTTTACACCCACCCATTAGACTGGCAGTGATTAGAAAGCTGGCTATGGCCAAGTGTTGACAGGAAGAGGGATACACAGGCACACCTCTGTCCTGCTTGTGGAAGGGTCAGTGGGGCAGCTATTCAGAAGAGGACCTTGGCACTATTTAGTCAAATCAACTATGCACATACTGTAGGACCCAGTGATTTCACTCCAAGTACATGCCACAGGGAAATGCTCACATAGGTCCAAAAGGGGACATAGGAGAGGATGTTCTGTGAGCATTGTTTTTGGTGGCTGGGAGATAGAGGCTCCCTGGGCGGGTATGCCTGGGAGAGCAGAGAAAGAAAATGTGGACACACACCGTGGGGAGTTATGCAACAGTTAAAAACAATGGAGTTATTGCATACTTAGCAATATGAGTATACTTAAAACAGAATTTTCTGTGAAAAAAGTTGTAAGCAGAATTTTATACACATACACACACACACGTACCTACACACACCCATGTATATGTATTTATAAAAGAAGGAAGGAGGGAAGGAAAAGAAGAGATAGATCTTGCCTGGCTCAGGTCTTGGAAAGCAAGAACCTCTCTCTCTGTCTCCTCCCCAGTAGCCAGCAAGAGGCTGGGCACAGAGTGGGTGTGTGCACATGTTTGCTGAATGAATGAACAAAGTGCCTAGAGCCAGCTTTGCTGAATTATCCAGGTCATCCTGTGTGATCACATCTTAGAATCCCTGGGTATTAGCCAACCTGCCACTACCAGCTTGAGAGTGCAACACTTTGTTCCATCAAAATGATGGAAGTGAGATAGGATAGTAGGGTCTGTATTGAATACCTGCTATATGCCAAGGCTGGGATCTTGCAACTTAGAGATTATTATCCCAGAGGTCAGAAGACTGAAAATTAGTGTTGATTTGCTTAGAGTTATCTAGCTAGATCAGAATTCAAATCGGGGTCTGACTTACTCCAATGCCCTTTATTCATCCATTTCTTTTTATTAGACTGCACTCGGCCCTTCAGGGGCAGTAGGAGGAGGCATTTCAATCTTCTTTCTTCAGCCCTACCTCTAGAGCAACGCTGCTTCCACAATTTTCAGGGTCCAGGCAGGGGAACATGGGTCATTGTTCCCTTGGAGGCATGAGGGATTTTGGTCACTCTGAGTTTATCCTAGCTGCACCCTCCTTTCTCATTTTCCTGCCCAAGCTCCTCTCCCAAGGTCTGTATTACACCTCCAAACTGGTCTTCTTATCCCCATTTTGTACTCTTCGCCCTTCAAATTCAGCCTGCTTAGTGATTAGGTTAATTTTATAATTTCTTTTGTCCCAAAACCTTGAATGGACAACCTCACTGCCTTTGGTGGGAAGCTAAGGAATGGCAACTAGGTTTTCTCTCTGTTGCTAACTTCAGTGGATTGATGGTGGCTGATTGGAACCTATTTTGAAGAGGATTCTTTTTTTTTTTTTGAGACAGAGTCTCACTCTGTCGCCCGGGCTGGCGTGCAGTGGTGTGATCTCAGCTCACTGCAAGCTCCGCCTCCCAGGTTCACACCATTCTCCTGCCTCAGTCTCTTGAGTAGCTGGGACTACACGTGCCTGCCACCACGCCCGGCTAATTTTTTGTATTTTTAGTAGAGATGCGGTTTCACCGTGTTAGCCAGGATGGTCTCGATCTCCTGACCTCGTGATCCACCTGCCTTGGCCTCCTAAAGTGCTGGGATTACAGATGTGAGCCACCGTGCCCGGCCTTGAAGAGGATTCTGAGGCTCTTTCAAAGGCTCCACAGCAAGAACTGCTGGGAGAGATGTGTGATATCCCTCTTAGACGTGGGAGCACAGGACAGTAGCATGCATGCCAGGAATCTGTCAAACCTTTAGACTGAGCTTTTATCCTAGGGTCCATTACTGATTTCATGGGGGCTGCGAACACCTGATCATTATATGTAAAAAAAATGTTTTTGAGAGTGTATGCTCCTATGCACTTTTCTGGAAGAAATTTGATCGTAGTCACAAAAGAGCCCATATCTCAGAAAGGTTTATGCCCACTGCCTTAGCCTCCTAGTCTGACATTCGAGGTCTTGTGTTGGCTGTGCATGCCTCAGCAGCTGTCTGTTTCTCTGCTGTGAACTGTCACCCAGATGGAGCTGCCTAATGATCTCTGAATGTTCCTTTCCTGCTTCGCAGTCATACCCTGTTTCTTGCCTTGATTGACGTGCACTTCCTTCCACTTCTCTAAACTCTTCCCCTTCTTCAAGACACAATTCAAGTTTGTGCCGTCAGAAGCCTCTGATTTTCTTCAGCCTATCCTGATTTTCTAGCCTCTTGGACTGAGGGTCAGAGAAGCGAGGCCATCCCATCAGGATCATAGTTAGGATCAGAACCATGCGCTCTCTACCATATCACGTGGCCTGCTAAACAAGGAGAAGAGGTTTTTGTAAATTAGACAGGGTTCTTAGCGTCTTTAACATTCTTGGCCATAGAAAATTGTTTCTGCATAAAAGAAGTGTAACATTATGTATAGTAAGGGACCTTCACCAGAGTAAATCCTCCAAACTAGAGGTAAGAAAGGAATGTTTCCTAACCTCTCTTAATACTCTTCCCTCACATGTTGTACCCCAGTCATACCAAACATCTTAGGGGGTCTCATATACCCTGGGTCTGCTCCAGGTGAAGAGGACTGCGTCTACCTGGAACACTCCTTCCCCTCCCTCACCTGCTTTTGTTTGGCCAGTTCCCCTTTATCAGCACCTCCTCAGAGAGGCCTTTTTGGCCACTGAGACTGGGTTAAGTTTCCTTGTAGTGCACCTGCAACCCATAGTCCCATTCATATCACTCATGAGATGTGCAGTTCTGTTCTGTCTCCCCCTTGGGCTTTGACAGTGCCTTCGAAAGTATTTGAGAGAAGCCTTAGTACATGATGTTTCTCATCATCCTCTCAAGCCTTAGTTACCTGCTAACATCAGCAACACAGATTTTATTTGACTTGGTCTGTAGGGACATTTACTATAGATCGTGGCACAAGAATGGTGCTAGGATTCAAACCCAAGCCTTTGACTCTCTGCCCTTTGGCTAGAACCCACTGAAAAACAGCCTCCTAGCTTCCCAAACCCCTCCTCCCTTTCTTGGCACTGTGTTCTTTGATATGCTGTCTTGAGCCATGTCTTCTCCTCACCCTCATCCAGAATCTAGCAGGGGACCAAGTGCATGTCATACTGATTCACTGACATCAGTGTAGTGTTTGTCTTTCATGTTATCTAGAGCCAGGTTCTGTCTGGAGGAAGGGTGGTGAGGTGAGAAGGAGCCTGGCTGTAGAGTCACTGCCAACCAGTCACTGCACTGCCCCTTAACTAGCTGCGTGACCTTAAGGAAGTCATTTCACCTCAGTGAGCCTGTTACCTTATCCCTGAAAAGAGGCGATTACTCTTAGGTCCTTAGGTGGTGTTGAGAGTACATGGAATCATGAATGTAAAGTACTTGGGGTAGTTCCTGCTTGTAGAAGGTGCTCAGTAAGAGTTCATTCTATTTACCCACCCCTACATTGTTGGTCCTTTTGTCCTGGGAGCAAAAATTCAGACTTTTAGTGGGATACTTTAAATTCTGTGTTTGTTAATTTATTTAATAATTATTGAGCTTCTACAATGTGTTAGGCACTGGCATATAGATTCTGGTAGGGTCTGTGTGGACTCTCCTAGGAACCTAATCTATTGTTTCCATCTTTCCTTGAGTTGAAGGATTTTCAATTTCCAAACAACCACAGTACAGATAAACTTGAGGAATATGATCATTTTGTGAACTGAGAACTACCTAGATAAGACATGTCATTAGGCATTCTGTTCCTAGCATTGGGAAATTAAGGAAGGAATTGCTGTGGACTGGATGAGTTAAGGAAGGCTTCCTTCTCAGGAGTCCACGAGCCACAAGGATTGTATTAAATAGCATGAGAGGAGAATTCAAATAGGCAAAGGAGCCGGGAGAGAGCATTCTGGACCAAGGGAGTGACAGTGTCAGAGTATTAAGTTAGGGAGGGACCATTCTTTTCTCAAAGGGTTTGGAAGATAATAAGGGGGACAGACTGATTTAAGGGAAGGAGAGAGGTAGGGAAAGTCTTGATGGGACAGAATGGCCAGAGGAGCTGAAATTGGGAATGTAGTCCTCAAAGGCCTCTATTTCCTGACTCATTCAGGCTCTGTTTGTTGACTATGTCATTTCTTCTATGGTTGTTTCTACTTTTACATCCATGATAAGCCATACACTGAAAATATTCCTCTGTCTTGTTTTAGGCTGTTGTCAGAAGGTGCAGATGTCAAGCCATACACTGAAAATATTCCTCTGTCTTGTTTTAGGCTGTTGTCAGAAGGTGCAGATGTCAATGCAAAGCACAGACTTGGCTGGACAGCACTCATGGTGGCAGCCATCAACCGAAACAACAGGTGAGAGACCACCTTCCACACAGGGCTCCTTTAGGCAGATCTCTGCAGACTGTGCTCCTGAGCACTCTCCCACCTGGTGTGCCTCCCTGCTGTCTTTTCCAGAGGCAGGAAGATAGATTCAGACTGAGGTACTGGACTTCACCTGGTGCATTGGACTGTATAGTAGCTGTGGACCAGAAAGATGTAGCCTTGAATCCCAGCTCCCTCAGTCATTGGCTTTGTGACCTTAGGCACGTCATTTGCATTGTTGTAGCAACCAAATGTTTGGAAGCCTGTTGTAATTGGTTGTGTTTATAGGTGCAAATTATTGTAATGTTCTGTTACCTACCATCTGTTGACCTTGAGAAGTCTGCAGTTACTGTCCCCAGTGAGTGCTCCTCCAGGGGCTTTTTCTTTGGAAGTTCTGATGGAAACTAAGAAAGATGGGGGCTTCTTTCCCTCCCATTGGAGGCTGTGCTATTTTCCTGCCCCCTCCCCCATCCTATCAGGGTTGTAGCTATTGTATAAAGATTGAAATAGTTTACTTTGTGTAGTGAGTTATCTAATTCTCACAATCACTCCACAAAATATATATTATGCTCATTTTGTAGCTCAGAAAACTGAAACCCAAAGAGATAAAGTGATTTATTTATGTCACATGGACAGGATTTAGAACCTGGTCTGGCTGCCTGAAAGGTCTGTGTTTTTGGGTTTTGGGGTTTTTTTGAGATACAGTCTTGCTTGGTCACCCAGGCTGGAGTGCAGTGGTACGATCTATGGCTCGCTGCAGCCCCAGCCTCCTGGGTTCAAGCGATCCACCCACCTCACCCTCCTGAGTAGCTAGGACTACAGGTATGCACCATCACACTGGGCTAATTTTTTTTTTTTTTTTAAAGATAGGGGTCTCACTGTGCTATCCAGGTTGGTCTTGAACTCCTGGCCTCCAAGTGCTCCTGCACCCTCAGCCTACCAAAGTGTTGGGATGACAGGCGTGAGCCACTGTGCCCAGCCATGATCTGTGTTTTTTACTTTATCTCACTGCTACCTCCCGATGCCAGATACCAGCCTAGTGCTGATGCTGCCTTTCCATTTCAGTCTGTTCTGATTTCTGCCTTGGAGTCTGTATAATTCTGGAAGTGCTGGGATGAAGTACACATTTGCTCTAGCTATGATTGTGCGAAAGAATTAAGAGCAAAAAGGGATACTTTCAAAGAAAGCAGAGTGGGCACTTTAGTAACAGCCATTGAAATTGATAGTTGGAGGTACCAATTTCAGTTCTTTCTGCAAGTAGGTGTTTAAGGTGTACTGGCCACCTGTGAAAGGATTATAAATGTGAAAGAACAAATGTAACTGGGATTTTATAATCTAGAGGTGGTACTGCCTCAGACTGACTGAGAGACTTAGCTGTACATGAGATAGGTCTCTCTTCTCTGCTCCTTTGTTGTGGACTTGTTCTTAGTCACTCGGTTTCCTGATTTGCTCTCTTTAGCTCCAAGCACCTATTCTTTTTTCTTTTTTCTTTTACTATTTATTTATTTATTTTTTTGAGACGGAGTCTCACTCTGTTGCCAGGCTGGAGTGCAGTGGCGCGATCTTGGATCACTGCAACCCTCCACCTCCCAGGTTCAAGCAATTCCACTGCCTCAGCCTCCCGAGTAGCTGGGACTACAGGCGCACACCACCACACCCAGCTAATTTTTTTTGTATTTTTAGTAGAGATGGGGTTTCACCATGTTGGCCAGAATGGTATCGATCTCCTGACCTTGTGATCCACCCGCCTTGGCCTCCCAAAGTGCTGGGATTACAGGCGTGAGCCACCATGTCTGGCGCACCTATTCTTTAAAAGCAAAATTGATATAAATAGGCTTCGTAGTTGAGAGACCTAGAGTCCAGTCCTGGTTCCAAGCCTTAACTGAATTTCAGAACTCCATGGACAGCCTGTTTCTTCATCAGAAATTAATTATTTCTATGAACATTAGGTAAATATCTGCCTTGAGCCAGGCCCTGTGCTAGTGTTTGCAGAATCCGAGACCTTGGGGAGTTTGCAGTCTAATGGGGAAAACAAATGCAGGTAAGGAGACATAGTATAGTATGATCAGTGATTTCAGAGCAGTATGTATGGGATACCCTCGAAGCAAAGGGTGTGAGGGGACTCAATGTGGCAGCATAGTAGATCCTCACCATATTCTTTGGAGAATCAAATAAGGTAATGTATGTGCTACAGGTTATAAAGGTGGGTTGTTAGTCCCTGATGCCCCCATTAGATCTCTGTACACAAACACATGTGTTATTCTACACCGCTGGTACTTCACCACATGCACCAGTCTTTTCCCCCAGCTTGTAGCTGTTTCCCTCTGCAAGAAATAGCCAGTGGTGCTAAAGAAGGAGAGGTGGAGAGGTGTGTTCCCTTCTGTGTGTAGTATTTTCAAGGTTGAGACTGAATAGGAAACAACACGATGCTTAAAAATACTGTCAATTAGTGATCAGATGGCTAGTAGATATGCTTTTGGGGACACATCTCTTTGAATCTAATGAGTTGTTGGCTTAACTGATTGCTCTGTCTTTATCCAGAGCTGTTAGCAAATCAGTGATGCTTGTTGAGCAAAGTGAGAGTGTTGGCTTATATTTACTTGCTTTGGTTCCTAGGACTAATTATCCATTTTGTGACCTTCTCTTCCACTATCCAGGGAGGACAGATTTTTACTGAAAATAGCACACTCTTGGGTTGGATTTATGTATTCATATCGCAGAATTTTTTTTTGGCCCCTACTGTTTGCCAGGTACTGTTCTATGTACTTGAAATAATGTTGATGAAAAACAAAGATCCCTGCCCACATAGAGCTTATTTCTGTATTAGTTGTGGTCCTTTGGTAGAGAAAGATGTGGATAGACAATAAACAATGAGTATAATGGATGCGTAAACTATTTAATATATTAGAAGATAAGTGCCGTGGGAAAAAGGAAAAGTAGAACTTGTTAAAAAGGGAGTACCAGGAGTACATTGGTCAGGGTGAGTAGGCCTCATTGTTAAGGTGCCCTGTGAGTAGTCTTGGAGGATTAGCATATCCATACCAGCACAATCTGCCAATAAGTTTTTCCTTATTAGAAATATACTGATTTTCATATAATCAATCTCCAAATCCTTCCAGAATCATATTGGTCAGGCCTGAAATGCTACCACCTTTGAATTAGATTTCGATGAAGGGAAGATAGAGGGGGAGCACCCTTGATTCAAGGCTGAAAGCAGAGAACCTTCACCTCCTTCACCTCCTTTAGGATGTAGGCAGCCACAAGCTCAAGAGAGAGATCCTCGGAGTAGCCCAATCATTTCACCCTGATGCTGCTTAATAATATGTTAAGTCTTTAGGGATATAGAATACAATAGTCTCTGTCCTTAAGGAGCTTAATGTCTTATGAATTTCTAGGTCTGTATGTACATTTTATTTGGTTTTGAATAGGAAATAACAGTGCTATAGAACTACACTTTAAAAATATGCACAATAATTTAATTTATAATTTATTTTCTCCTTTTATTTCCAAAAAGAGTTTGAAGTGACTTAAAATACAAATATAAATATACACAGGAGAGGGAAAACTGGATCAAGATCAGAAATCATATTGGTTAAAGGAAAGATAATTGTATAAAGATTGAACCAGAGATTCTCTTTTCTGAAAATAGATTTATTGTTTTTGTAAAAATCATACATAAAATAGTAGTCACCTGAATTCCCTTTATCTGGAAATTGATTGTTATATATATGTTTATGTACAAATTTAACATGAATGGGACCATGCTGTATTTACTGTAAATTAAGTAATTAGGGAAATTGAGTATTAATTTAGATTGAAGTTTCCTGATAGGGCAAAAAAGGGATACAGAGAGTTATATCTTTATGTATTATATATATTTATGGTTTTATATATATAAAATATATATTATCATTATGTATATTCAGCAAACATATTTAAAAACTCTGTGGTGTCAGGTGCTAATGTGCTAGGCTATCAGGGATTCAGAGAATAAGCAGTCACAGCTTTTGCCTTAAGAAGCTTACTTGGACTGCCGACATCCAGGACTTGAGTAATGTGATGGCCATTGTCTTCAGTAGCCGTGCTGCCAAAGCTTTACCAACATTCTACTAGGACAATCCTTTTGCCAGCCCTAGTAACAGCTTGGGTATAGTATTGACTCAAGGAACAGTCATTGGGGTCTGGCCCCTTCTCCACAGTTAGCCCTCTATAAGCCTCATGCCACAAGGCACTTGTTTAGCCTGAGTCTGGGTGTCTCATTCTATATTGCACTCTGACCCAGTCCAGCTAAAGGCTAAGCCACAGGGTCCCAGAATGATCACTGTGACTTAGCGTAGCCTTCACCGGCTTGTGCAAATATACACAGCCTTCAGCTAAATTCAATTAGTTTTTCTTTAAGAAGGAAAAGAAATCCAATTTTACCAAACACGGACAGACGGTGGAAGGCACTTTGATGTTACAACCTCTCGGTGATGCTTTACTTAGTCACAAGTTCATAAGCAAGAAGGCTTAATTACTTGGGAAAACACAGGATTAAAACTGGACACAATGGCTGAGTATCCGCTCTCGGGCGACTTGATTCGAACCCATGCACCCAGTTCGTGTGTGGTGCAAACTTTGATGTGTTCTATGACAGGCTGAAAGTCATGACCCCCTTGGGGAAGCTCCTTCAGATGGCATTTGCAGGATGTGTAGGCGGAGAGGCAGGGCCTGCCAGGCCTGTTTGCTCAACTTTGATGTCCAAGCAGCCACAGGCCCCACTATTTGCTCTTCCACTGAGGGATGGATTGGGAGCCTCCTACCTTTCCCAGTGAACAATGGCCAGCAATGGAGTGTGACGACTGTTGACCATTCCAGAAGTCTGGTGGACCAGAACAGGGCTTTGGGAGGTGCAGAGCCTGGGGGGCCAAAAGCTGTTCATAGGACAGTCATTTCTCCAGATGTAGCTTTCCTTAAAGCTCTGGTATTGTTAGGTGCTTGCAATGGAGATAAAAATAGTCTCATGAGTTTTAGCACGGTTTAAGTACTTCTTGGCCCTCTGTTCCAGCAGCACTAAGATGTTTGTAAATTAGAAGTTTAAGTTGTTCCTAGTCCCTTAATTAGAGTATATGTGCAGAGGATAGTGGTTTAGAAGAAAAATTGTAAGACTTAGATTCTTATAATTTCTAATTCATAAAAAAGGAGCTGTAAAAACATGTATCTTATAAAGCAGTAGTACCCAGAACATATAAAGAAGTCTTACAAATCAATAATAAAAAAAATCTAATTTTTTTAAATGGGCAAAATATTTTAGCAGATGCTTCATCGAAAAAGAGATGGGTGGCAAATAAGCACATGAAAACATACTCAGTGCAAATTCAAGTCACAATGAGATACCACTACATACCTGCTACAGTAGCTAAAATTTAGGAAAACTGACAATACTAAGGGCTGACAAGGATACAGAACAATATTGATACATCACTGATAGGAATGCATAATGGTATAGCCACATTGGAAAACACTTTGGCAGTTTCTTATAAAGGTAAAGTATACATTTACCATACCACAGAGCAATAGCAACTCCTAGGTATTTGTCTAAGAGAAATAAAAATGTACGTCTGCAAAAATACCTGTATGTAAATATTTATAGCAGCTTTATTCATGACCACCAAAAACTGGATATAATGCAATGTCCATCAACTGGTGAATGGACCAACAAATTGTGGTATATCCATACGGTAAAAACAGCCAAACAAACAATGACAACAACAAAAGCACCATGCTAAGCTAAAACCAACACAAAAAGCTACCTGCTCTGTAATTCCATGTATATGACATTCTGGAGAAGACAGAACTTTAGGGGCAGAAATCAGATTGGTGGTTGCCAGTGTTTGGGAATGGGAAGAGAATATAAAGGAACTTTTTGGGATGATGGAGAAATATTCTGTATCCTGATTATCATGCTGGTTACATGAATGTATATAATTATCAAAATTCATTAAATTATATATCTTAAAAAGGATGAATTTTACTCTGTGTAAATGTGATACTTCAGTAAACTGACTTTAAACACTTTTTAAAAAGCTGTCATCCCTCTCTAATTTTCATTATTAATTGTGACCAGTGGCATACTGAGAATTTGTATTAGTAGTATCAAAATTAATTCATATTGTTAATGGTCACCTGGAATGTTTTGAATTCTTATTGTTGATGATATCTCACATTAGAGTGATATGCATTCTGATTTTTAGTAGGGAATGAAGATTTGTCAATTCATACTATCAGTGATGTAATGAAGTATAATTACTGATGAATAGTGATAAATTCACTTTATGAGTAGTGTACAGTGGACTTGTATAAATTCATAAAGTATATGATTCTTCATTCCAGCAAGGAGAAAGTTGAGGTTACAGACTGGGAGCTTGCCTCTCCCACACTATTCTTGGGTTCCTTATCTCTGGACTCTCATGCAGGGACACCACCTATATAGTGAGGCCGTTGTGGTGCTTCAGGAACCAAAGATCCTGAAAAGGGAGGCTGGTGTGGGGAGATTTTGATTTCATCCTGCTTGGGCTTGGTGGTGGCTTTTGCAAGCCTTTGCCTCGGAGAAGGTGAGAACTGCAAGGCAGAGCATGAAGCACATCAGAACTGTTTGAAATTCCCCACAAGAGTCTCCCTCCCTCCTTCTGCCTTTTCTCCCCGAGTGCATTTCATCAGTGTCGGAAGGACTGGTTCCCGGCACTGCCTTCCCTGCTTGGCCAGGGTCCCCGAGGAACTGAGCTAATGAGTGGATAACACGCATTTGCCAAGGCCTTCCTGGATGTGGTACCCGGGCTTTGTTAATTTTAAAGTGCTGCCATCCTTGGCTGAAGACCATTCAATTCCCTCTCACAGCAGTCATTTATTTTTAGCATTTGCTTATTTTCCCTCTGCCTTACTAAGGGGAGAGGGTGCATTAAACCCTTTCTTTAAAAAACCGATAGCCTAAGCCAGATTGCTGTCCTACAGAAGAGGTTTTAAAGGCCTTCCTTTGTGGACCCCAACAGCTCCATGGGTGTTCTTAGAGCGAAGAGCAGATGCTAATCTTGCAGCTAGACTACTGGCAGCCTCCCTGGGAGGCTCTGCTTCCTTCCTGGCTAGCTATACGTGGAGCAGGTAGAGTACCAGTGTACCTGTGCTTGAAAGTAGGTCCTTAGGGAACCTGACCAACCACATGGAAGTCGGTCCTGCCTTAGGGGCACAGAGCCTTTTCCGTCTTCTAACCTATTCTTGGTCTGGCTTCGTGCTGTAGAGTAGGGCTACCTTCTGCCCAAGGAGGCTGGGCTTTGTGCTGTGTGATCTCCTGACTGTAGTAATGATGATGGCAGTAGTTGATTGGGTGCTTTCTGTGTGCCAGGCCCATGTCAAGCACTTCCCATGTTGGGTCTAATCCTCAGGGCAATCTTGAAAGGAAGGGATTATTATTCCTATTTTACAGATAGGGAAAATGAAGCTCAGAGTTGTCCAAGGTTGTCCAGCTAGTAAAAGAAGGAGCCAGGATTTGAAGCTGGGTCTTTCTGAACCCCAAACCCTTGCTCTTTCCACTGGACTACACTGCCTATGGAGGGAAGGGGCCGGGAGCAAGGCCATGGGATGGACCGAAGGATGCTGGAACCAGGAGTCAAGTCGGCTCTATCAGGGTTTCTTGATGACCCATGATGTATTATATGGATTTTGAGAACTGTAAAAACAGACAAGCCACTCTCCTTGTTCTCAGAAAGCTGACACTCAGAAAAGGGATAAAAGTCCCGCTTTGGAGAATGAGGCAGAATGTGTTCAGTGCCACAGAGAAGAACACATAGAGTGCTGTGGAGGAGATGATGCTGTGTAGAGCCAGCATCATGAAAAGAGGCCCTTTCAGAGGAGTTGGGCAGGATTTGATTGGTAACATAGGGAGTAGGGGGAGAGCATTTGCAGAAGGACCATTGTGAGCATAGGCTCACAAAGGTGGAAAGCAGAGATGTGCTCGTAGAAGCAACCGGCAGGGAACCCAAGAACATGGGACCCCTGAGCAGGGTACCTTGATATAGGCTGGCTTTTGTTACAGGTGGCCACCTGCCCAGTGCAGGACAGTACCCAGTATTCCCCAGCAAGGAAGGATGGGTGAGGGTGCTGGCCAAGTGCCCAGAATGCCAGCACCGCAGCACCGTGCCCCCAGGAAAGTGTTGGGCTTGACGTTTCTCCCACCCCTACTGCTATGGCCGATTATCTCTGAGTAAGAAAGAGTCATTTCTAATCCCATTTGGAATCGTTGCTCAAGATAATCCTGTTTTGTGGTAATGATATTCCAATTCCAGCATGCACTCGTAGTTTGGCAGACACATGCCTCAACCTCAGGCAACTCAAGACGCTGCTCCCTGGAAATCAGTGCCAGCTCATTTGCCTAACGTGACAGTCTCAGGGTATACTTCCTGGGCCCAATGCTCTGTTCTGTCCTGGGGTTCTGTGTTCAGTGCTGTCTTCATGGAGAGTGGCAGTTGGGGATAGGAGAGCATCCAGTGTTCATTATGGAGAGTGGCAGTTGGGGATAGGAGAGCATCCAGTGTTCATTATGGAGAGTGGCAGTTGGGGATAGGAAAGCATCCAGTGTTCATTCAGTTCAGCTGCTTGGGGCAGGGTGTTCCATCTCTAGGAACTGTGAGATGGTCTAGTTCTATACCTCTTCTTTAAGAGACTTCTTTAAAAACAGCTGTACCATAAGCTGCTTATTTTAACAGAGCTGCCAGGCTGGTGGGCCAGGGGTCGGCAGTAGATATCATGGGTGTTTCAGGCTTTTAGTAAGATATTTGGATGTCTCTAATGACATCTATATGAGTAAAATTATGATGTAAAAATAGTATAGTCAGACTAGTAAATGTAAATGACCTGGTTCATTGTTTATGTATGAATGGACATCAGACTAGAGAGCAGGCTTGAGTGGTGAGCAATGGGGCTCTGTCCTGTTCAGTATTTTATATCACTGATTTCATTGAGGTCATTGATAAATGCCAACAGAGTTAATGAAGCTTGAGGAGGTACTAATATATTGGGTGAAAAAATAGGGGACATTAAATAAAACCTCAGTGGGCTAGAGCAATGGTTAAATCTGTGTTGATAAAAACTAACAAGGATAAGTATATGGGTCAACAATTAAAAACCAACTGTAAAACCCAACGTGCAAAACTTAGCAATACTAAAAGTAAAGTCTAGAAGCTGACTAAAAACCCAATATGTTGTCTGCTGTGCAACATCAGGCCCCAGAAGTGAATTGATTCAGCAAATATTTACTGCCCTGTATAGGCCCTATGTGTGTGGAGATGGAAATAGTCAAGGCACAGTCCCTGCTTTGGGGAGCATCCAGTCTACTTATGTATACTATGGTAGTGAAGAATAGGGGCTCTGGAGTGAAGCTGCCTGTGTTGAAGACCTTGCTGTGCCTCTTATGGTTTTTAGTTTACCCATCTGCAAAATGGGAATAATAATGGCACCTACCTCAGCATAAGGTGGTTGCAAAGATTAAAATGCACATAAAACTACTTAGTGTAGTGAATAAGTAGGTATCTGCTGCTGTTATTAATATTGTTTTTTCTTTTTGTTGTTATTTTCACCCGAGTCTAAGAGATATGCCAGCCCCATCATACTGTTCTGGATCATTTGCCTAGAGAGAGCCTAGTCTGGGTCCATACTGTAATAAGTCCTAACATCTAGGGCCTGACTACACTGGCCTTAGGTTTGGTGACCATATATTATGAACCACAAATTGAAAGACATGGAAGTGTATTTAGAACTACGCTGAGGATGTGAAATTGGGATTATCTTGGAAACCCTGTTGTGGGTGATCTTGATTCCTTGGCCATCAGCTTAACGTGCCATGCCTTCCTCGAGCCTTGCCCCTAATTATATCACCTCTGTCTGGGTTCACCACTGATTTTTACCCTTGTCTATCTCAAACAGACTCCTTCTTATCCCAGCTAGCTGCTATGACCTGCTTTGCTTTAACTGCCATCTGAAAATATCACTGTTCCTGGTACTATGCAGTAAGAGCTTAGTAACTATGGGATAAGAAGACAGACTAATGGATGGTCAGTTGGGTGAGAGCCAACGTGGTTTAGGGGAATGTACACCAAATTTAGACTCAGACAGACCTGGTTTTGAATCTTGGTTCTTGTGCTTATTTAATGTGTACATTTGGGTAACTCATATTATCTTGCCGAGCCTTAGTTTACTTATTTATAAAATAGGACTGGTACCTCATTGCAAGTTGTTATAAGGATCTGAAATAGTGAATATAAAGTGTCTAACACACTGCGGCTGCTTTATTATGATTATTGATCTTTACTTTTTGAAGTAAATAAATAAACATTATCCTCATTTGAGGAAACTGGGGCACATTTTCTATACAGGTACCTTATTTCCTACCCAATCTTTAATTCATTTCCTTAGGAATCTGGCTTTAAAAAGAAAACTGTTCTCTGTGCCCTCTCTACTCTCAGCTCATGTCCCCATGCCACAGGACTTGTAGATTTAACAAATGCTAGTGCCTTTGGTTGGGCCACCCGGCTTTCCTGACCAGCCAGAGACCAGGTTACTGAATGAGCCACAACTCATTTGACTTTCCAGCAGACCTCCTGAACTGTGACCTTTTCACTTCCTCCCCTCATCGAGGTGTGCACTGGGTTGAGAAGAGGTCACTCTTTGTCTTCTCCTTGGGACCCGTGACACTCATCACAGTGATCCTATGCTTCAGATGTGGGGGGTGGGGAGGAGGAGGAGTTAGAGGAGCTTCTTCTGAAGCTCAACATTGTGTAGGGATGACCTGGAGCTGGGATCACTGCCCTTCTTGCTTCACCAACTCCAGCTGCTCGCCAGCCGTCTTTGACACGCGCCTGGCCCAACACAAGCCTGAGCTCACACCATAGGTTTTCTCGCTCTTCCCTAAACAATGTGAGCACCCCAACCCCCTCTGGCCACTGAAAGCAGAAAGCCTAAACACTGATTGAAGTAACTGCCCTCCCATTTATTGTGACTCCCCACCACCCTGAAAGCAAGAGCTCATCAAGGTCAGTGTGAGCCAACCTTCCTACATGTGCTTCCACTTTTAATCTAATTACAGCCTGATCAGCAAATTAATTTGGCTGTGGCTCCAAAGGGAGTTCCATGAATCTCAGGAGCTGCCACTTAGTGACCACCCTCCTGTTCATTTCCTGAGCTTTGTCTGGGAACTTTCTGTAGCCCAGGAAGGAGCTACTGTTCAGGAGAGGAACATATACGTTTTCCACAGCTAAACCACCCGCAGCCTAGTTGGGACCTTCAGGTGGGAGAAGGCTGAGCAGGGCAGAGACAGCTGCTGTCCACCTTTCTCTCCCATTTTCCATCAAATAAATTAATGATTTCATTTATTCATCTTTCATTTATTTATTCATGCACTCATTCAGAAAACATCTGTGATCCAGGCACTGGGCAGGGAGCTGGGAAATAAGGTTGAGACATGGCCCTTGCCCCATAGTCTAGTGGGAAAGGCAAATAAAAGTAAGCAGGCCATCATGATACAATATGAGGGTCACCTACCATGGGAGTGAGTACTGGGTGCTGTGCAGACAAAGAGAAAGAGCATGGACTCATACTGGGAATCAGAGAAGGCACAGTTGAGTTGGTGATGGTGTCACCAAGGAGCCCTGAAGGTGAATGAACACCAACCAGTTGAAGGAGGGGACAGCAGGTGGCATCTTTGATGGCCCTTGGTGTACTGCAGGGAGTTCATTGTTTTCAGTGGGTCTTTAATATTTCAGCCCCCAAGACTACTAGATCATATAGGAATTAGAAGTTTTATAATTGAGAGACTCCCTGAAAGGGATTAACTTTTGGAACAAATGGTCAAGTTCAATTAATATGTAAATAAAAGAGATAGGACTTCAACACTTTTTGAAAAAAATCATCCATCTATGTTGTTGCATGTATATCCAGCCTGTTGCTTCTAACTACTGCATCGTGTTTCATAGTGTGTGACTACCACATTTACCTTATCTGTCCCCCCAGTGGTGGACACTTGATGGCCCGCAACTCCCCACTGCCACAGAATGCTGTGATGAACCATTTCTTGTGTTGCCCTTTATGGACCTGCATAAGAATTTTTCTAAGAATTGTATACTCAGGAGCAGAAGTGCTTGGTCATAGGGTAAGGTGCTTTAATGAAGTCCTGCAAGATTGGCTTCCAGAATGGCTGCACCAGTCTATACCCTAACAGTGCATGAAGTGTCCCAGATCCTCACATCTTCACCAACACTTGCCATTTTTCAGCTTTCTAACATTTGTGAATATGTTGAATTTACAGTGATATCTCATTTTAATTTGCATTTCTGTAATAACAAATGAACTTGAAGATTTTCTTTATATACCTAGTAATAATCCTTTTTTGGTTTCCTCCTCTAGGAATTGGCTGTTGATATCTTTGCCTCATTTTTGTTGGGCCTTCTTTTTCTTTTTTCTTTTCTTTTTTTTTTTTTCTATTTCGTTTTTTTTTTGAGACAGTCTCACTCTGTTGCCCAGGCTGGAGTGCAGTGGTGTGATCTTGGCTCACTGCAACCTCTGCCTCCTGGGTTGAAGTGATTCTTCTGCCTCAGCCTCCCGATTAGTTGGGATTACAGGTACCTGCCATCACACCTGGCTAATTTTTGTATTTTTAGTAGAGATGGGGTTTTACCATGTTGGCCAGGGTGGTCTCCAACTCCTGGCCTCAAGTGATCTGCTCGCCTCAGCCTCCCGGAGTGCTGGGATTATAGGCATGAGCCACTGCGCCTGGCATGTTGGGCCTTCTGATCCTAGCATTTCTATCAAAGCCTGATCTGGGGCAAAGTGCTCCTACAGACTATTAACTACCTGAAAGTCAGTATTGGGAAGTGAAAGGCAATATAACATACTTGTGCCATAGACATTCTCTGCTTCCCCAAATTAGTAAGGGTAATAGGGTATCTGGAGATTATCCCTAGCCTTTGAGGGTTGTACTACCATGAGAGGCCAAATCTTGAGCTGGTTGAGAGAATGGCTGATAATCTTTCTTTTTTTCCTGCCCAGGCTAGAGTGCAGTGGCACAACCACAGCTCACTGCAGCCTCGACCTCCTGAGCTCAAGCGATCCTCCCGAGTAGCTGGAACTACAGGCATGTGCCACCACACCTGGCTAATTTTTAATTTTTTTTAAGTGACAGGATCTCACTATGTTGCCCAGGCTGGTCTTGAACTCCTGGGCTCAAATGATCCTCCTTCCTCAGTCTCCCAGAGTGCTGGAATTATAGGTATGAGCCACCATGCCAGCCAGAGAATCGCTGATATTCTTAAGCCTTTGCCCAGTGAGTGCCTGTGGAGTAATTCCTTTGAGTGGAGATGTGTCCTGATATAGAAAAACATAATTGAGTGGCCTGTTTTACTCTGCCTCCTTTAATCCAACTGTTAAGACCGTGAAGACCTAGCCTTATACCACAGCCCATGTGGTACCAGCTACTCAAATTTAAGACAGTAATAGTGAAACCCACACCTACAACATGGCAGCCAGTATGCCAGCATCAGAACAAAGGAGAAGTTGCTACTGTCCTATTGTCCTTTAATGGATCAGCTCCAGTAGCAGTGCCTACCTTCCTCTGTGCCATCAGATTTGGTTCTTATTGCTCACTCTGTGTTCTGTATATCAGCCAGGTGGGCTGACTCACCATCATCTCCCCATGTAAGTCACCTTCTCCCAAATACTGTTTTGAGTTGGGGATTTCTTTCTGCTTCAGCAGAAAATAAAAGAGGCAGAAATAATTCCATTTCCATTGTCTCCTTACTGCTGCTCCTGGATGCTGCTGCTTTTGCCTTGCCTTGACTTCTGGTACCAGTGTAATCCTTGGTTTCTGGCTACTCACTTGGTTTATAATCTGTTCTACCTCACCCTCTAGTTCTTGACCTCTGACCTCATGTACACCTTTGCTGCCTGGTGTGTGGCCCTTAATTTTATTTTGATTGTGAACTTCTTGGCACTCCCTGGTGTTGGCCTACTGCTGAGCCCGTTTTCACCATCCTTGCCTTAGATTTCTCTAACCTGGCTAGCCTTCTACCGTGTTTCTGCCCTGCTATATGCTATATGCTATAGTTTCAGTGAGGTTCTTTTGGTGATCAAAGCTAGTGGTGAATCATACTCTTGTAGCCCTCTAGCCCGATCTGGGCTGGCTTCTCCAAGAAGGGCCTGACCCGTTTGGAGCTCTTGGTTAGATACTTTATAAGTACATGAAGGCTGTTGAACAAAAAACCTACTGGCCATATGTCAAGGTGTTTGACGCCACTGTTGGTTACTGAGCAGCCATGGTTTCTTTAGCCCTGTCTATACCCCACAGTGGTGCTGCTGCCTTTTGAGTATTATTAAAAGTGAAGGGAGGGCCGGGTATGGTGGTTCACACCTGTAATCCTAGCACTTTGGGAGGCTGAAGCGGGCGGATCACGAGGTCAGGAGATCGAGACCATCCTGGCTAACACGGTGAAACCCCGGCTGTACTAAAAATGCAAAAAAATTAGCCGGGCATGGTGGCAGGTGCCTGTAGTCCCAGCTACTCAGGAGGCTGAGGCAGGAGAATGGTGTGAACCCGGGAGGCGGAGCTGGCAGTGAGCCGAGATTGCGCCAGTGCACTCCAGCCTGGGCGACAAAGCGAGATTCTGTCTCAAAAAAAAAAAAAAAAAAGGGGAAGGGAATCTTCTCTGAGGTTTCAGGATGAGTCACTGTCTTGGATGCTTACCCTCTTTGGCCTCCAAGTTTGTGAAGTGAATTGCTTATTCCCTTTGATTGGGTTAGCAGCCCCAGGGTCGATCCTAGTCACTCTCTTCTCCCCACCCTGCTAGACCACTGTCTGCCCTCTGGGACCAAGGGCAACATACGTGGTTGCTTGGACACGTCCTACAGCCTGCAAATTGGACAGATGAAATCAATACTCATGAACCTGGAGAGGCCCAGGTAGCACAGTTAGTGACGCTAGCTGCCTGGAGGGACAGCCTGCCATGGGAGGGGGTGTGATTGAATGGTGATTGGACACAGCAGCTGAGGATTAACCAAATTACGTCCCTTTGAGTTTAGATCGACACTTGGATTTTAACACACATCAACTTGTGCAGAATATAGAAGAGCTGCCTTCTTAACGCAGGACTATTCCAGCATGAGTGCTAGGGTGGTCAGGTATAGATCTGGTGCCCATCACAGCCCAGATTCATGTGATTATTGCTGAGATTATACAAACAGAGGGTAAAGAGCTTAGATTTGTGGAGCTTTTTTTTTTTTAATGTGTCAGGCACTATGGAGTTTTACGTACTTATAACCTGCACGGCAGCCATCATTATCTCCATTATTCTGGTAAGGAAATGAAGGCCCAGAGGTGTAGTCACTGGTCCAAGAACACACAATCAGTAAATGATAGAGCTTTGATTTGAACACAGGTCTCTCTGTGCTTGTTATAAAATGCCATGCTGTCTTCCCAATTTAGATGTCTTAATTGGTATGTCTCCTGACTTTCCTTAGTCCAGCCACAGGGTCAGGTACATAGTAATAATAACTAACATTCATTGAGCAGTTGTTATGTGTCAAGACACTGTTCTAAGCTACTTTATGTGTATTAACACAACCAGATGAGCTACTCTTATTATCCTAATAATTATTATGAGGCCACAAAATGGTGGTTTTCTAATTTCATCCTTCCTTCTACAATTATTAGTTTTCATTCTATAGTAAGACAGAACTTTCCCTTCTCTCCATTTACTTATTAATTTTCAGTGTGGACTTCAATGGAGAATCTTATTTTACTCAGTGGGTTATAATTATATATAATTAATGGGTTATAATACATTACTGTCATTATTCATTCTGATGCTCTGATCATCCCAGATTTTACAGCCAGTTTTCTTAATTTCTGTGCCATACTACTTCTCTATCAGACATTGTTTTGCAGTGCTTTCAGTTAGTTTGCCTATCTGTATCTGCCTTTTTGTACCCTCTTAGCTTTAAACGTTCTGGGAAATAGGAAGACTGACTAATGCCAATCTTAATCCAAATTGTGTATAAACTGAGAGTAAATAGTCTCCAAATGAGAACCCAACAGACTTCTATGAATTAAACATATGAGTTTTAGACATAGATTTTAGCTGCTTAGAGACCCTTCTCATTTCTCTTTGAAATCTTAATTCATATTCTGGATAAATTACCTTTGAAGGTAATTTTAAAAGTTATTTTAGGTAAGGTGAGTAGGCACAGAAGACTCACTTAACTGATTTAGGTCACATATAGAAGAACCACTGCTATGTAGGAGATGGAATCTGGTTTTGGGCTTACCTGTAAGGACTGTATCTTTGTGTGCATGTAAGTTAGTGAAATTCCTTCATTCGTTCAGCAAGTAATTGAATCAGATACTGTGCCTGTTGAAGGTAATGAAATTCAAACCAAATGGTACGTGGGAAACCATCAACATTACTGGTTACAAATACTAAAAAACTATCAAGGAAGAGAAAACAAGCCATAGTTTGGCTTTTTAATAGTTACGATAAGTAATTTGTTTAAAATGCTTACCACTTCTGCTTGCAGAAGCATTAGCAGTTTTGAAGGTTAGTAAGCAAAAGATAGACACCCTAAGAGAAAGATGGGCAAAGGACCTTAATAAGGGATTTGTGAAGAAGAAGCACAACTGACTATTAAACATATTTTAAAAAAATTCATCCTGACTAGTAATCAAAAAATGCAAATTGAAAGAGCAGTGTGATTCTATTTTCTGTTTTCCAGATTGACATATTCTGGAAAAGAAGAAAAAAACTACTCTATTTTGGTAAAGGAAGGCACAGCAGTTACTCTCATACAGCATACTTTGCTAGTGAAAATAAAAATTAGCACAATCTTTTTGCAAAGCAACTTAGTAATATTTATAAAACTCTTAAAATGCTTATACTTTTTGATGTAAATTTTATCTCATATGAATTTATCCAAAGGAAATAATCAGAAATATGTTACTAAAATATTTAAAACAATCTATTGTTTTATAGTAGGGATTGGTTAAATCAAGCATGGAATAGTCTTATAGTGGAATACTGTGTAGCCATTTAAAACAATGTGGGTTTTTTTATTGTTGTTTGTTTGAGACGGCGTCTTGCTGTGTCGCCCAGGCTTGATGCAGTGGCGCGATCTCGGCTCACTGCATCCTCCGCCTCCCGGATTCAAGCGATTCTCCTGCCTCAGCCTCCCAAGTAGCTGGGATTACAGACATACACCACCACGCCCAGATAATTTTTGTATTTTTAGTAGAGACAGGGTTTCACCATGTTGGCCAGGCTGGTCTCGAACTCCTGACCTCAGGTGATCCAGCTATCTTGGCCTCCCAAAGTGCTGAGATTATAGGCATGAGCCACTGTGCCCAGCCAGTAAAACAATGTAATAGACATATAATACATGGAAAGATGTATGTGCATTCAGAGAGAAAGTTTATATATGATGCCATTTTTATAAATAAAAGTATGTATATATCCATTGAAGAAACTGGAAAGATGTTATATGTTCTAAGACGTTTTCTTCTTTTGGTTATCTATATTTTCTGGTTTTTTATAGTGAACATGAGCCCTTTTTTATTAGAAGGAAAAAATGTATTAGTGGGAATATTACATAAATAGCAGGAAGAAGGGAAGCTAACATGGAGTCCCTGCCTCTGGTCATACTCCCTCTTCTTATACAGCCACTGGAGTGATTTTTGTAATTGCAAAGGTTTGGAAGGAAACTTGCCAATCTATAAACAGTAGTTACTCTTGGAATTTGGACTAAGGAGATGCATGTAAGGGGAGACCTTTAATGTTCCCATGTGCTTGAGAAGAATGTGTGTTGTACTGCTGTTGGATGGAATGTTCTGTATAGGTCTGTTATATCCATTTAGTCTAAAGTGTAGCTTAAGTCAGACATTTCCTTATTGGTTTTCTTTCTGGATGACCTGTCCATTGCTGAAAGTAGGATATTGAAGTCCCTACTGTTTCTGTAGTATAGTCTATCTTTCCCTTCCCATTGATTAATAGTTGCTTTATATATCTAGGTGCTGTGATGTTAGGTGCATATATATTTACAATTGTTATAGTGTCTTGATTAATTGACCCCTTTATTATTATATAATGACCTTCTTTGTCTCTTTTTACAGTTTGGACTTAAAGTCTATTTTATTCCATATGAATATCAGTACTTCTGCTCTCTTTTGGTTCCCATTTGCATGCCATATCTTTTTCCATTCCTTCGTATTTAGTCTATGTGTGTCCTTATAGGTAAAGTGAGTCTCTTGTAGGTAACATACAGTAGGGTCTTACTCTTTTTAATCCATTTACATTCAAGGCAATTATTGATTGGTGAGGACTAACTTCTGACGTTTTGTTGTTTTCTGGTTGTTTTGTAGATCCATTATTCCTCTCTTCCTCTCTTGCCGTCTTCCTTTGTGATTAGGTGGTTTTCTTTAGTAGTATACTTATATTCCTTACTTTTTACCTTTTATGAATCTACTTTAGGTTTTACTTTGTGGTTTCTTTACACTTTTATTCCATACCCGCCACAAACATATTCTGTATTTTTAGTGTCACAATTTACATATTTTTGTATTATATATCCCTTAACAAATGATTGTAGCTAATATTATTTTTAGCAGTTTTGTATTTTGACCTTAATACTAAAGATAAAAGTGATTTACTTACCACCATTTACAGTATCATAGTATTCTGAATTTAACTATGTGCTTACCATTACCAGTGAGGTTTTTGGGGTGTTTTGTTTGTTTGTTTTGAGATAGGGTCTCATTCTGTCACCCAGGCTGTAGTGCAATGGTTGATCTCAGCTCACTACAATCTCTGCCCCGCAAGCTCAAGTGATTTTCCTACCTCAGCCTCCTGAGTATATGAGACTACTGGCATGTGACACCACGCCTGGCTAATGTTTGTATTTGTTTGTCTGTCTGTTTTTGGTAGAGATGGGGTTTCAGCATGTTTCTCAGGCTTCCAGTGAGTTTTATACTTTCTTGTTTTTGTGTTGCTAATTAGCATCCTTTTCTTTCAACATGAAGCACTCTCCTTAGCATTTCATATAAATTTATTACCGTCAGACCTGTCTAAGAAATATAAGACAGGTCTGGTGGTGATAAACTCCCTCAGCTTTTATTTCTCTGGGAAAGTCTTTATCTTTCCTTGATTTCTGAAGAAGAGTTTTGCTGGATATAGTCTTCTTAGTTGGCAGGGTTTTTTTTTCATTCAGCATTTTGAATCTATCATCCCATTCTCTCCTGGCCTATAAGGTTTATAATGTGAAATCCACTGTTAGCCTTATTGGAAGTCCCTTATATGTTACTTGCTTTTTTTCTCTCACTGCTTTCAGAATCCTTCTTTATCTTTAATTTTTTTTTTTTTTTTTTGAGACAGAGTCTTGCTCTGTCGCCCAGGCTGGAATGCAGTGGTGCGATCTTGGCTCACTGCAAGCTCTGCCTCCCGGGTTCACGCCATTCTCCTGCCTCAGCCTTCCGAGTAGCTGGGACTACAGGCGCCCGCCACCACGCCTGGCTAATTTTTTTATTTTTTATTTTTTAGTAGAGACGGGGTTTCACCGTGTTAGCCAGGATGGTCTCGATCTCCTGACCTCATGATCCGCCCCCCTCAGCCTCCCAAAGTGCTGGGATTACAGGTGCGAGCCACCGCACCCAGCCTGTCTTTTAATTTTTGATAGTTTGATTATAATATGTCTTGGTGTAGTGTTATTTGGACTGAATCTTATTGGAAACCATTGGCCTTCCTATTTTCAAATAACTGATTTTTGAGTTCACATATTCTGTCTTCTGCTTGATCAGTTCTGCTGTTGATGCTCTGTGTTGCAGTTTCATTGGATTCATTGTATTTTTCAGCTCCAGGATTTCTTTTGATGTTTTTTAAAAAAATAATTTCAATCTCTTAAATTTGTTTGGGATATTTATTGTTTTCCTTATTTTGTTAAATTGTTTCTCTATATTTTCTTAATGTTTGCTAAACTTTCTTAAAACAATTATTTTTAATTATTTGTGAGGCAGGTCATGAATATCCATTTCTTTAGGGTTGGTTACTGATCCTTTGTTTTGTTCTTTGGGTGGGATCAAGTTTCCCTGATTGTTCTTGATTCTTCTGGCCATGCTTTGGTGTCTGAGCATGTGAAAAAGTAGGAACTTATCCAGTCTTTGCAGATTGGCTTTGCCTGAGAAAGCCCTTCACCATTCAGCCTGTCCAGAGATTCTGGGCAGGCCATCTTGTGTGGTTCATGAATGATCTTGGTGCTGAAGTCCTTAGGCAGGCTGGCCTGGTACCTGGGTCAGCAGGTGAGTGGGCCTGGTGCCTGGGTTCATAGGGTTAAGCTTGGAGCCTGGGCCCACTGGAGTGGACCTATTGATTGGGACCACAGGGGTGGGCTGAGAGCCTATATCTGCGGGAGCCAGCCTGAAGCCTAAGTGCACAGGGACTGACCCTGTGATGGCATGGGCCTTGAGCCTGAATCTGCAGGGAATGGTTAGTCATTGGGATTGACTTGGCGCCTGCATCCAGGTGGACGGGCCTGGAGCCTAAGTCCACAGGGGTTGGTCTGGTACTGGGGCAGACCTGGAGCCTGAGTTTATGGGGGTTGGGCCCGGGCCCTGGGTCCACAAGGGCTGGCCTGGAACGTGGGTATACAGGGATGGTCCTGGAGTCTCATCCCATGGGGGCCAGGCTGTTACTGGCATCTGTTGGAGTGGGTCTGGACCTTGAGTCTGCTGGAGCAGGCCTAGACTTTGGGTTCACTGAAGTCTGTGGCATGGGGACTGGCCTGGAGCCTGGGCTGGCCTGTTCCTGGGCAGGCACGGAGCCTGGGTCTGTGAGTGATGGTCAAGAGCCTGGATGTGCAGATGCTGCCCCAGAGGGTAGGTCTGTGAGGGCTAGCCTGGGTACTAGGGCAATGAGGGCCAGCCTGGGACCTGGGTCCATGAGGGCTATCCTGGAGTCTGGATTTGTGGGAGCCAGCTCAGTACTGGGTCTACTGGGATGGGCCTGGGGGTTGCTAGAGCAGGCCTGGAGTGTGGGGCCGCAGGGACTGGTGTGAAACTGAGCAGGCCTAGAGCCTGTGTCCACAGGTGCTGGCCCAGTGCCTAAGGCCAGGGGTACTGACCTGGTGCTAGGGCAGGCCTAAAGCTCTGAGCTGTGTGGACCAACTTGGCTGTGGGCTGGGCTGGAGCCTGGGGTGGACCTGGAGGCTGGGTCTGCTGGTGTAGGCCTGATAACTAAGGCTGTCAGGCTGACCCAGTGCTAGGGCAGACCTGAAGCCTGGATTCATGCCCCAGCCGGTTCTGGGGGGAGTCTAGAGCCCTGGGCCACCAAGGCTGCCCTGGCGCTAGGATGGGCCTGGAGATTGAATCTGCAAGGTGGGCCTGAAGCCTGAGTCTGTAGGGGCTGGGCTCATGTTAAGGTGGGCCCAGAGTCCATGACTGCTGGGGCTGGCCTGGCACTAGGGCCAGAGTCGGGCTGCTAAGGTCAGTCTGGCTAGGAAGCAGATCTGGAGCCTGGGGCTATGGGGTATGGCCTGGCACCAGGGCAGGCCTAGAGGCTTAGTCTGAGGGTATCAGCCGGGAGTTTGGGAGCCTTCCAGGCACTGAGTTTTACTGGAGTGGGCCTGGTTTCAGGGTCCAAGGCAAAGTCCAGCCCTCACTTCCCTCTCCTTCCCCCATGAGTGTATGTCTCTCCATGTGTACCGCCTGGAGTTCGGGGAGGGGTGATATGGGTAAGGGGAGACTGTCTTCCTACCCTCTGTAGGTAATCTTTTCTTTACCTCTGTGCTACGCCCAGGTGCTATAATCTCTCATTTGGTTTACTTAGCTCTTGTGAAGGTATTTTTGCATGTGGATAATTGTTCAAATTGATGTTTCTGCTGGGGAGCAAGTGCTGGAGAGTCCTGTTCTGCCATCTTGCTGATGCCGTAAGGGCTTTCTTGATCCTGTTTCTTGGTCTGCTGCACGTTTCTCCTGTCGTAACCTTTATCACACTTTGAGCTGTAGCTTTATACTTAATTATTGTTTTTCTCAGCAGACTGGCCCTAGCTTCTTGAGGTCACAGACCTCAGCACCTAAAATAGGGACTAGAACATGGTAGGCATTTGATAAGTAATTGTTGGATAAACAGTTTGTATTTTATAATTGTGGAAACTGGGCCTTAGAAAGGTGTTAAGTAACTTGTCCCAAGCTTCTCAGCTGATAAGTTTCAGAGGCTGCTGCCTTTTTTTTTAAAAATGAAGTTTCACTATGTTGCCCAGACTGGTCTTGAACTCCCGGACTCAAGTAATTCTCCCAAAGTGCTGGGATTACAGTCATTAGTCACTGCACCCGGCTAAGATCTCCTGTCCCTGTCTTTCCTATCCTTGTCTTTTACACTCCCAAAGTTCATGGTTTTTTTCCCACCGTATCACTCACATGAGCAGAGACAGCTCCAGTCCCCAAACATGCTTCCGGATCTGGGTCTGTACCTCCTGGGCCTTTCTTGCTTTTGACACTTCTGTCTTTGTGATTTCTTCTAGTGTGGTACAGGTCCTGCTTGCTGCTGGGGCTGATCCAAACCTTGGAGATGATTTCAGCAGTGTTTACAAGACTGCCAAGGAACAGGGAATCCATTCTTTGGAAGGTAAGTGTGGGCTGTCCTGCTTCTCTGAGAGCTCTCCTCTTGTGGCTTTCATGCAGCCTTGCTCTGTGGTGTCAGCTCTACCAGCAACTCAGAGTGACAGCCTGCATGTTCTTTACCTCTGTGGACTCATGGAGACCCCAAAGGGCTTGGAACAGCTGCCTTTCACAGTCCCCTGGCTCTAACTTTATGTCACTTCAAAAGAAGTCTTGGGGAAAGAAATAGAGGCCTGATTTCATGACCTAATTGCGGGTAGGAAGTACATTTCAACTGGTGTTTTCCTGAAAGTGCTTCAGCCTGGAGAGCCGCAGATGAGTGGACAACGGAGCAGATTTCAGTAAAATAATTAAGGCAACTGCATGGAATGTGGATTTGTTCGTCTCCTGTTTCCTGCAGACTTACCTTGCCCCATTCCTGCCCCAGAACTAGACAACAGCCTCACTGGATTCCTCAGCCTCAGAAGTCCCTAAATACTATTACTCTGAATACTGCTTTTCCCCCTCCTAAATGTAAATTGCAGTCCTGTCTCTGGGACTGTCCCCTCAACTTACTCTATGATCCAGGACAAACAGTGGACCTTCTCTGTGTTTTGATGTCTATCCTCATAAAATGAGGTCATCATCAATGCCTCCTCTGGGATGTCTGGGATGTTGTGTTGGTGGTGGTTTGAACTTCAGAATGAAGAGGCTCTGGGATGAGTCTTGGGGATTGAATGTCCAAGGCAGGTGTTTGGGTTTGCACTAGGGCTCGATCATGTGTCTGTTGGGGGGTGCCTCAGCAAGTCAGTCTATGTTGTGTCTGGTGAGTACTTCTTCCAAAGTGGGATTGAAAAAAACAGCTGGTTGCTTTGGCTGCAGTCAGAAATGAGTATTTTACATTTGAGCTTTCGTTTATCCAGACTGTCGCCACTGCTTTCCCCTTGTCCTGGATCATTCACAGAGGCTGCGATCCCTCTGACATTGCCAGCAATAGGGTGGCTGAGCAGTGGCTGCTTTAGTGTTAGCAGTGATGCCAGGAGGACAGACAGCCTCTCTGACTGCCTGAGAGCCAGAATATTGACGCTGGGGGAAATTCAGCCAAGGGGAGCAATGTGCTCAGCCTTCAGAGCTGTAAGGCTGCCAGACTGACGTGGTATGTGGTAACTCAGAGTAGCGGTGTTGTTGCTGCCCCGGGGAGAAGGTTTCTCAAATCAGTGGCATGAGAGGAGTGTCCAAGAGCATTAAGGCATTGCTGCCCAGGTAAAGTTTGAAGTTACCCTCTCCCTTCCCTTCCACCTCTCTAAACCTGCTCCTTCTCTTAAGGCTCCATTGCTAAGGCTAGATCCTCCACAAAGGCTTCCCTGTCCTTGACAATAATTGCAACCTGCCCTCAGCTGTTCTTTTGAATGTTCTCTAGATCTTGGCCTCTTGTATGGTTACTTGAACTCTCATCTACCCATATGTCCTTTCTCTCCTCCTCATGTGCAGGCCATGATCTTTGTGTCCTTGTATTCCCCACTGAGCCGGAGGAATTGTGTTTATGTTTTAAACAGAGAATTTCATGAGTACCACCTTGCCCTCTATTTGCAGCCTGATATGTGGGGACTCAGCTTATGGGCCATCCTCTTCTCATTCAGGCACAGCATTGCAGTGCTCAGCTCTGTCTTCAGTTTAGGTGCTGATATGGTTTGGCTGTATCCCTATTCAAATCTCAACTTGAATTTATCTCCCAGAATTCCCACGTGTTGTGGCAGGGACCTAGGGAAAAGTAATTGAATCATGGGGGCTAGTCTTTCCCATGCTATTCTTGTGATAGTGAATAAGTCTCATGAGATCTGATGGGTTTGCTAGGGGTTTCCCATTTTTGCTTCGTCCTCATTTTTCTCTTGCCACTGCCATGTAAGAAGTGCCTTTTACCTCCTGCCATGATTCTGAGGCCTCCCTGGCCATGTGGAACTGTAAGTCCAATTAAACCTCTTTTTGTTCCCAGTTTCAGGTATGTCTTTATCAGCATGATGAAAACGAACTAATACAGGTGCTCTCACCAAAAAGCAAGGTGGAGCATTTGTTGAGAGGGCAGGGCCAGGTAGACAGGAGGGGATTCTTTTGAGTGCCTTCTCTTCTGCTGTCAGGATTCTAGCAGGGCTCAATAAACATTTTTTTGTTTTATAGAATCTCAGAGCTATGAAGCCATCTAGTCCAACTTCTGCTGTCACACTGATCTCCACAATGTACATTCATGTTTTGTAGCTTTGTGTTTTAATGGTAACCTCCAGGGTGATACTCACATTCAACATTGTAGATCAGTAGTCAGCAAACTTTCTAGAAAGAGCCAGATAGTAAACATTTAAGCTTTGTGGGCCAGTTGATCTCAGTTGTGACTACTTACCTCGACCATTGTGATACAGAAGCAGCCACAAACAATACACAAACGAAGTGATGTGGATATGTTTCAATAAAATGTTATTTATAAAAACACACAGCAGGCTGGATTTGGCCCAGAGGCTGTAGTTTGCCAACCCTGCTCTACATAATTTTCTTTTCGCATTCCTAGTTCAAGGTTACATAATTTCTTTTTCTTAGTTTTTCCTTCCTTCCTTCCCCTTCCCTTTCCCTTCCCCTTCCCTTCCCCTTCCCTTCCCCTTCCCTTCCCCTTTGCTTCCCTTTCTTTTCTTTTTTCTTTTATTTTCTTTTTCCTGGTCAACCTCTGGATTATTTTTAACTCTTATGCCAGACAGCCTACATTCTGGGTAGGTAGGTAGATAGGGAGAGATAGACAACAAAAATATTTGAAAAGGCTATCATGTCCCCTTATGAAATAACAATTAAAATATTAACTATCTCTTCTTATTTCATATGATCTGCAAATTTAGTAGTAGGCTTCCTGTGGATTCACTTATTTATTCAAAAGTATTTATTGATCACATTCCTGTATACCAGGCAGTGTTTTAAGCACTGATGAGTTAGACAGACAAGATCCCCTGCCGTCATGTTCTTACTTGGATTAAAATGTTTATAAAGACTTTATTAAACACAGAGTCCTAGAGCACATGGTCAGGATAATTTTGATGCATTATTCAGCATTCTCAGGTGTAATTCTACCAACCTTCATTCTTTTCCATCCTCCATTCCTCTGCTTTGTTCACAAAATTTTAAGAGCTTTTTCCCCATATTTCTTGCTAAAATTAAAATGTTTCTAGCATTTGTCGTATTTTCCTGTCTAATAACGCTTTCCAAAAAAGGAAATCAGGTTATTCTGGCATGTTGATTTATTGTTCTTAGGGAACCCATACTGGTACCCGGTAATTACCCAAGTGTTTAAGAACTGTTATAAAACGCTGGGCACTGTGGCTCACGCTTGTAGTCCCAGCACATTGGGAGGCCGAGGCAAGCAGATCACCTGAGGCTAGGAGTTCGAGCAGCCTGGCCAACATGGCAAAACCCCATTTCTACTAAAAATACAAAACTTAGCAGGGCGTGGTGGTGCATGCCTGTAGTCCCAGCTACTCAGGAGGCTGAGGCACGAGAATCACTTGAACCCAGAAGGCAGAGGTTGCAGTGAGCTGAGATCACACCACTGCATTACAGCCTGGGTGACAGAGCAAGACCCTGTCTCAAAACAAAAACAAAAACAAACAACTGTTAAAAAAAAATAATAATAATAACGTCCTAGAAGTTTGTCAGGAATCATTAATAAACTCACTGTGGCTTGCAAGATCTCTCTACCTTTTTTTTTTTTTTTTTAAATAATTCTAGACTACCTTTGTCTGCCACAGTTTTCTGGCAGCTGGCTTTATTTTCCTGGGTGTATCAGTTTGGATGTGCTCTGCTGTCCAACTTGGTGCACTGAACGTTCCGACTTGGACCTGGATAGTGATAGTCTTTTAGAATCTTCTCAGGGCTCTTCTCTCTCATCAGCCTAAGCCTTTAGCTTCGTCTTAACCATGTCTTTCCTTTTTCCGTTTAAGGAAACCTCATTTTTTAAGCCATTCAACCAATATATATTGACTGCCAATTGTATGCAAGGCACCATACCCAGCTCTGACTCATTCTCATGGATGAAATAGAAACAAAAGAATCCTGTAGTTCTCTTATTTTTGTATTGCATTGACTTTTGCATGAAAAATTACCTGACTTGTAGGGATGGGTAAGGAAGGTAGAGTAAAACAAGAGATGTAATTCCCTTTCCTTCGAGTGTGTCTAGGCAAATTCACAGGAAGTTCACAAGCTCAGGAAAGTTGGGCAGTCCTTTGCTGTTATATTAGACTATGGAGTCACTGCCAAGTCCATGAAGTCCACTAAATTTCTAATAGATATTTCTGTGGCCCTTGGAAGGAAGGTGTAGTTTGTGGCTTTGGCAAGACCTCTCTAACCTCCAATGATACATTCCTTTTCTTCCGTATCAGTATTGTTGTGAATATCAAGAGATAAAATATGTGATATGTGGATTGTAAAGTGCTCTACAGTTGTAATTGCTTATTAGTTTCATTTATGCATAATTCAGCGTGTTCTTACCGAGTATCAGGCACTCTGCCAGTTGCTGGGATTATATAAATGATTATACATAGTCTAGCCCCTCATCAGTGCTCCCAGTCATTTACAGAGACAAGCCTGTAAACAAGGAATCACAACGCAGAGTGATAAATGCAATGGTAGCTGCACAAAGTATGTAGGCAGCACTGCTGTAAGTATTGGTGAGCTCTACCTGAGAAGTGAGCAGGCTGGTGTCTGGGAAGTGTCACAGGGTAAGTGACCTTGAATTGGGTCTTAAGGATGAGTTGGAGATTGCCAGGAAGGCTAAAAGGGATGGACCTTCCAGGCAGAGGGAACAGTCTATGCAGAGGCGTTGGGTGGGGGTTAGGGAGTGACAGCAGGTGGAACCATCTGCTGCAGGATTGAGGAGAATAACAAGAAATAAGGCCGGAGAGTGAAGAAGGCTACACATAGGAAGGACCTTGTAAGGCAGTTCTAGGGAGCTCATTCTCTATTCTGAAGGCCGTTAAAGGATTTTAAGCAGGGCAATGTCGAATTCACACTTGCATTTTAGATGGACCATTCTGACAGGGTGGAGGAGGAATTGGAGGGGAAAGATTAGCAATGGTTCTTGACTTTTTAGGGATAATGGACTCCTTTGGGAATCTGTAAGAAGCTATGCTCCTGTCCTCCAAAAAAACATTTAAAATATCTGGAGATTCCTAAAGGTGATCTTTGGGAATAGAGTAAATAGATATTAGCAGAATATTAGAAGATTGAGTACTCAGTGGATTGTGAGAATTGATGGAAAAGGAGGTATGCATGGTGACACCTCAGTTTCCAATTTGAGTGAATAGTTAGATATGTGGGTCTGGAGAGCTCAAAGGAGTAGTTTGGCAGGAGATAGGGATTTAGGAGTATTTTCCATTTCCTTGGGAGTTAAAACAATAGATGTAACCAAAATTGCCCAAAGAAAGGATTTAAAGTGAGGGGGTGGTAGGAGGACAAGTCCTTTACTCAGGATACCAGCATTTAAGGTGTGAGCAGGAAAAAGGATCCAGGCAAGAAAACTAAAAGGTATCAAAGATGCTTTGTATCTGTTTTACCTGCTGAGAACAGACACAGCCTAGGGAGGAAAGAAACTTCTTTGCCATCCTTGCTGAGACTTTATCTTTGGTTATGCCATTCCTAGTGACACTCTTCTCCCATGTCATGTGAGCATTTGCTCTTTAGCAAGAAGCCTACTTAGCTGGGTCCACTTTTGTCAAAGTTGGTGTTTCTGGGTAGAGGGCAGTCTTACTGGTTCAGGTAACCCAAGGATGCTTGGTATGGAAATCTTGTTGGCCTGATTGTTCTTTGCTTTCCCTCCAGCCCTCAGAGTGGCATCTTCAGAGGCACATTGGTGTCCTAGAGAAAGATTGGGCTTCAGTACCAGATATCTGAATGATTCATCTAAGCTCTATTACTAGATGTGTGATCTTGAGTAAATGACTTAAAGTCTCTGAATTTCAATTTTCTCATCTGTAACATAGTAAAAACAATACCCATCTTATAGGGTTGTTAGGATGATTAGAGATAATCATATATATTTAAAGCACAGTGACATTTAATAAAGAATTTCTCTATGGAGGTGGGTTTTGGCAAAGTGTAAAGCAGGAAGCCTGCCTAGGAGGTATTGAGCAACTCACCACTCAAGGGGTACTAACAGCTGAGATGTCTGCCCATCATGGATTCTGTAAAGGGGATTCTCGCCATGGGTCATTGGATTATCTGGCCTCCGGTGCCCCTGTCAGCCATGTGATTTCTAATGTTTAGAAGCTCTAGGCTCACTATCAGAGCAAGTAATGTTCTTTTTTTTTTTTTTTTTTTTTTGAGACAGAGTTTCGCTCTTGTTACCCAGACTGGAGTGCAATGACATGATCTCGGCTCACTGCAACCTCTGCCTCCTGGGTTCAGGCGATTCTCCTGCCTCAGCCTCCCAAGTAGCTGGGATTACTGGCGCCACCACCACGCCCGGCTAATTTTTATTTTTATTTTACTAATACTTTTAGTAGAGATGGAGTTTCACCATGTTGGCCAGGCTAGTCTCTAACTGCAGACCTCAGGTGATCCACCCACCTTGGCCTCCCAAAGTGCTGGCATTACAGGGGTAAGCCACTGCACCCAATGTGATATTCTTGAAAGAAGTGGGATTTGAGTTGGGCTTTGGAGGATGAAGAGGATGGGGAAAAATAAAAAAGCAGAGGGCACAGCTTAGAATGTCTGTGAGATGGAATAAATGTAGAGAGAAGTATGAGGATCATAGCTGTTCCTCTGCCAACCTATTCCCTGATCTCAACCACATTCCATTCAGTGCCTTGAGCCCTACCCATGCCCACTCCAGGAGTGTTCCACTTGTGGCTGGCTGATGGGTGGGGGCCGTAATCCTCAGATGGAGGAGGTAATAAATTAGTGGTAACAGTAAACAAGTCGCCCAGCCGGGGTTGCCGCTGGCTGCTTATAAGTAACTGTTATAAACATTGGGTGTCTGGGGCTGTCAGAAATGCAAGCAAGCATTTTGAGTGCCTCTCATATGTACAATTAAAACAATAAAACACGGCAGAGACGCAGCCAGAGCAGGCTATAAATCAGCCTCTCTTCTCAGCTCCAAGTGGCAGCTGAATAAAGATGAGTGGGGCAGAAGCTGGGTTGGCATAGGGCCCTTCTGGGGGTAGAGGGCTTGGAACAACCCCACCAGCCTGAGTGCCCCCTTCCCAGAGCTCCAGGGCCTGCAGGACCTGGCCTGCTCCAGCTGACCTCCCCATCTCTGTGTCTTCAGATGGGGGACAGGACGGTGCAAGCCGGCACATCACAAACCAGTGGACAAGTGCCCTGGAGTTCAGGAGATGGCTAGGACTCCCCGCTGGCGGTAATGGAACTGCTCTGTATAATATTTCTCCCCCTCCCCAGGACATGCCAAGGATGGTCTCATCTGACTATCTCTTTTACTCAGTATAAGTTAACTACCCAGCACCCACTGTGTGCCCAGCCTAACCCAAGCATAGCAGAGAGAATGCATGCTCTTGGAGAGCAAAAACTCAGATGAGAATAATAAGGCTCCCAAGGAAATAAGAATCCCCTAGAGAGCTTGTTAAAACACAGGTTCCTGGACCCTACCCTCAGAGATTCTGATTGAGTATGTCTGGGGTGGGACCCGAGGTTTTGCGTTTCTAATAATAGGCTCCTACCCTTTGGGAAGCATGATTTGGACTACAGGTATTAGTTGTGGTGTTGTGCTTGAACTGCTTAAAAAACTCATCTGGGCCTTCACCTCCCTACCAGAGATCTTATTTTGCCACTTTAAGCTTCACTCCTAGAGAGGCTATGTGTTTAAGCCATGGTATTATATGTGTGCAGAACACTTAATAGCTCTGACACCTGGAGCAATTTTCTATACCTGCCAGAGGCACTGTCTCCTTATTTGTAAAATAAAGGTTATTGGGAGGCAGCATAGTACATTTACGCCTAACCTAAACCCCAGAACATAGAAGAAATTCTGTGAATGTAAACCTGTGTTTCTACATCCTCCTCCTCATATTCTTAACGGAATGTCAGTCTTTGACACAGCCTTCCAAATGCTTTCCTCTGGTAGCAAACCATTAACCCTCAAAGAGCCAAATATTATTTAGAGTCCAAGGAATGGCTTAGCCATTACCTAACTGTGTGACCTTGGCAGTTCTTCTTCGCTCTCTGAGCTTGATTTTCGCATCTGTAGAGAATAATATTTCCTACACCATAGGCTTATTTTAAGGCCCAAATTGGAGTACTTACGAAAGCGCTTGAGAAAATACAAGGCATTGTGCAAATGTAAGGTGCTTGCAAGAACAATAATTAGTAATAATAAAGATGTAAGACATTACCAAAACAATATTTGACAAAGGGTCCAGTCAGAGGTTCAGATAACAAGGACTATCAGAGCTCAGAGAAGAGAATCTGTGGCTGAGAAGTCAAGGAAATAAAATGACATTTGAGCCTCCAAGTATAGGAAGGTTTTGGACAGCTGTATGGAGGGTTGACAGGTGAGTGCAATTGAATGTGAGTAGAGAAGGGGTGTGCTATATTCAAAACATACAGAGTGGTCGAGTGTGGTGGCTCATGCCTATAATCGCAAGACTTTGGAAGGCTAAACCAGGAGGACTGCTTGAGCCCAGGTGTTCAAGACCAGCCTGGGCAACATTGTGAGACCCCATCTCTACACAACTTTTATTTTATTTTATTTTATTTTATTTTATTTTATTTTATTTTATTTTATTTTATTTTTGAGACAGAGTCTTGCTGTGTTGCCCAGGCTGGAGTCCAGTGAGTGGCATGATCTCAGCTCTCTGCAACCTCCGCCTCCTGGGTTCAAGCAATTCCTATGCCTCAGCCTCCTGAGTAGTTGGGATTACAGGCATGTGCCACCATGCCTGGCAAAATTTTTTATTTTAGTAGAGACAGGGTTTCACCATGTTGCCCAGGCTGGTCTCGAACTCCTGAGCTCAGGCAATCTGCCCACCTTGGCCTCCCAAAGTGCCAGGATTAGTAATGAGCCACCACGCCCTGCCCAATATATATATTTTTTAATTAGCCAGGTGTAGTGGGTTGTGCCTGTGGTCCCAGCTACTCAGGAGGCTGAGACAGGAGGATTGCCTGAGCCCAGGAGGTCAAGGCTGCAGTAAGCCATGATCACGCCACTGCACTCCAGCCTGGGTGACAGAGCAAGACCCTGTCTCAAAAAACAAAAAAACCACTCAGATATGAGAAACAGAAAAATTATGTTTCACGCTGATAGACGAACATGTTAGGGTGAAGCAGGCACACAGCAGAAGATTCATCTTAGAGAGTAATGAGCAATAAAGATGCAACATTAGTAGAATAGGACCAGATCAAGACTCTTGGACTTTATCCTTTAGACAGAGAAGAGCCTTGAAGGTCCTAAAGGAGAGGGCACTGCAGGAACTGATTCCTTCCAGGGTAGAGAAGCAGAGGGAGGTGATAATGAGATGACGATGATGATGATAGCTGCAAGGGTAGCAGATAATATTGATTGATACTTACTTTGTATTCACAGTAACCTTATGATGCAGGTACTAAAGGAAACTAAGGCAGAGTGAGGATGTCAAATGCCAGCAGAACTGCCTCCTGCTCTTGTATAAGACCCAGCAACCATATCAGCCTGCATGTGCCCCCAGCTTAGTCAGCTCAGATCTCTGGCTTGTCCAAAGGCTTGGGAGAATCTGCCAGGCCAAAAGCTGTATGGGCAATTTATTATTTTTAATAATGTCACAGCCCCTTCCTCATCCTTGTCCAGGCTCACTCAGAGCCTTGTCACACTCCATGGCCAATGTTTCTACATGTCATTTCTCCATAGTGCTGGTTCTGGCCACCATAGAGTTACCAGGATACATTTTGGCCAACTGCATGATTAAATGAATCAGCCAGTTAGGTTAATTATTTCCATCCTTTTAGCCCTCCAAACTGTGTGTGTGTGTGTGTCTGTGTCCTAGGAGAGAGAGATAGACTAGTTGACATGTTTTATTAAACAGAATAAATTTGATGCATTTATAAAAATAAGAAACAATAGGATTGGGTGGCAAAGAACTAGTCTTATGATTTTTAACTGATTTACATATTTTGTGTATAAATATTTTTTCATCAAAAGTTCCAAATCAGGGACGGGTCCCACACACCACACAAAATATATTAGAGACATTTATATGGATAGCAGGAAGGGAGACAGAGGGCTGAAATTTTCCAGGCACCTAGTGATTGATAGGGGCTGAGGCTCCCCCTGACGCTTTATTGAGTTTCCGATGATTATCTCTCACTGAGACATTTTTTACAGATGACGGTCGAGCTGTCACAATGGACCATGGGGGAAAAAAACCCAACAATAATAACACTTTAATCTTTTTACTGCACTGCTCCCTAGTATCTCAGATTCATCTTCCCTGACGCACGCAGTTCATTATTCTGCCCCTCCCTGGATGGGAAATAAAGGAAAATAAATATATATGTAGACACACTTACCCACATACATACACACACACAGACTATATAAAAGAGACCACCTCAGAACCAGAGAGGGGCAGAATTTATTGTTCTTTTTGCAAGTGTTGAGGTTTATTAGTAGAGATGCTGGGTTGGCTTGGAATTGGCTATTAATTACAGCATTTTGTATTTGTTTTTTATTGCGAGTTTTTAACATCTTGAAGAAAAGGCAGAGGAGAGGCAAGCAGGTGTAGAGACGGGGAACACAGAGGGACCAAGTTTGACCAACCAAGTAGCATAGCTGCCGAGAGGCAAAGAGCTGCCACCTTCTTCTTGTTGCCATCCCTGCCCCAGAGGATCCCTGGAGCTCAAAGAACACTGCTTTGGATAGGATGGGGGTGGGGGAGGAGGGGGAAGAGGGTGACCTCAGGGTACTTATAGGACAAATCTAAGGGAATCTAGATACTTGTGAGCATGTCACTACTCTGAGAGTTAGGCGAGATAGGAAGTAGAGGAGGTTAAAACAGAGTTTTGATGGGTCTGTAGATAACCGACTAACAGATTCTTAAGAGTTTACCCCACCTTATGAATTTGGTGGTGTGAAGGTGAGATGTGGGCTCTGGAAAGCACCCCCTGGGTCTGCACTAAAAAGAAGGGTCCTGAGTCAGAGAGGATGCCGCACTGACTGTCATGGCCACAGGCAGGGACAATAGCCTGTCTTCTTCAAGTTCCTTGCCATCCTTCCTGGTCTCCCCCTTCCCTTTCATGGAGGTGAGAGAAAATGTGCTTGGGGTCCCTGTGGGAAGGCTGCCCTTGAGGTGTCTCCAGTGGAATAAGTGTTGACCCAGTCTTTAATTCATCAGCTCTATTCTGAGCCCCCATGCTACACTAGGATGGGGTGATAATGAGGTGAGGTCCTATTCCTAAGGAGAAAACTTCCAGTCCATGGGCAGAAAGCATGATGTCTGTGAGAACCATTTTCAAGTAGGGAATGGTCCTCCAGCCATCGGCCAACCTACTTGACCATGAGTGCCTTCTCTATATAAAGGATAAAGACATGTTGAAGACACAGTGTCTGTCCATCAAGAATGTGTTTCCTGCCTGAGGAAGCTTAACATCCATTCACTAAAGAAGTGTTTATTAAGCAACCTGCCATACTTAAGAGAATATACATGAAACAATCTGAGAACACACAAGACTATGTAAAAGGAAATGTTTACTAATTTGATGTAAACAGAAGGCATAGAGGAAAGGGAGATCAGTGAAATCAAGATGCTTGAATTGTAAAGTGTGGGTAAAATGTGCATAAATAAGAGAAAGCATAATAAAGCCATGTAATCACTTAGAGAAAAAGAGTTATAAGCCTTGGAGTTGAACTTTCCAGCTCAGTCAGTGACTGCCAGTGTGACTTTGTAAGATACATAACTTCTCTAAGTGTCAGTTTCTTCGTTTAATGAATAGGAATAATAATATAACAGCCTAGTAGGATTCTCATGAGAATAGTCGTAAAGTTCCTGGCACAGTACCTGGGCACATAGTGAGTGTTCAATAAATGGAACCATTATTTTCTTACTGTTCTGTTGTATATTTAGTTGTCTGAGTATTGGAGGAAAACTCTTAGTCTTGGGATGTTAGCCTTCAGGACTCACCTGTGACTCTCCACTAGTATGAAATGGGCTGCCTCGAATGAGCCTGACATATTCTACAGTGTTAGTGTTAGAGGTGATCCTAGCCAGTATTGGAATGACATCAGGAAGAGGAAAGGGTACAATAATGAATTTATTACCATTTATTGAGTCCTTACTACATGCCAGGCAATATGCTTATCTTCTTACATATATTTTTTAACCTAACAGCTTTATTAAGTTTTAATTTACATACTATACAATTCACCATTTGTTTTTATGGAGTGTGAATTATATATCAATAAAAAAAGAAAGAAAATGAATTATACAAGAGCTTAATATAAAAAAGCTTCTCTTCCTCTCCTCTCACACCTCACTAGAATTCCTACCTCATTTCTTTTTTTTTTAATTTTGTATCAAATATTTTTATTTCAACTTTTCTTTTAGATTCAGGGGCTACATGTGCAGGTTTGTTACCTGGGTATATTGCATGATGCTGGGGTGTGGTGTATAATTGATCCCATCACCCAGGTACTATGCATAGTATCCAATAGTTTTTCAACCCGTGCCCCCCTTCATCCCTCCCTCCTCTAAGAGTTCCTGGTGTCTATTGTTGCCATCCAACAGGGTACTCATGTCCATGAGTACCCATTGTTTAGCTTCCACTTATAAGTGAGAACAGGTAGGCTGGGCACAGTGGCTCACGCCTGTAATCCCAGCACTTTGGGAGAACATGCAGGCTGGACACAGCTCATGCCTGTAATCCCAGCACTTTGGTAGGCCAAAGCAGGCGGATAACTTGAGGTCAGGATTTCAAGACCAGCCTGGCCAACATGGCGAAACCCCAACTCTACTAAAAATACAAAAATTACCCTGGTGTGGTGGCACGCGCCTGTAGTCCCAGCTACTCGGGAGGCTGAGGCACGAGAATCACTTGAATCCAGGAGGCAGAGGTTGCAGTGAGCCTAGATTGTGTCACTGCACTCCAGCCTGGGCAACAGAGAGAGACTCCATCTCAAAAAATAATAATAATAGTAAGTGAGAACATGCAGTATTTGGTTTTCTGTTCTTGTGTTAATTTGCTTAGGATGATGGCTTCTAGCTGCATCCATGTTGTTGCAAAGGACATGATTTCATTCTTTTTTATGGCTGTGTAGTATTCCATGTAGTATCCCATGGTATAGTACCATGTTTTCCTTATTCCGTCCACCACTGATGGGCACCTAGATTGATTCTGTGTCTTTGCTATCGTGAATAGTGCTGTGATGAACATATGAGTGCCTGTTTCTTTTTGGTAGAACGATTTGTTTTCTTTTGGATATATACCCAGTAATGAGATTTCTGGGTTGAATGGTAGTTCTGAGTTCTCTGAGAAATCTCCAAACAGCTTTCCATAGTGGCTGAACTAATTTACATTCCCTCCAACAGTGTATAAGCATTCTCTTTTCTCTACAGCCTCACCAATAAGAGCCATTCTGACTGGTGCGAGATGGTATCTCATTGTGGGTTTGATTTGCATTTCTCTGATGATTAATGATGTTGAACATTTTTTCATATGTTTGTTGGTTGCTTGTATGTCTTCTTTTGAGAAATGTCCTTGTCTTTGGCCCATTTTTTAAATGGGATTTGTTTTTTGCTTTGTTGAGTTGTTTAAGTTCCTTATAGATTCTTGGCTGGGTGCGGTGGTTCATACCTGTAATCCCAGCACTTTGGGAGGCTGAGGCAGGTGGATCACCCATGGTCAGAAGTTCAAGACCAGCCTGGCCAACATGGTGAAACCCTGTTTTAGAAAACAGGGTTTTCTAAAAATACAAAAATTAGCCGGGTGTGGTGGTGCACACCTGTAATCCCAGCTATGTGGGAGGCTGACACAGAGGAATCGCTTGAGCCTGGGAGGCGGAAGTTGCAGTGAGCCAAGGTCACACCATTGTACTCCAGCCTGGGTGACAAAATGAGACTCCATCTCAAAACAAAACAAAACAAGACAAAAGACCCACATAAGTTCCTTATAGATTCTGGATATTAGACCAGTGTCAGATGCATAGTTTGCAAAAATATTTTCTCCCATTCTATAAGTTGTCTGTTTACTCTGTTGATAGTTTGTTTTGCTGTGCAGAAGCTCTTTCATTTAATTAGGCCCCATTTGTCAATTTTTGTTTTTGTCATAGTTGCTTTTGAGGACCTAGTAATAAATTCTTTGCCAAGGCTGATGTCCTGAAGGGTATTTCCTAGGTTTTCTTCTAGGATTTTTATAGTTTTAGGTTTTACACTTAAATCTTTAATCCATCTTGAGTTGATTTTTGTATATGGTGAGAGGTAGAGGTCCAGCTTCATTCTTCTGCATGTGGATAGCCAGTTATCCCAGCACCATTTATTGAATAGGGAGTCCTTTCCCCGTTGCTTATATTTGTTGACCTTGTTGAAGATCAGTTGGGTATAGGTGTGTGGCTTTATTTCTGAGTTCTCTATTCTGTTCCATTGGTCTATGTGTCTGTTTTTGTACAGTGCCATGCTGTTTTGATCACTATAGCCTTGTAGTATAGTTTGAAGTCAGGTAGTCTGATACCTTTGGCTTTGTTCTTTTGCTTAGGATTGCTTTGGCTGTTTGGACTCTTTTTGGTTCTATATGCACTTCACCATTTAGAGTATATAACTCAATGGTTTATATAGTATATTCACAAGAGTTGTGCAAACTATTATGACAATCAGTTTTAGGACATTTTTATCACTCCATAAAGAGACCTCGTATTCATTATCAGTCACTCTCCATTTCTCTTCAACTATTCCCAGCTCCTGGCAACCACTAATTTACTTTCTGTCTCCATAGATTTGCCTAATCTGGACATTAAATAGAAATTGAATCTTATTTTATTTTTTGAGACAGGGTCTTGCTCTGTCCTCCAGGCTGGAGTGCAATGGTGTGATCACGGCTCACTATAGCATTGACTTCCTGGGCTTAAGGGATCCTCCATCTCAGCCTCCTGAGTTGCTAGGACCACAAGCATGTGCCACCACAGCCCCTAGTTAATTCTGTACTTTTTAGTAGAGACGGGGTTTCACTATGTTAGCCAGGCTGGTCTCGAACTCCCAACCTCAGATGATCCTCCTGTTTCACACTCACAGAGTGCTGGGATTACAGGTAGGAGCCACCACCCCCAGCCTCATTGTGGTTTTGATTTGCACTTTCCTGATAGCCAGTGATATTGAGCATCTGTTCATGTGCTCTTTGGCCATTTGTATGTCTTATTTGGAGAAATGTCTATTCCAGTCCTTTGTCCATTTTTTAAATTAGGTTTGCCATTGACTCTTGTGAGATAGGTGATATTATCTGTTTGGAGATGAAGAAGCTGAATCTCACAGATGTTAATAAAGTCACACAGTCAGTTTTGCTTTCCAGGCTTGCTGACTCCAGCCCCCATGGTCTTTCTAATACACGTTGCTGCCTGCTGAGGAGTCATACTGGGGTCACCAGGGTCCTCTATGTGGCAGGAAGGGAGGAGGAAAGGAAAAAGGTGGGAAGGAAAATTTGTTTGAAGGCTGGGTGCAGTGAGTGGTTCATGCCTGTAATCTTAGCACTTTGGGAGGCTGTGGCAGGAGGACCACTTGAGCCCAGGAGTTTGAGACCAGCCTAGGCAACATAGGTAGACTCCATCTCTCTCTATATATTTTTTTTTAATAAAAAAAAATTTTTTGGCCGGGCGCAGTGACTCACACCTGTAATCCCAGCACTTTGGGAAGCTGAGGCAGGTGGATCATCTGAGGTCGGGAGTTCAAGACCAGCCTGGCTAACATAGTGAAACCCCATCTCTACTAAAAATACAAAATTAGCTGGGCATGGTGGCGCGTGCATGTAATCCCAGCTACTCGGGAGGCTGAGGCAGGAGAATCACTTGGATTGTTGCAGTGGTTGCAGTGTTGCGGAGGTTGCAGTGAGCCGAGATCATGCCATTGCACTCTAGCCTGGGCATCAAGAGTGAGACTCCATCTCAAAAAAATAAATAAATAAAAAGTAATTGGAATACACTTCATGCTGAAGCTCTCTACACTTTTTTTAGTTTGAATGGTGGTGGAAAAGATGAAAATGATGAGATGAAGTAACTCATCCAAGTTGGAAAGTCGGAGACCTTTCTGGTGGGTTGTAGACAACTCCCTCACATACACACACATTGTAGATGCCATTCCTGAGCAGTGGCAAGAAGGGGCAAGTGCTCTGCTTCTAACTGGTGCTGTGATGCCTCAGCAGGGTCTTAATTTGTATAGAGTCTTCAGTGAGAGGAAGCTGAGAGGCCAGAGGCTTCTTCCTAGAGATTCTTGAAAGAAGTTAGCTTAGTCCCTGAGCTTCAGCTGGTATCAACCGACCCTGAGTTATATGAGGCTTGGGCCTGTGGGCATTGGCAGAAGCTGCACAGTACAGAAGATAGAGCAGAGGCCATGGAGCCACTCAGGCTTAGGGTCTAGTCCTAGCCTACCACCGACCAGCATTGCAAGTTGAGCAGGCCACCTAACCTCTTTAAGCCTGTGTTTCCTCATCTGTTCAATAGAGATGATAGTACTTGAACTGTCGGTCCTACATGGATTGTCATGAGGATGAGGGAATGATTGCCTTGAAGTGCTCCCTACACTTTAAAACATGATACAAACATAAGGGGTTATTCTTTTATTTGTCTTATTAGTCATAGAGGTTCCCTCTCATGGAAACATGTTCACATCTTTAAAGGCAAGGGCACTGCTAGACATTCCATAACATTAGATGGCACCGGCTTCTGGGAGTGGCCAGTAGAGGCCGAGAGGGACTCAAAGCTAGGGTTGTCTTCACCTGCAGAAGTGAACAGTAAATAAAGCTTTTGTTATCTAGAGACCACTGCAGGATTTTAACGAGGGTTCAGCTGTCAAACAAGAAACTGCTGAGTGACACCCAGTGAAACAGATGACTCTTAACTCAGAACTCTATTCTTATGCTCACTGTGCCCTCCCTCCTTCCCTCCGTCCCCTCCCCTCCCTTCCCTTCCCTTCCTTCCTTCTTTTACTTTCTCTTTTTTTTTTGAGACAGGGTCTGGCTCTGTCACCCAGGCTGGAGTGCAGTGGCGTGATCTCGGCTCACTGCAACCTCTGCCTTCCTGGCTCAAGTGATCCTCCCACCTCAGCCTCCCGAGTAGCTGGGACTACAGGCATGCGCCACCACGCCCAGCTAATTTTTGTATTTTTTGTAGAGTTGGTGTTTCGCCATGTTGCCCACGCTGGTCTTACACTTCTGAGCTCAAGCGATCTGCCCGCCTCGGCCTCCTAAAGTGCTGGGATTACAGGCGTGAGCCACTGCCCCCACCTCACTTTGCCCACCTCACTGTGCCTTTCTGAGAGGAAAGTATATGCAGGATTCCTCAAGTGAAGCCTTTTTTCACAGAGAAAATACACTTTTGGAAGCCCATGATGAGATAATGACTAACATTTATTGAGAGCTACTATATGCTAGGCACTGTACCCAGCCCCTTTATTCATAGTGTCTCATTTAATCCTTACAACATCCCATGAAGGCGTTACTGTTATTACCTCCACATATAGATAAAGGAGCCTGGCACAGAGAGGTTAGGTAAATTGCCCAAGATTACACAGTCAGTAAGTTCAGAGCTGGGATTCAAACATAAGTGGTCTGACTCCAGGGCCCCACCAAATACTGTTGACTGGTATTACTTTTATTTTTATTATTCCAAAACCAAAGATAATATTAGGACCTTGTTTATGTTTGATGTGTTTATTTGTTGATTCAACAAGTATTTGTCAAGCACATACTTATGGCCATACACTGCTGGGCAATGGAGAAGGTAGTCACACTTCCTGTATTCATTGAGTTTTTTGTCTAGTGGGGAATTGTAGTCAAGTAAGCAAGTGCTTACGATAGAATGTAATAAATACTAGAATTGGGAGATGCCTAAGGTGCTAGAGGAGCTCTTAGGAACAATAACTACCTCAAACGTAGGAGGAATCACTGGAGAAAGTGACTTCTAATCAGAGGCCTAGCGCTGTATTGGAGTTAGCCAACTAAAGGCATGGGAGAGGGGAAGATGTTCCAGGCAGTCGAATAGTATTTACAAAAGCTCAGAGGCAAGAAAGAGCATTAGAAAGGTGATGATGAGAGATGAGACTGAGGTGAGCAGTGGGCCTCCTCTGGACATTCCTTATTAGTTGGGCTATGACACCAGCACTCTCCTGACGTTTGTGCCAAAATAGCCCCAGCTGTGTTCCTTGAGTTCATCTGCTGTTTATGGTAAGTACCCTGTGTATAGCTCTGTCATTGCACATGTGAAATTGTATTATCATTTGTCTGCTCAGTGGTCTGATTCTTGCATTAGGATGTTAGCTTCTGAAAGTCAGGAACTGTGTCTTATTTATTATTATATCTCCAGGAACTACCACCATGCATTGGTGCTCATTAAATGTTGAATGAATGATGTGTTTTCTTTGTAAAATGGATTACACCTTTCCTGCTTTCTTGAGCCAACTATCACTTTTCGTCAGGTTCATCATTATATCCAGCAGTTAATGTCCTATGTGGCAGTTCAGTGATGCCCTTAGGGGCTTTTGAGGTGCTGTACTCTGAATTCCTTTTTCAGCTTTTCATTGTCCTGTTCTTTTCCCTGCCTGCCTGGCCAGTGCTTGATTGTAATCAATCTGCTTGGTTCTGTAGCATCCTCCCTGGCCTTCTTATTTCCTTCTCCTAATCTGCAGTGGGCTGGAAATAAGATCACCTAGCATGATTTGATAAGACTGTAACTAAGGGCTAGTAATCTCTGATTGAGGTCCTAAACGGCTCTCTTATGGGAAAAGTGTAGATGCCATTGCACATGGGACTTGTATGTTAGAGGCCTTTTAACTTCCTGTTCTTCCTGCTCCAGGAAAGGTCAGATAACACTCCTGGGGCAGGAGCAGGGGGTTCATCAGTCTGGAGAGGCCATGTCAGGAGTAGAAGGCTCATTGACCATTGATTCTATAAACCACAAGAAACTAAGAAACTGTTGTCTGTTCTCCAGCTGCACACTCCACCAACTTTATTTTGGCCAAACATTTGAAATGCTTCCATCCACATTAGGTTATCTGAGTGCTAGCTACAAACCTCAGGCCATTTTCTGTTAAGGGCAAATTCTGCAGAGAGTGAGTTTGCACCTTCACCCAAACAGGAAAACAGGATGGAATAAGAGCCAAGGCTGGGACCAGGACATCTGGGCTCTACTTCTTTCTTGGTGTCTGATTTCCTCATTTGGAAATTGAGGGTGACATTATGATATGTGAGAAACAGTGGGGACAATCACTTATTAGCTATGTGACCTCTGAGCCTCAGTTTCCTCATCTATAAAATGGGAATAATAATTACCTACTATGTAAGGTAATTATGAGAATTAAGTAAGATTGTGTGAAGTGACCATGTCAGGCATAGTATAGAAGGTCAGTAAGTGAAATCTATTAGTATGGCTGGGCGCGGTGGCTCACGCCTGTAATCCCAGCACTTTGGGAGGCTGAGGCGGGTGGATCACCTGAGGTCGGGAGTTTGAGACCAGCCTGGCCAACATGGTGAAACCCCATCTCTACTAAAAATACAAAAATTAGCCGGCTGTGGTGGCGGGCACCTGTAATCCCAGCTACTCGGGAGGCTAAGGCAGAGAAACGCTTGAACCGAGGTAGAGGCTGCATTGAGCCAGATCGCGCCACTGCCCTCCAGCCTGGGTGACAGATCAAAACTCCATTTCCAAAAAAAAAAAATCTATTAGTATTTGGAAGAGGCATGGCAGTCTTCTGGCTTTTGGAACTTTATATAGGACATTTAGTATTGCATAGACTCCATTCCAAGACCACTTGAAAAAGAATGGTTTAGGAATTGTCTGGTGCTTTTGACTACATAGGTAAGATCGCCTCTTGACTGAGTGTACCCCTTTATCCAGTGAGAGGTAAGAGGAACCTGTCCTCTGCAGATCCTGTGCTGTGGACTCAGGGAGGAGTATAGGTAGTCAGGACCCAAATTCTACCCCTACAAACTCAGCTCAGGAGGGAATGTAAGACAGTTGCCTGGATAACTTTCACATGGGGGCTAGAAAGAAGCTCCATTGCCTGAGCAGGGGAGAGAGTGCTCTGAGGGGTCTCATTTCCCAAGGGAGGGCCCCAGAGGTGGGGTAACATTCTAATTTATTGTCCAAACTGGAACTGTCTATAACAGCAGAAGAAAACCAGGACCACCCTGGGTAAACAGGGTGTGTGGAGTCACCCAACCCAGAGAGTCCTGGAAAAATGATGGACTGGTTTTATGTTATTTTATATCAAATCAGAGTGAGAAAATCACAAATATTAGCACTAGAGTGAGCCTGGGGGATTTTGGTTCTTTGACCACATGAAATGCTTGTTCTTCTTTCAAAAAATGTTTACAGGTAATAAGGGTAAAAATGCAGATTACAAAATTGCATTTACAGTAAATTCCAATTTTATAGGGGATACACACACACATGAAATTTGGAAGAACATATATCAAAATCTGACACATAGTTTCTCAAGTCACTGAGATATTGGTTCCTTTTCTTTGTTGTACTTTTCTGTGATTTTAAAAATTTAATTGCTTTTATAAATTTTTTAAGCTTTAAAAAATTAAAACCACTTACTTACTAGAATGTAAACATTTTCAGAGCAGAGAGGTATATTAATCTGCTAAAACAGCCTCTGTCTCCTGCCCCACTCTTTCCTTATCCTACCCCAACCTGCTTTCTTTACCTGCATAACTTCTCTTCATCCTTTAAGACTCCTGTCTTCTGGGATCCTCTCTTCATGCCCAAGTTGAGCTAAACTCTCTTCTGGCGTTCTGGTATATTCTCCTATTATACCTCTAACAGAGCATTTATCTCAAACAGTTCTATAAACATCTGGTTATTGTCTGCCTCCCTTGTCAGTTAGGTCAGGGACCTTATCTGATCTATTTCATGTCCCCAGGATGAATCCTAACACATAACAGATGTCAGTAAACATTGTGGAACTAACTGGCCTCTGTTTTGCCTCTTCTTACCCAGCACAGATGGCCAGGAACATAGTAGGTGCCATTTTATGCTTAGTAAGTAGGTAGATGAGTGAGTGAATTAAAATGCCACTAGAAAACAGGTGAGATTGGTGGCTCATGCTGTCGTTGCTAATGGAAGGGTTTGTGTTGCTGTCTCCCCAGTCCTGATCACCCGAGAGGATGACTTCAACAACAGGCTGAACAACCGCGCCAGTTTCAAGGGCTGCACGGCCTTGCACTATGCTGTTCTTGCTGATGACTACCGCACTGTCAAGGAGCTGCTTGATGGAGGTGAGAGCAGAGGTGGAGGAGGGGTGGGGTGGGGGAAGTGGAAGAGGGGTGGGGTGGGGGGGGTGGAGGAGGGGTGGGATGGGGCTTGGCAGGGGGAGAGAGTACTTGGCAGCCTCACTATTCTGGAAATAACATACTTCCCCAGAGCCCTGTTATCCTCCTAGAGCTAGAGATGCCTCGAGAGCAGCTTTGCCTGCTGACAGTGGCAGTGCACACATGTGGTTTGCCCTCCTGTGGCTGATGTGTGTTCTCTGCCTATATGTGGTGTGATACACCATGTCATCCTGCCTGTCTGTGTATGCTGTGAGAGTTTTCTGGACTCTTGCTATCCCTAAAAGTGTTCTCTCTTCTCCCCCGTGACCTCCAAAGCAGAGCTAATGAAACAAAGGACACAGGCTCTTTAAATCCCTCCTAACCCAGGTCACAAAGACATCCTCTTTGGTCCCACCCCCGTCTCAGGCCCCTTTCATTACTCTGGGTCATGGCACCCTATTCTTTTCCGTCATTACACTTGTCACAACCTGAAATTGTTTTTATTTGTTCAATAGCCTTCTCCCTAACTTGTCTCTGAGCTTCTAAAAGGCAAGAACCATGGCTGACTGGTTCAAGTGTCCCCAGCATCTACTATAGTACTTGGCACTTAGTAAGCACTCAATAAATCAATGAATAATGAATACCCTCCCTTTGGAGAACATCAGTTAATTGGAGAGACAAAACATGCCATCCCCAGACTCAGGCTGGGCAAGTCCTGTCCAAGTCTGGTAGTGCTACCTGCCAGACACATCCCAGTCACTTTCTTTCCCACTTCCCCATATCCCACTCCTGCCTCTCCTTGGGAGAGTGTGGGAAGCATCTGGCCAGGATGTGTGGAGCACAGACCCCTGAGTGAGTACATGGCACATGACTGCCTGTTCATGCCTCCTCTGGTGCTTTTTGAGGGCCAGGGATCCTCTCTTGGGGCTAGACCCCAGGGTCTTCCTTGTTGGGATCATTCTTCATAGAACCTGAGCACTGGAAAGGTCCTCAAAGGTCTCTGGGCCACTCTGATGATTGCCTGCCTCTCTTCCAGCAGAACCCTCTCCAACAGCTGGCTAGCTGACATTTTTCAGAGACAGAAGGAACCTCCTTCTTCCCCAGGGAGACTGGTTGAAACCTTTTTTTTTTTTTTTTTTTTTTTTTCTGGGACACGGAGTTTTGCTTTTGTTGCCCAGGCTGGAGTGCAATGGCACAATCTTGGCTTACCGTGACCTCTGCCTCCCGGGTTCAAGCAATTCTCCTACCTCAGCCTCCCGAGTAGCTGGGATTACAGGCATGTTCCACCACATCTGGCTAATATTGTATTTTTAGTAGAGACAGGGTTTCTCCATGTTGGTCAGGCTGGTCTCGAACTCTCAACCTCAGGTGATCCACCCGCCTCAGCCTCCCTAAGTGCTGGGCCACTGCGCCCGGCATGGTTGAAACATCTTTTTAATGAGCTGTGGTCTTCTCTATAACTTATGCCAACTGTCTTTTGCTACCTAGTCACTTTTCCAAATACCAGTCTTCAAAGAAAGTTCTTTCAGTCCCAGAGCCTTTGCCTCCACAGGCCCAGCATCCCCAGATCATCTTCTCATTGGCCTCTGGGAACTTCCCAGGAACACGCACGTAATCTTGCCACTTTCTGTCAGCCACAGCCATGCTAGCTTAAAACCCAGGCCTGGCCTGTATCCCCAAGCCTACAAGGGACCTGCCCCAGAGCAGCCAGAATATGCTTTGTTCTAGGGCACAGCCACTGAAGGGCAGGACTACTTGTGGATGTGGCAGCAGTTCTTGGGATGACTGATGCTTCTGGAGCGAGAACTTGCTGTTCTCAGAAGCAGAGACTTAGAAAACATCCCCAAGCAGAAAGCTTCTTCCTTTGTCCGTTGGAAAACTCTGTGGCAAGACATTTGTAGCTAAGAATTGGAGTGTTCACCAAGGACATTATCTCTGCCGTGCCTTAAAATCAATCAATACTCCCAGCTATTGTCCAGTAGTTTACATTCTCTGCTTCCCCCAACCCCCAGACAAGAGAATTCACTTTATAAGGAGCCCCTCTTCCTAGCCTTCTAGATCGAACACCTTTGAAATGAAAAGACGAGGGCCTTTTATGAAACTCCCTCTATCCTCACCCCCAGGCCAAGGCTGGCCCTTTGAGCCGTTCCAGGGGCATGGTTCCTGCCTGTTGACTTGGAACAGATGCCCTTAGCCCCCACCTTTACATTTCTCCCACCTGCCTTTTTAGCCAGCATACATTTACACCCCTTGCCCTAGCCTCCCAGCCTCAAGGGCCAAAACCATTAACCCACTATTTCTCCCTCCCAACCCTGAACAAGTTGCCGTCACTCAGGGCCTGCAGGCTGCCAACTTCTGACCTCCCTTCCCCCTTGACCTCCCTTGGTCTGCCTGTGTGTGTGACCAGCCAACCGAGAGGCAGGATCCTGCTCTATCATTCTAGGGGCTGTTGCCAGTAATATTTCCAGAGTCTTTTGACCTCAGCTGACCCTCTCCAAAGGGTTTCAGGAAAGGCAAGGGAGCCTACCTTCCTGCCCATCTGGCTGGCTTTTTTTTTTTTTTTTAATTGAGACAGATTTTCGCTCTTATTGCCCAGGCTGGAGTGCAATGGCGCGATCTCGGCTTGCCACAACCTCCGCCTTCAAGCGATTCTCCTACCTTCAGCCTCCCAAGTAGCTAGGATCACAGGCGTGTGCCACCACACCCAGCTAAATTTGTATTTTTTTTAGTAGAGGTAGGGTTTCTCCATGTTGGTCAGGCTAGTCTCAAACTCCCGATCTCAGGTGATCCGCCCGCCTCGGCCTCCCAAAGTGCTGGGATTACAGGCATGAGCTACCGCGCCCAGCCCCATCCGGTTTTCTTAGGCTGTACTTGCCACCAGCTTTGCTGCAGTAACTAAAGGGAGATTCTGTGAGATCCAAAGCAGGCCTAAATACAGAGGCCAGCCTGTGCTCACAGGGCCCACACAGAACAGTTTCCTTGAAATTACTTAGTCCTCAGGGATTTAGGGTCCCCAGACCTTAGAGGGTTAGAGCTAGAAAAGTCAGCTGCTCTTGCTGTCTGACCAAAAGTCCCCATTTGAGCTGGGAGGAGATTCAGACAGAAGCATCAGGCTGATAATGTGGAAAGCTCTCTGGCCCATTAGGAGGTGGCATGGAGTAATAGAAAGGGAACCTCAGGCTTCAGAATCAGGCCAACCTAGGTTTGAATCCCAGTTTACCCACCTATTAGCTGTGTTGCCTTGGGCATGTTTCCTTAATTCTCTAAGCCTCAGTTTTCGTACATCTAAAATAACACCTGTTTCACAAGGATAGCATGAGGATTGGTGGTATTTTTTATGAAAGCCCCTGGCAGGCACATGGTAGGTTCCCTGTTATAAGTACTTATCATTGTGACATGTATAAAGAAATCAAACTCTCATTCTGGCAGCTGTAATTCCATTCCTCCCCAATATAGAACCTTTACTCCTACCTTAAGGCCTCTTAATTCTGTCTTTACCTACGATATTCCCATCCTGCCTAAAGTGCCATCATGTTCCCTGTTTTCTTATCTGAATCCTCAGACTCTTCAAGGCCTCTCTCTCTTAAGAAGCCTTTCTTCGTCGTCTGGTCTACTCCGATACTTCCTCCTCCAAACTTGTACAGCATTGTACAGCTTAGCACAGACTGCTTAACGTCGTCTCATTTTCGGGAGACCCTGTAGCATAGTGAAAAAGAAACAAGCTTTGAAGTCAGACCTGGGTTTAAATCTCAGCCTTGTCAAGTGACCCTGGGCAAGCCACTTGCCATCTCTGAGACCATGGGCCTCAGGGAATCCTAAGACAGATCAGGCAAACTGTCACTGACCCTGAGAGGCTCTCACACTGTCAGAGGAGATAGATGTGGAAACAGACCATGATAATGGGGTAGGTGCTCTGGCAGGCGCCTGGACAAGGGGCTCTGGGGACGAACAGGGGGAAATGATGTCTTCTGCCTGGTGATCAGAGAGGTAGAATCAGTTACAGAAGGCTTCCCAGAGGAGGGGGTGCTTAGGCCTTATCAGGAAGGATGATGGGAGTTTGCCAGAGTTCTCCAGAAGGGTTTTGAATTAACTAGTGCCAGTCTTCTACTCCCAACCGCCACAGAAAAGTACAGAGACCCTCATGTTTTTTACCTTGGAAGATGCTGCTTTTGCCTGTGTTGATGGCTTATCAGCAGGAAGGCTCTGCTTCAGCACTTGAATGCAGGTGTGGTGGGAGGGAGGGAGGAAGGTGGGGAAGAGGCAGTAGGACTAGAAAGAGGAGTGATCAGGGAAGGTGGCTGGAGCCTCATACTTCAAGTGCCTGAAGATGACTCATCTTGATATTTCCAGGACTGTTAAGTTGCTTTGGCAACCAGGTCCTCTCAGGGATGTGATCCCACCGGCAGATCCATCTTCCTAAAACATATCTCTAATCATGGCCGTTTTTCTTGACCAAGGTTCCTCCAGAGAATTGAGCCCTCATTCTCCAAGGCATCCATCGTACACAGGAATTAACTTCTCTCCCAGGAATCTAAAATGGTACTAGCTATATATATATATATATATATACACACACACACATCTTTGGAAGCATTGAGAAAATCACTAGTCAATTTTTTTTTGTATGTGCTTCAAAGGAGAACCCCCAGCTAAGAGAGGTTGCAAGGGAAGAGCATGAATATTGGAGTCAGGATCTTGGTACCAGCCCTGCCATTTAATAGCTATGTGATCCAGGGCAAATTACTGACTGTTCTGAAGTTCTTTCTCCTCATCTGGAAATGGGGGTGGCGCCACCTACCTCCTAAGGATTTGTAAGGATTAGGACATATGTACTTCTCCAGAGTAGGTACTTTATATATAGTCTCTGTTATTATTAACTTCAGAAACACTCAGTGCTCACTCGTTTAAAAAAAAATTCTAACCATACTAATGCTTTTAACTGGTTTTAGAGTTGTTCTAGTCTGACCCTCACCTACCTTTTCCCCTACTGGAGCCCTAATACTCCAGCTACACTGTGTTCCCACCTTGGTGCCTTTATTCTCGCAGTTTGTTCGGCCTCTCTGTCCCCTTTAAGACCATTTTGCATGCTGGTGGAGTTCCTTTTACCAGTCAGTCACCAGCCTCATGCCACCTTCCTTCTGAAGTCTTTCCTGTTCTCTGGATTTGGGTCCAGTCTCACTTACTAGACCAAGGTGGATGAAGGCCAGGCCTGTGTCTTTTTTTGTCTCCATCTCCTTTGCTGCAATGCTCTGCACATGATTTAGTATGTTTTTGAATTGGATGCACTGATAAATCTCCAAAACCACTGTAGGTTTTCTTTTGGGAGATGTGGTGTCTTTACTTTTTGGTCTACTCTTTGCTGATCCCCTTCCCCGACTCTTAATTTCCTAATGTGTCTGACTTTTTAGAGCTTCACTTATGAGCCACCTCTGCCTGGCTACCTTCCTTCTCCTTACAGTCATAATGCCACTTCCTTTTCAGTCACTGGTGCTCTCACTTCAGAAACACTTGGGCTTTAACGAAACTTAATACTTTCCCTGGGGCCTCTCTCAGCCTCCTTCCCACCTACTTTAGTGAATCCTCCTTGCCCCATCTCCAAGTCTGCACTGAGTTATCAGTGTTAACTAGCCATCATCAAATGAGTCCTTAAATTCCCCACCATCCCTGCCTGAGGCAAAGATCCTTTCCAGTGGTGCCATCCCCTTTAACAGCCTCTTGGCTTGTTGTCAGGACCCAAAACTTAAGAGTTCGCTTCTTGTTACACTTCACCGTCTGTCCATCTGGCGGCACTGCCTGATGTGGAGAGAATCAGCTGTGCCTCAGGCTGTCTGTCCTCTGTTGAAGCTCCACACTCTGATTCACGCCAGCAGTACAGAGAAGGGGAATGAGCACTGGGTGAAGGATCAGATGTTCTGGCTCTGCCACCAACAAATCCTTTCACCTTTAGGCATATCCTCTCTCCTCCTCAGTAAAATAAAGAAGTTAGGATAGCAGATCCCAAGGACCCCTTCCAGCTCCAGCATTCTTTCACTTACCAGATTCTTACTGATCATCTCTGCTGCCACAAGCCCTGCCCTAGGCACCAAGGAAATAAAGATGATCCAGACATGATTTTTGCACTTAAGTAACTCACAGTTCTATGAGAAAACCAGACATTTTAACCAAGAATTGCTATCTGGTGTATTAATGGAGATCTGTAGAAGGTGCTGTGAGATCACAAAGAAAAGACCTTTTAAATCTTGAAGAGGGCAGGGAAAGCATGATGTAGGAGATGGTGTTCACACCAACTCTTGAAGGATGAATGCAAGTGTACCAGGTAGATGAGGTAGGAAGGCGGAGGGAGCAACGTGTTCAAAGGCATGGAGTATGAAGCAGCATACTTTACTCAGAATATTGCAGGTAGTTCAGAAGAGCTGGAGGGTATCAGAGGGCAAGAATGGAAAGCAGGAGCTAATATTGAAGGTCACTAATGTAAGCTGTGCTGAGGAGACTGGACTTATCCTGCAATGGAAAATCATTAAGATTTAGAGGAGGACTAGGATAGGCTTTATGTATAATGTGAAAGATAGTTAAAATGTTTATCAGTAGCTGAATGGATGAATAAATTGTGGGATGGTCACACAATGGAATAATGTACAATGGGCTTGAGTCAACTCTTGCTGTGTGCTACAACACAAACCTTACATCAGGTCACAAGCCAAACAGAAGAGTGCTTACTGTATGCCTGCATTTAAATTCCAAAATAGAGAAAACTAATCAGTGGCATAAGAAGTCAGGGTAGTGCTTAACCTCGAGAGTGTGGGTAGTGACTGGGAGAGGCCGTGAGGGGATCTCTGGGATGCTGTAATGTTATTTATGTAGATGCTGGTTATGTGGGTGTGTCCGTTTTGTGAAAATTGAGTTGTATCCTTATGTACTTTTTGTGCTTTTCTTTATATGTTACACTTGAAACAGGTTTTAAAAAAAAATGAGGGGAGGCTGGGTGCGGTGGCTCTTGCCTGTAATCCCAGCACTTTGGGAGGCTGAGGTGGGTGGATCCCTGAGGTCAGGAGTTCAAGACCAGCCTGGCCAACATGGTGAAACCCTGTCTCTACTAAAAATACAAAAATTAGCCAGGCATGGTGGCAGGTGCCTGTAATCCCAGCTACTTGGGAGGCTGAGGCAGGAGAATCACTTGAACCTGAGAGGTGGAGGTTGCAGTGAGCCAAGATCATGCCATTGCACTCCAGCCTGGGCGAGAAGATCAAAACTCCGATTCAAAAAGAAAAAGAAAAATTATATTTTTAAAGGCATGCAAAATATAGCCCCAAATGTGCCACTAATTTCTATAGACATAAAATTACTCTGACTAGTTGCTATAAAAGTTTCCAGACACTTACTGTTTGTATTTATCCCATCAAAAGCTGGTGGCAAAGTTCACCGTCTGGCACCAGTACACAGACCACATTTAAAACATGACTGCTTTGCTGGTACTCCCAGGCAGAAAGGGGAGACAAATGAGCAAAATAGAGCCTCTGCCCTCAACTAGCTTAAAGTCCAGTGGTATAGACATTCTGGGACAAATATAGTCACACTGTGTGGCAAAGAGGTCACAGCACTGCCATTATGATGTAGACATCAGGGACTGTGATCCACCCCAGTTCTGCCACATCTCACCCTTCTCTAACATGGCCCTTCTCTAACATCACTTTTTTCCTCTATAAAATCATGGCCCTTCTCTAACATCACTTTTTTCCTCTATAAAATGAAGAACTTGTGTCAGGTGATTGAATACTAAAGGTTTCTTCTTCTTGTTTGGATTCAAATGTTAAAGTCCCTCCATGTTAGCAGTTATCTGGGGGAGGGATGGGGAGAGATTGCTAATGGGTACAAGGTTTCTTCTGGAGATGATGAAAATATTCTAAAATTAGATTATGGTGATGGTTGCACAACTCTCTAAGTATACGAGAAACCTCCTCTAAATTGTGTACTTTAAATGGGTGAACTTTATGGTATGTAAATTACATCTCAGTAAAGCTATTAAAAAAGAAAAGAAAAAAATCCTCCATGCCTCTCAAAACCAGAAAATCTTGTCTTGGATGTCTGACTGATTGCCTGAAAGCAGGCTGGAAAGCCAGGAGGACCAGATCAACCCCACAGCTAGTGTGGTAGAGGAGATGAGCCCCTCTGTTGTATAAAACAGTTTCCTTTTAAAGAATATCATTAAAAAATTTGTAAACCTCTCTCTTCCCTTCCTTTTTATTGATTTCCTGTTATTATTTTAACAAATATGTATTGCATCCTTGTAAAGCTTAAAGTCTGGTAGAATATAGATGTTAGGCAAATAATTACAAAATTACCAGCTAATTATTAGCTAAATTGCTAGCTAATAATAAAAGTATTATTAAGGAAGAATAGAGGGTACTATAAGAGCATAATGGGACCTAATCTAGTCCGAAGGGGAATGGAGGAAGTCTTCCCTGAGCATATGGCATTTACACTGAGACTCAAAATGTGGATGTTAGCCTGTCATTTAGCTTGAGAAAATCCTGTGGAGAGGGATGTCCATTAGTCATCCAAAGGGATCCAGCAGTCTAGTCCAATTTTGGGGAGTGGAGGAGTTCTGTGGTATTGTATCTGCAGCCCATGTGGAAGACCAGGCCTTGAAGGGGCCCTCAGTGACCTAAGTCCTACCCTCAGCCCTTTACCCAGTATAGAATGAGGAACTGTCCTTGCTCACCGCAGGGAAAAGTATTTCTGTATCCTGGCTCCTGTGGACATCGAGGAGCCACTGCATAGTTGAGCTGGAGATGAGCCTGGTCACCAGAGCCCATGCTCTCCAGAGCCACTTGCCATCCAGGCCCCCGCATTTCATCAAGGCTTTAATCGGCTCCAAGCAGTCCTCAGATGAGCCTGGCCGGTATCCGGCATGACCTCATCACCGCCAGTAGTGGCAGCTGGAGGCCAAGGCTCCCTTGGGTGAGGGAGAGGTCAGCATCGGCTGGGCCAGGTCTGTTCCGTGTCCTACACTCTCCTCCACCTGCACTGAGCCTGGAAACAGCGCTGAGTCAGAATCAGATTTTCTAGCTGCCCTTTGCCAGCCCACTCATGCCCCCTCCAGCGTATGTGCTGTTGGGCAGAATGCACAGATAAAGGACCACACTGCAGCTTTTGCTGTTGGGCAGAATGCACAGATAAAGGACCACACTGCAGCTTTAAGAAAGGAGAATGTCAATCTGAAAGTCAGGGCCTGTAAAGTAGCAGCAAAAGCCCCTTCCAAGGCTGAGACTGGGGATGACCAGAACCAAGTGTCCCTTCCCAAAAGGAGTTTGCTCCTAGCATTCAAGTGTCCCTTCCCAAAAGGAGTTTGCTTCTAGCATTCATGTGCTGTCTTCCTAAGATACAGAAGCCAGGCAGTATCCAAGGAAGAACACAGCAGGGATGTTCTCTATAGGTTTGGACCACAGACTCCTTCCTGAACTGCATTTTGGAAATGAGTATTTTTTAAATGTAGCAGAAAAAAGGAGCTTGCCACTTGAGAAATCCTTCAGGGACCCCTTTGAAGTAATAGAAGCCTGTGTGGTAAAGTGCTGACTAGGGGTCAAGGGACCTGGCACATGGTTCTGGCACTAACTCTGCCTTGCTGTCAAGCAAGCCCTTCCCCCGTACTGAGCTTCAATTTCCTTATCCGTAAAATAATATAATTGGACTATAATCTCAGACTTCCTTTCACTGTAATATTTTGTGATTCTGAATACTTGCTCACTGATCTGTCTTAAGTATTTATTTATTCAGCAACTATTAATTATTTTCTTACAACTAACCACCATCATCCCTATTCTCAGTTCCTCTGATACATGTTCTTAAAGCATCCTGTATGATTTATCACTTTTACCATAACATGTAGTTCTATAGTTATTTGATTAATATATCTCTCCTTCACTTAACAGTGAGTTCACAGAAGATAGGATGTGGATCTGAGGTACTGTGTTCCCAGCACCTTGCACTGTCCTTAGCATATGATAGGTGCCTAGCCAACATTTGTTGAATTAATGGGTACTAGGCATGCCAAGAAATAAGAGAAAAAGATACAGGCACTTCCTTGAGACTACACCCTGTACAGTGATAGTTTGGTGAAAATGCCCATATGCAAAGCACACTGAGAACAGTGCAGGACAGTAGATAACAGGACTTTCAATTAAACATAAGCAAGGGCCAGAATTAACAGCTGTCATGGGGAATGAGGAGGGGAGAGACCAGTGTGGCATTATAGAAGGCTTAATGGAGGAGGTGAGACCAGAGCCAGACCTAGAAGGACAGGTAAAATTCAAACAAAGAGAGAGAAGGAAGGAAGCTTTTCAGGTGAGGCAGCAACAGGAGCTGTCCACAGGAGCCAGGAGCCAGAAATACTGTGTATTATTTAGAGTCCTGGTAGAAGCTGGCCACCTGCTGGATAAAGGGGTAGGGAGATGGGTGTGGAGGATCTTGGGGAAGAGACAGAGGACTTGTACTTATTTTTGTAGTCCATAGAGAGCTCCTGAAGTGACTGTCTGTTGTTTATGTGTTTGTTTAGTGACCATTGTGATTTTTACTTTAAAAGTTGCACAAGATAAAAATTTGGAGTAGTACCAGAAGACATGCAGTGGAAAGGAAGTCTCCCTTCCACATCCCTGGTCCTCCTCAGAGGCAACCACCTAACTCTTCTTATGTATCATCCCTATTGCTGCTGTAACAAGTTATCACAAACTTAGTGGCTTAAAACAACACAAATTTATCTTATAGTTCTGGAGGGAAGAAGTCTGAAATGGGTTTCACTGGACTGAAAACGGTGTTGACAGAACTGTCTTCCTTTCTGGAGACTCCAGGAGAGAATCTTTCCTGTCTTTCCCAGCTTCTAGTGGCTGCCCACATTCTATGTCTCCATGCAGTTGCCATCCATCCTCAAAGCCAGCAATGACCGGTTGAATCTTTTTCACGTTTCCTCATTCTGACACTGGCTCTTCTACCTTCCTCTTTTACTTCTAGAAACCTTTGTGATTATATTGGGCCCACTCAGATAGTCCAGAGTAATCTCAAAGTCAACTAATTAGCAACATCAATTCTATCTGCAACCTTCATATTCCCCTAACATATTCACAGGTTCCAGGGTTAGAACATGGACATCTTGGGTGAGGGTGGGGGGTTATTCTGTGTATCACACTCTCGGAGATATTTTATAAATGCTTTATTTTTAATCCTGTTTTTGAATAGTTAATACTTGTACATAGTACAAAATTCACAAGAATTTTCAGAGAAAAGTCTACTCTCACCCCATCTCCAATCAAAGAATTGTCCAGTTTCTCCACTGTATTGTTACTATCTTTTCCCTTGACATTAGTTAGCACTCTATGAAGAGATAGCTTTTGGTTTTTGAGATAGAGTCTTGTTCTACCACCCAGGCTGGAGTGCAGTGGCACAATTATAGCACACTCCAATCTCTAATTCCTGGGCTCAAGTGATCCTCCCACCTCAGGGTCCCAAGTAGCTGGAGTTATGAGCCACCTTGCCTAGCTGAGTTGTTAAAAAAATAATTTTGTAGAGACAGAGTCTTGCTGTGTTGCCCAGGCTGTGAGGAGATACTTTTAAGACCACAAAAATATCCTGCTCCTCATCAAAATTTTACCCTAGAATTAGCACCCATCGCTGGTTTTTGCCTGAACCAATCTTTATGTGATGCTTGCCGAATGAATATTTTCCATGTTTTCTAACTCCAGCACGTACTCCACATTGACCAGTTAGCACTTGGCATTCTCTCTAAGCAAGAACCCCTTTCCCTCTATTTTCTAATACTGTCAAAATGTGTTCATGGGTACTTACCTTTTTTTTTTTTTTTTTTTTTTAATTTTTGAGATGGAATTTTGCTCTCGTCACCCAGGCTGGAGTGCAATGTCGTGATCTCGGCTCATCGCAACCTCCGTCTCCCGGGTTCAAGCGATTCCCCTGCCTTAGCCTCCTGAGTAGCTGGGATTACAGGTGCCCACCACCAAGCCCGGCTAAATTTTTTTGTATTTTTATCAGAGACGGGGTTTCACCATGTTGGCCAGACTGATCTTGAACTGCTGACCTCAGGTGATCCACCCATCTCAACCTCCCAAAGTGCTGGGATTACAGGTGTGAGCCACCACGCTCGGTGGGTACTTACCATTTTAATGTTGTAAAATTTATTATAGGCTTAGTTATGTTGGGGCTATCATTGCCTCATATTTGGCCAGTGTGGCATATCTCCATCTTTTTTTTTTTTAACATATAGCATTTTCTTATTTTTCTACATAATGAAATGTCTCAGGCTCATCTCGTATCTACCTTGCTGTTGCCCTGAAATCAGCTATTTCTTGAGGAGCCCTCGGATTTTTTTGTTGATAATTGTACTAGAGTGTGAAATCTGAGTACCAAGTGTACTCATTGCTCCTTCTGTTGATAGAGCCAAGAACTATTTATATAGGTATATACACATATATATACATATCCATTAAAATATACACATACATGTATATACATATGCACACAGATATTCTATATTGTTTACTTTTTTGTTTATAACGTGAATGCACTAAGGATGATATTTGCTTTTAAGAAACAGCATCTAGCTATGTTGTCCAGGCTGCTCTCAAACTCCTGGCCTCAAGTGATCCTCTCACCTCAGCCTCCCGTGTAGCTGGGACTGTAAGCACGAGCTATTCTTATGCACCTACATTTGTTAGTAATCCTGAGAACACCAATACTGCCTGCCCCCTCATCTGCCCCACATTCTAGTTAATCCTGACGGGTTCTTTCGTGTCTTCACACATTTCATATTAATATGTCCTTCTTCCTTAGTGACAATGGTAGCTGCAAATAACGTTGATACATTTATTTATTTACTCATTTGCTCAATCCTATAATACATCTTAAAAAGCTTCAGAACTGCTTTACCCATGCCACTGTAGAAAACAAATCTCCTTAAAAGTTCAGGTCAGGATTTGTTTGCAGTTCTCACCCCTAGTCTATCCAAGGCTGAGAGTATATAGTCAAATACTGGGTTCCTAAGTTACTAGGGTTCTTTTCTCCCCCTTCAGTGTGTTTATGCTCTTCATTTGAAATACAGTTGGGTTAATTTTTCAATTTGCTCTCAGTTTTAGGATTTTTCTCCCCTACGTATCCTGATTGATTTAATTTTATTGTTTGAATATGTAGAGCACTATCTCATTTCTAAAAGTCAAAGGTACCAAAAGGTATACTCAGAGAAGTAAACCTCCCTCCTGTATCCCTTTCAACCTGCTTCTGTCCCTCTCAGTGAGTCCTGACCCCTTGTAAATAATTAGCTTTGTTGTTTTCTGGTTTATCCTCCCTGTGTTTCTTTGTATAAGCAAATATTTGTATGTTCTCTTATTTCACTTTTCTGCCTACACAAAAGGTAGCATACTGTATATGTCGCTTTGCAGTTTGCTTTTTTAACTTAACAATATTTCTTGAAAATCACTTCATGTAAATTCATAGAGATATTCCTCATTTTTAATAGCTGCATAATACTTCATTGTATGTATATTCCATGTATTCTATACTTGGACCTTGAGATTTCCAATATTTTGCAGTTACAAATAATGCTACAATGAATAACCTTATGCATATATATTTTGGTCTTGTTGGAGGTATGCCTTTACAGTAAAGTCTTAGAAGTGGTATTGCTGGGTCAGGGGGTAAATGCATACGTCCTCTGGTTAGATATTACCAAGCTTCTCCTCCGTACGAGTTGTACCATGTTACACTTCCATTAGCATCGTATGAGAGGGTCTGTTTCCTTGTAGCCTCTCCAACAGAGTGTATTGTCAAGCTTTTGGATTTTTGCCAATATGAAGGTGAGACATAGTATCTCATTGTAATTTTAGTTTGATTATCTTATTATAAGTGAACTTGAACATCAATTCATATGTTTGGCGGTCATTTTATATCTCCTTTTGTGAATTGTCTATTTGTGTCTTTTGCCCACTTTTCTATAGGACTTTTGGTCTTGTTTTTCTCTTGATTTTTAAAATTTCTGTTTATGTTAAGAATATTAGCCCTTTATCTGTGATATATAGAAATATTTTATCCTACTTTGGATTGATATGGTTTTAACACTTCCCATGTGATTCTAATATATAGCCAGGAGTGAGAACCACTAGGGCAGTTTAAACAAATCGGAGCTGTTTTTTAAAGGAGAATGCCTAGAGAGAGAAAGGAATAAGGGCTGAGGACTCGGGCTTCGGTGACACTCAATAACTTGGAAAAGAAGAATGAACTGCAAAGGAGAGAAAGTCATGGATATTGCATATCATGGAAATCAAGGTAGAAAAGAAGGCCAGGCATGGTGGCTCTTACCCCTGCAATCCCACCACTTTGGGAGGCTGAGGTGGACAAATGGCTTGAGCCCGGGAGTTTGAGACCAGCCTAGACAACATGGCAAAACCCTGTCTCTACAAAAAAAAAAATACAAAAATTAGCTGGGTGTGGTGATGTGCCTGTGGTCCCATCTACTCAGGAGGCTGAGTGGGGAGGATTGCTTGAGTCCGGGAGGTGGAGGTTGCAATAAGCTGAGATTGCGCCACTGCACTCCAGCCTGGGTGACAAAGTGAGACCCTGCCTCAAAAAAATATGTTTTTTTAAGGTAGAAAAGAATTAAAAGGAGGCAAGATTGGTCAGCAGTATAGATTACTGCACCCATGGAGAGGAGGAAAAAGAGGTTGCTGGATGTGGTAATGACATTCATAGCCCTACCTCTCAGCACAACTTCATCTGTGCTTATTCAGGCTGAAGGAAGACTCTCCTGATCTGTGGGCAGTGGTTTTGTCGAGCAGTATTGCCCATGACCATAGGAGGCCTCTCCTGACAAACAGAAATGGAAGGAGCACAGCTCAGCTGTGTCATAATGGGGCCATAATTATTCAGTCAGCAGGTATTTTTTAAACTCCTACTGAGTGCCAATTACTGTTCTGGGCACAGGGTATCACAATAAAGATCTCATTTTTAATCTTTGCTTCTCTCTCACTACTTTCTAATAAGTTGGAAGTTTCTTTTACCCAGGACCATTCATCTGTTTTGTCATGCATCCTCAATTCTGGGACAAACTTGGTGAAATCCTCAGAATTAATGAGGGAAAAGCATCTTGAAAAAAATGGAATCACTAGCAACAGCAAGGAGCTCTGGGTCAAAGTGGTCCTCCTGGTGTTTGTAGTCTATCCCTGTCCTCTCCCCTTCCTCCTAGCCTCCCACCACCTTTCCACTTTTATTTTTGGTGATGGTTGCCTGGTGACTGTGGTTGGGCATAAAAGAAGGTGCATAAACTGGAAGAGTCCTTGTTGGCAGAAGCTTCTGGTTTTTTTAAAAAGCAAATGTTTTATGAGGGAGATGAGTAATTCCTTCAGCCTTGAATGAAAGCAGGTATCAGCAGATAAAACAGTTCCTGTTCCCAGAACCGTAGCCTATAACATTTGATATTATAGTTGAAGATACTACCTCCCCCACCCCCACATTTCCGATTCTCTCCATATAGGGAAGTGCAATTAGCAAAAAATATTTCATTGGTTTCTGTTGCTGTGAGTGTTCACAAAGGCAGCCATAAATAAGGCTTCCTATCTTCCTTGAGTTCAGACTGAAAGTCTGTATATTTGAGTGTACCTCATTCCAGTGAGCTTGGCTCAACCACTACTTTAATGTGCTGATACTTTTCATCCAAGCAGAGGGCTCTACTTGGCTTTGGGAATAGATGTGTAAGTGGAAGCAAAAGTCATCTCTTGATAACCCCTCTTCTCTGCCCTGCACATTAGGCTAGGATTGGTCAACAGAAGCTTAAACATCTGGTCAGCTCAGTCCTTTGGGGTGGTTGGGGTCTCGTAGACAACCCATCAAGATTGATTGGCCTCATAACTGAATTAGCCAGATGTGTGGGCATTGTGTGCCCTTTCCTCAGCCTCCTTTCAATGTTGTTAGATGGAAGCAGACGTAGGATTAGCATGTTTGAAGATGATGTGTTTTTAGTGCATGAACAAAAGCTGCCGCCTTCTACGGAGACTGTGGCTGTGCCCCAGACGTTAACAGTGTAATTATGACTGCTAAATTCAGCCCAGACCCCAGGCTCGGATGCTTTGGTCTCAGCTGTCATTTGCAGGAGGGAAGACTGCAGAGGCCTGAGGACCCTGGCTCTGATAGTGCACTTTGAACTCTGCTTTATCCAGAGCCTTTCCCTCCCCACTGACAGTTGCTCCTAGCTGCTCTCTGGCCATAGAACCTGCTGCCACCTCTGAGGAGAGTCTGTGCTATACTGTGGGGATAAGGAGGAGTAGGGCTGGCCTCTTGAAAGCCCACGACTTCCAGGAAAGTCGTGAACATTTTCATTTTGGGACTTGTCCAAAATGAAAATGAGCTAAGGATCCTCACTTCTTTGCCTGTGTCACATGCTATTCAGAGCATTATCCACCGTTAGAAAACCTCTACGTTAGCTTTGCATTGACCAGAGATCCTTGGCAGGAGTTTTTGCTTTTGCTGTTTTCCTTGTCTAACTCTGTTATGTTTGAATATTCATTTCCATGGTTTTTATACCACCTCTTTCTAACCACACTGATCTACCTATTTTCCGTAGAACAAACCAGGCATTTTCATGTCTTCCATAGCTTTGTTGATGCTTAATATTCCGTAGACATCTCTCATCCTCAATGCGTCCAAATCCATACCTCCTCACACTTTCTTCCATGTTCTCTTTGATGAATAGTATGGTTGTCTACTGGTCGCTCAAACTAGGAAGTGTTATGTCTGATGACTTCTCCCTCACTTTCCACCAAGCCCTGTCTTTCTTAGAATTTCATCTTAAGCCCATTCTCTCCTCTGTCCCCACTTCTCTAATTCAGGCTTCATCACTCTCACCTGGACTATTATAACAGCCTTGTTCTTCCTACCTCTAGGATCCCATCAAACCAGCCTCCATCTCACAAAACCATGTCACTTTCCTGCTTTAAAACCTTCAGCAGTTCCCACTGCCTATAAATTAAGCCCAGATGTTTAACCCAGCATGCAGTCACTCTAAAGTGACTTCTGCCACCAGTTTCCAAGAGAGGATGAGGATGATGGTTTGCTTCAGGATTGGGATCATCCTGTGGGCCTACCAGGAGGATGCCTGCAGCCAAGTAGGCCTGGGAGACAGGAACTGTCTCTGCCTATGGCCCACTGAACTGTTCACTACCTAGCATAGTTTTTCCTGCCTCCAAACCTGTCCTCATTCACTTTGCCTGGAATATCCTTTCCCCACTTCTCCACCTATCAAACTCCTACTTAGCCTTCAAGATCCAACTCATTTATATCTTTAATGTATAACTTTCCATGGTTGGCCTACATGAAGTGAATCACTTCTCACTCTGTTCCCCCACAGCAATTTTAGGAGACTATTTTATTGTTTTAAAGATTGCAATTGAAGCTTCAAAAAACAGAGCTTAACATGAATCTCCTCCTTACACACCCTCTTCCTCTTGCTCCTCTGATTCTGCTGCTGGTGGCCCTGACCAGATCTCTAACCTGGGAAGGCCATCCAGTCTCCCTTCTGTCTATTAAGGAGGTAGGGTAGCCGGCTCCCTGTTCAACACCCTATCCACTGTAGGAAGGAATGGTTAGTAATAGTAATTGAAGGAAAAATAACAACAGTTACCATTTTTTGATAAAAGCTCTGGACTAAGGCTTTTCTCTCTTTTAATACTTAAAATAACTTGCCAGGCGCGGTGGCTCACGCCTGTAATCCCAGCACTTTGGGAAGCAGAGGTGGGCGGATCACGAGGTCAGGAGATGACCATCCTGGCTAACACAGTGAAACCCCATCTCTACTAAAGATACAAAAAATTAGCCGGGCGTGGTGCCAGGCTGAGGCAGGAGAATGGCGTGAACCCAGGAGATGGAGCTTGCAGTGAGCCGAGATCGTGCCACTGCACTCCAGCGTGGACGACAGAGCGAGACTCCAGCTCAAAAAATAATAATAATAACTCTGCAAGTTAGGGACTCTTATTATCTACATTTCCATATGCATAAACAAGGGCACCAAGCAGTTCAGTAACAACCAAGGTTCACCACTAAGTGGCAGAGCCATTGTGTTATTATAGCTATGATTAGGATCTCATAAGCAGAATTCCAGTGTATGTTCCCAGAGCTCTCTAGGGTCCACCCTGTCCTCTGTAGGGTCTGGCATAAAATAGGTAATCTAGAATGTTGGTTGGTTGCTTGGTTGAATGAATGAATGAATCAGCATTCTACCCATTGAACTTGCCTTCAGGCGTAAGAGGGACTGGCTGAATGTCTGTAGCTTATGCCAAGAAGTATGGATTTTGTCTCATCTCCTAATGCCCAGCTGTACACAGACATGTTCCCTCCCACTCAGTAACAAACTGCCTGGAACTCTTTCCTGGCTCATATTTACAAGAGAATGTGATAAATTCCGTATCGATCCCTCCTGTTCCACTGTAAATTTTGCAAAAGATGATTAAATAGAGCAATAGAGTCTGCAGGCATTGTGGCTCAATATGTCGTGGACTGGTGTATCGACCTCCTCCATCCAAAGGCAGCCAGCGCCTATCTCTGCTGCCCCAAACCAGTAATTAAAATCCTGTGAGACTGGGATTTAAAATCCAATCATATCCCTGAATCAAGCCTTCTAGCCTCCCCGTGTGACGAGTGCAATAAGGTAACGGCAGGAGCATGTTTATGTCTGTGTTGAAGCAGTCCCCATAGGGTGGGTAAGAAATGGAGACTTGGGTAGCCCTGCTGGCTAAATCATTTCACCCTGACACCACAGCCACTTGTAAGACAATCTGTAGGTTCATAAACAAGTCCCAGCCAAAGACCAAAACTCAAGGTATAAGAGCAAAATGTCATGCACAAAAATGCACAAATTCTGTTTCACTGTACACTTACATTCTCACAGCCAGTAGTAAGTTTAAGCAAGTGATTTGGCCTTGATTAAACTGTTACTGGCCTTTAGTAACCAAACGCATTTTTGAATTTCCACAGGAACTCTGACTTAATCTAAACTAAAGCCAGCCTTCCATGTGCTGAGGTCTGTAATCAAAGCACAAGATACTACTGAAATAAACTTGTCCATCTCCCCTCAACTGGATCAGGAACTCCTGAAAAGCAAGAACAGTATCTTCTTACTCACTTTTGTATCCCTAGCACTTACCATGGTGCCAAACACATAGAAGACTCAAAAAAATATCTTTGAATGGATAACAATTAATCTTGAAAAAAAATCTGTAAACCAGTATATAAGTAGGAAACCTCCTAAGCGGTTGTCCATTTAATGCTTGAACACTTTCAGTGCTGGAGAACTCAGTTGCTCTTGAGGCTGCTCATATTCTATTTTCGGATGTTCCCATGGTTAGAAATTTAGCCAAAATCTGCTTCTCAGGGTTTTAATATTACCCTTGGATTCATGTAGAATGAATCTAATCCCAATTTAACATGATGGCCCTTGAAATATCTGAAAATGTCCAGCCTAAACCCTCTACTTCCTTAAACTATTTTTCTCAGGTGCCCTCTAAACCCTTTCCTTTCTCAATCACATTTCCCAGAACAATCCTCACTTTCTCTTCCAAACCTATGACTTCCTATTTATTTCCACTAACTTGCATCATATTTGCTTTAGCTCTTAATGTCAATCTTCCATCTGGTGTATTTGGTACCCTTCCCACCTTAATTACATCTGCAGATTTGATGAGGAAGATGTCCCTGTGATATCCATGTCATAGATAAACATGCTGAACAAGGACCAAGTGTTTGCTGCCAGTGGAAACTCCTTCCAGACCTCTGATCCATCAGTGACCCACCTCCTTGGGTCTGGTTAGTCCATCAGTCATTTACTAGCATTCCATGTGGTACTGGCATCCAGCCCACATTTCTCCATTGTGACCACAGGATTATCCTGAGACATCCCATCAGATGTCTCATGAAGTCCACATTTGGCCTAATTGTACCTGATTGAGCAAATAGGTCATCCTGATAAAGAAAGGAGAGGTTAGTCTGGCATGACTTGGCTTCTGCGAACCCATCCTGATGCCTAGTGATCATCATCATTCCTTTTCTAGCCATTCACAAAGCATTCTTGGTCATACATCTGATTGTGGAGACAAGACCTATGTGTGAAAGTCTGTGATCAGGTAATAACTCTAGCGGTTCAAAGGAAGAAGTGATCTGTAGGCTTGAGTGGCCTGGAAGAGCTTCAGGGCAGGGAAGATGAACCCGAGTCTGCAGAACATAAAGTCTGAGTGATGGGCAAAGATGAGTTTGGCACCACAGAAGAGAACAGTGGTAGCCCAGTATAGGCCAGTCCTTCCAGTGGGTGCTAAGGAAGTGAAAGCTATGGGGTGGGCAGAGGCTGAGACAGTGTAGGTGGAAAGAGCCCTGGACTAGTAGGCGTGGGTTCTAGCTCCCACTCTCCTACTCATAGTCTCTGTGACCTTGAGCTCTAATTTCCTTTCCCCAGGCTTCTCCACTTCTCCAGTCCTTTTTTGTTTAGTGCTCAGTGTAGTATCTTCTGCTCTTCTCCAGCTGGTGCTGTGGTTTCCCACCTCCTCAGCTACACAATGCCTAGCTCCCTTGTACCAGGGGGGTAGGGGGAAGAATCATCATCTTCATCTCACTCCCCTGACATCCTCATCTCCTCACTCCCCTGTAGTATAATGACATTATTTCTATCCCTCTCTGTCTTTCACTACTCTGAGTTCTGCTCAAGGGCAAGAACAAGTCTGATTCCATACAGTGGAATGGGGAATGTCTGGATCCATTCCATTAAAACTCTCTCTGTTCCCTGAATGTTAGAAATCTGCCTCCCTGAAGGCAAGGGATCATATCAGAGCATGTCCACTGGGGGGTTGGGACTTGTGGATGACCTTCTGAGAGGTTACTTAATGTGTGTCACCATTCCCCTGGCCCCCAGACAGGGAAGCCCTGAATGGGAGGAAAGGGAGCCTCATCTTGTCCCCTTTCTACAAAGCTGTCTATCCCAAATCTACCTCTAGAAATGCCCCTATCTTAGCTTTGGAGCATCTGAGCACACTGGAAGAGAGGAAAAAAGATGAGTTTTCTCTCTTTTTGAGTCATCAGGCCTTTGGAAGGTAGCATTTTGTAGTGGAAAATCAGACCTGGCTTCCTTTCCTAAAAAAATACTTTTTATTATGTAAAATATCAAACATGTACAAAAGAGAGAATAGTATAATAAATCCCCATGTTAAATCCCAGCTTTACTATTTATCTGCTGTATGACCATGGGTAAATTATTTTAGTTTTCTGAGCCTCTACTTTCTCAGAATCTTTGTTTGATGAATAATTCAGACACTGTATATAAAGGCATTATACCCAAAAAATGTTAGCCTGTCACCTTTCCCCTTGCTCTTCTGCTAGACTCAGTTAAATCATCTGTAAACTAGAAAAAATAATAATGTCTCCTGCTGTCTTCACCAAATTGTTAAATCCATGGCCGTTGTCAGCACAGGCTATGGCACATAACAAGTGCCCAGTAAGTATTTTTCATTACAGGGGCAGGGGGGCGGGGGCATATCTGCAAGTGTGAATGTCTGTGTACATACGTATGTTGAGCAGGGCTCAGTGGTGTGGTTTATAGAAAAAGCTCAAGATATCAGAAGACCAGAGCTCTATTCCCAGTTCTTCTGTGCTTCCTGCAGCATTCTCAACAAGTCTCTTCTCTCTCACCTTCAGCCTCTGGGAAAGTAGAGGAGAATTGGCTCTGACTTGAGTAGCCCCATACATACTGGATGTGAAGACTAAACCAAGATATGAAAGTGGCAGGCCAGGACCCTGAGGCTGAGGGCCAGGAAAAGGAGTAAGTAGGGAGGACACTAGGAGCCCAGAAGGGAGAGCACTGATCACTGGAGGAGGAGAGAACTGGGCCTTGAAGAATGGGCAGGATCTGGGTAATCGGAGAGACCACAGGTGGGGACAGAGTGGAGCTGAGCGTGGACACAGGGAAGGTGCATGGCTGCTCATATGTGGTCATCCTGCCACTCTCTCTCTCAATGTTTCCTTGATGGGGAGCTCATAACGGAAAAGAATGGATCAGTCCACATTGACATGTCTCTGATCATGGGAAGGATTTCCCATAATCAGAAGTTTCAACCAAAACTTCTAATTTGAGATAGTCAACAGACTGCTGAAATAGTGACAATGAGGATGAAGGTGGTAAAGCCACTAGCAATAAATATGGAAAGCAAGAGTGAATGTAAAAGTTATTACAAAGAACATTGTACACCTGTCTAATCCTTCTTTCCAATCATTTTTGAACTTGTTAATCTAATTAGTCCTCACAAAGCCCTTAGTGGTAGGTGGTAGGTAGGGCAGCAGTCATTATCACCAGAGAAGTAGAGCAAGTGCCCTGGATCACACAGCTGGGAGAGGCGGCCCCTCACTGGCTCCCCAGCCCAGTGCTCTCAGAGGGAAGGGCTGAGTCATGGGAACTGTAGTGGAATCGTATCACTAGAAGATCAGTGTGCTGACAGAACCGGGGGTGGGGAGGGGCATGAATGTCAATGTTAATCATAATAGGCCGACACATTTATATAGGGCATTTACTGTTGTTGTTATTGTTGTTGTTGTTAAGCCCTCTTATACACATTATCTTATTTGAGGTAGGCAAGGGCCAGGACAGAGTAGTGTCAAGGGAGGAGGGAGTGACAAGCCTCCTCCCACCCCCTCAGCTTATGAGCTTTTCCCACCAGCACAGAGAAGATCTGAATCCCACCTCCCTAGGTGGGATTCAGCACTCTCCCTAGGAAAGGCAGGTGGGCCTCTCTCTCCAACCACTTCTTCCCCACTTCGCACCTACAGAGCATAGAGGGTACCGGGGCCTGACCTGACCTCTTCTGCCAACCAGGCAGAGAGGCTTCTGGGACCAGCAAAGAAACTGGGGACTTTGGTCTATAGGAAAAAGGTACATGGTTTTGTATTGCTATCATAAAGGTTCTCCTGGGGCAGAAAGAACAGCCATGTTCTGTGTGGCCTCAGAAGATGGCACCTGGAGAGAATACGGTTCAATCATCTGGCAAATATTATTGAGCTCCCATCCCATGCAAGGATATATAGCAGTGTATCAAACACAGTGTCTGGCTTCTAAGAACTCTCAGTCTTAGATGAGACAGACTTTAATGCAGGGTGGCCAATGCAGTAAGATGGAAGCCGAAAGACCTATGGGAGCAGAGAGGATGGTACCCAACCTGGGGTGGAAGGGAAACAAGGAAACCTTCCTGGAGGAGAAGCTAGGACTGAGTCTTAAAAGATGAACAGGTGTTTTCAGAACCAAGATGGAAGTGGGGTTGGTGAGAGAATCTGGGACTCATATATGAAAAATCTGCCCTCAGTTAAATGGGGGACACCCCTGGGAGAGCCATGAGCTTGGGGCTGGGTACTGGGGACATTCAGAGGAGCCCGAGTGACCACCCGTTTGAGATGTAGTAGAAGGGAGTATCTTCTTAGGGAATTGGAAGAACTCACCATTTTTCCACTTGGAGAGTCAATAATTGCGTCAAATCAAAAGCAGGTACTGAACCAGAGAAGAGGAGTGGGCTCCCTCAGCACCAGTGAGCCAGGCCTTCACTCCCACCAACACCATTGCCACTGCTTTACCTTGCCCTGGGTGATGAGGTCCAAACCAGCCATAGTGGCACCAATCAGCATCAGCCCCACGACCACCCACCCCCCCACACTACTTTCCTGGCCTAGGCCCTATTGACAGATCCCCCAGAATCTGAAGGAATTCAAGACAAATGGTTAAGAGGATGGAGTTAATAAAATTTGAAAAATTGAGGCCTGTCACTCCACTAAACTTTTTTCAATACCACTGACAGAAACATATTTCCCCAATGAGTGACCTTCCACAGCTGTAGCGGGCAGGCGCAGCCGCAGCAGTGCTGCCAGGAAGCCAGTCTGCTATTTATCAAATATTATAAGCTGGGACACACTAATCTGGAGAGGGAGAGGAGGGGAGGGGTCCTGTACCACACTGCCTGGGGTGCTCCAGGTGTTTGCCCCAGCCCCAGACAGCCAGTGGGAGGTGACGGATGACCTGCGATTAGCATTCCCCACCTCCATCCAGCCCTTTCACTTGCTCCCAGAGGCCTGGCCCTCTAGACCAGCTGCTTGGCCCGAAGGGGCCCTGGGTGGGAGGCAAGGGGAGGTCAGGCCAGGGCACGGGCCATCCTGATGCCCCTGGAGAGGGCAGGCGGGTGAGGCCCAACGTGGTTATTTATTGGACTGTAATGGTTTGTGGCCGTTGGTCGTGGAGGTGAAATCGATCAGTGGTAGAAGTCAGGTTCTATCAATTATTACAGCAATTAGTCAAGTCAGAGCGAGGGTGCAGGGCTGGGGTACTAATATTAGATGGACACTATCCATGGTACCCCTGCCTCAGCCTTCCTAAAGTGGGGGCAGACATGCTGCCCTGAGGCTCCAGAACCTTGGGGAGCCTTCTCCGTGAATGGTCAGGTGGAGCCTGACCTGAGAGCCTCCTGGGCTGGAGACAGGCGCCGTACTGCTTTAAAAGGAGCCCCTGTGCTGGCTGGCCCAGGTGCAGAGATGTCCTACCTGTCCCCATCCCATCCTTTATGAGAAGTGACACGACTCCTACTAGAAATTACTCAGTGGCCAATGTTTATGGCACACATTTTTCATTCTGTAAGCAAATATAGATCACTGACAGCACTTGTTTGAAGAGGCTAATCTCACTCTGTTCGTTCTTCCACTGTCTTCCTCTGTCACCTTCTCTCCTCTTGCCCCTCCTCTTCTCTCTCCCATTTCTTTCTTCCTATCCAAAGCAGAAGCTCTTCTCTTTGCCATTCTTCCCCTTCCAGAGGTCTCTCCCTAACCCTCCCTTCCACTGCAGCTCATATCTAGTGACAGAGCTCCCCTTGAGGCTAAGAAAGGACAGACCTTTCCACTGCTTCTTTGCAGCTCCCTTTCTGCCTCCGTTGTGGTTTAGCTCTGCGGGGAGGGGAGGATGCTGTCTGCCACTGGCTCCTCAGCCCTTGCAGAGCCGCTCAGTGCTGAGCGCCAGAGAAAGCAACTCAGTGGGGCTGGGCCAGGAAGGCTAGGCTAGGCGAACAAGTCCCTGAGCACTTTGTTCCTTCCTGAGCCCCCCAGTGCCGCCTGTCCCTCCTTCAGCACACTGATGACACTCAGTCTGTGACCTCCTGTCTCCATGAGCTCCTGGAGAGGTGGAATTGTGCTGGACTCGAACTCTAGGTAGCACCTAATAATCTTAAAGACAGGAAGAGGAGTCTGCAAAAGAAACAGAAGAAATGGTCACAAGAGTGGGAAGAAAACCTGAAAAGTGGTTTTATAGAACTCAAAGGAGAGAGTGGCCAAGGTATCAGTTGCTACAGAACAGTCGTGAAATATAAAGAGGGAAACTATTCATTGGCTCTGCCAATCCTTCATCATCCTGCACACAGAGGCTTGCAGATATAAAGTGCCCAGTAAGTGCCAACAGAATGGAAAGAAAGGATGAGGCTCTGGCTGAGCCTCTAAGGACTTGCCCAGTAGTTAGGAAGACCACAGACACACTCCTTCCTAGGGAGGTTGCACTTTGTCCTGAAAGCAAAGGCCAACTGAAGGCTTTTTCATCAGGGGTATATTGTGGCTGCCCTCATGAGAGTAGAGAATTGGAGTTAGGAAAACCTGGGGGTGGTTTTTACTCCTAGTTCAAGCAAATAAAGCTAGCTTTGTGGCCTTGGGCTAGTTATTTCACTTTTCTGAGCCTGTAGCTTGGGGATTTTAATTCCCATCCCTCAGAAAGTACCGAGCACAGTGCCTGGCACAGAGTAAGTGCTCAATAAATACCAGTGTTACTATTATTACATCATGACTCCAATTATCTGCCCAGGAGACATGAAAACATACATCTACACAAAGACTTGTGTGTGAATGTTCATGGCACTGTTTATATAATAGCCAAAAAGGGGAAATAGCTTAAATGTCGATCATCACCTGATAGAAAAACAAAATGTAGTATATCCACAGAATGGAGTATTATTCAGCCATGCTACCACATGGATGAACCTTGAAAACATTCTGGTAAGCCTGAAAAAGTCAGACACAAAAGGCCACATATTATACAACTCCATTCATAGGAAGTATCCAGAATAGGCAAATCCATAGACAGAAAGTAAACTAATGGTTGCTGGGGCTGGGGGTAGGGGGAGTGTCTGATAATAGATAGGGAATTTCTTTTGGAGGAGGGTGAAAATGTTCTGGAATGGTATATTTTAAACCACTGAATTGTATACCTCCTTTGCTTTCCTTTTTCCTTTCCTTTTTTCTTTCCTTTTTCCTTTCCTTTCCATTTTTTAGACAAGGCCTTGCTCTGTTGCCCAGACTGGAGTGCAGTGGCGTGATCCCAGCTCACTGCAGCCCCTGCCTCCTGGGTTCATGCAATTCTTGTGCTTCAGCCTTCCGAGTAGCTGGGATTACGGGCATGTGCCCCCATGCCTGGCTAATTTTTTTTTTTTTTTTTTTAGTAGAGATGGGGTTTCACCATGTTGGCCAGGCTGGTCTCGAACTCCTGGCCTCAAGTGATCCGCCCACCTCAGCCTCCCAAATTGCTGGGACTACAGGCATGAACCACTGTGCCCGGCCTTGAATTATATACTTTGAAAGGTTTAATTTTATGGTGTGTGAATTGTATCTTAATAAAAAAAAATATATTTATCAATATTCTGCACTAAATTCCTGTTAGAAGATAGTACTGTGTAAAAAAAACTTAGTTTTTTCTTACTGATAATAAAAGTTTCCTTCACCTGGATTGTATTTCCTATGGCCTGCCCCTTCCCCCTCCACCTCCCACATCGCTATAGAGCTTTAGCCACTTCCTCTGCCTCTCAGGCAGACAGCCACATGTAAATGCTTAATAAATGGTTACTGTTGTTCATAAGTTGATAGGGTCTTTTAAGAAGTAGAGACTGTGGCTGGGCATGGTGGCTCACACCTATAATCCCAGCACTTTGGGAGACCAAGGTTGGAGGATCACCTGAGGTCAGGAGTTTGAGACCAGCCTGGCCAACATGATGAAACCCCATCTCTACTAAAAATACAAAAATTAGCCAGGCATGGTGGCACATGCCTGTGATCCTAGCTATTCAGGAGGCTGAGGTGGAGAATAGCTTGATCCCAGGAGGTGGAGGTTGCAGTGAACAGATATCACGCCACTGCACTCCAGCCTGGGCAACAGAGTGAGACCCTGTCTCAAAAAAAAAAAAAAAAAAAAAACAGAAAAGAAAAGAAGAAGTAGAGACTTGTGGCTGGGCACAGTGGCCCACGCCTGTAATCCCAGCAGTTTGGGAGGTCAAGGCAGGAGGATTGCTTGAGCCCAGGAATTCAAGACCAGCCTGGGCAACATAGTGAGACCCTGTCTCTTAAAATTTTTTTTTTTTTTTGAGACAGAGTCTCGCTCTGTCGCCCAGGCTAGAGTGCAGTGGCGCGATCTCTGCTCACTGCAAGCTCCGCCTCCCGGGTTCACACTATTTTCCTGCCTCGGCCTCCTGAGTAGCTGGGACTACAGGTACCTACCACCACGCCCGGCTAATGTTTTGTATTTTTTAGGAGAGATGGCGTTTCACCATGTTAGCCAGGATGGTCTCAATCTCCTGACCTCGTGATCACCTGCCTTGGCCTCCCAAAGTGCTGAGATTACAGGCGTGAGCCACCACACCTGGCCAAAAAAAATTTTTTTGATTAAAAAAGTTTTATTAAAAATTTTTAATTAAAATTTTAATAAAAAAATTTTTAAAGTAGAGACTTGCAATAGGAATACTTCTGTATCATGATATAAATGTTTTCACATACTGGATTGAGAAATACTGGTTTTTACTGTACATCAACAGTGGCTGGACACCTACCCTGAGCCATGCCCTGTGCTAATTGGTTTCCCAGCCAGCCCATTCTATCCTATGGCAGGGACTGAGTCTTAACCTTCTTTACTTCAGACAGTACTTCCTGAGCAAGAGAGAAGCTCAAAAAATACTAGATAATTATTACCTTAATGTTCTGTGTAACACACATTTATTAAGCATCTGCTGTGTACAAAGCAGCTTTCTAATTATGTTTCTGTCTTCCTGCCCTTCCCTAAAGGGCAGGGCCAGATCTGATTCTTCTGCATCCTCAGGCCCCATTCATTCAGGGTCTGCCGACTTGAATGGAATGGATGGTTTTCGAAGAAGAGAGTGAGGTGCTTACACATGGGCTTTGGGAAGGCTGTGACAGCACAGAGTCAGAGTGACCTTTCCTCCATAACTGCCAAGGCTGGCACAAAGTAGACACTTGATACAGGCTTGTCAGCTGCCAGTACTTAGAGAGAAGGTAGATACATGGCCCCAAGCTAACCCCTTCTTCTTGTCATACTCAAAGTCTTTGTCCTTAAGTCACAGGAACTAATGATTGGAGGAAATACCCAGCCACATGCACTCACCCACCAACAGCCAGAGTGGCATAGACAGGTTGCTGGTGGTGCCCATGCCCTTCCAGGGGACTCAGCTGACTCAGACAGACAGGAAATGCCCAGAGGTCAGAGAGCATAAAAGGAGAGTAGCAGAAAACAAAGAAGGGGAACCATTTAATTGTTATTTGGGATATTCTCTGCCTTAGAAAGGAACCCTTTATATGGCTTCATGAATGAATGTTTATCTGTATGCTGATATGTTGGAAAATATGGACATTTTAATGAATACATGTATGAAATTGTATGTTTACATGTATTTGTGCTGCGGTATATTAACCTGTGTATTTGTTTGGCATACTTTCTTAGCATGTTCAACTGTGTGTGTTTGTGTATGTATAACACATCTACGTGTGTGTAGTATGTTATCGAACATGTGTGCATGCACATGTAGGAGCCCCAGTACCATGTTTTTCCACCATTTGTAGGTGTCCATGGACATTCCCAACATAGAAATCAGAGCCTTAAGCCACCTCCAAGGGAAGGCTGAGGTCCCACTGATCGTTCATAGAGCCTCTGTTTATCCTTCTTCTCTTGCCAGGAGCCAACCCCCTGCAGAGGAATGAAATGGGACACACACCCTTGGATTATGCCCGAGAAGGGGAAGTGATGAAGCTTCTGAGGACTTCTGAAGCCAAGGTAAGTCTCAGGGAAGGGAGGAGGCCTGTGGGTACTCCATGCATCATTTAATCCTTCACTCATTAAATTATGTCAGGCTTTACACCAAAGGCCACTTCTCCTTAGGTGATTATTATCTGTTTAAATACAGATATTATCTGTATTATTATCTGTTGATTATTATCTGTTTAAATACAAATCCAGCCCCCAGTCTCATCAAGAATAGGAAGCTGCCCCTATCATGACCAGGGAGCGGCCTTGGCCACTTCTGGCTTCTGAGCATTACCTTTAAATTTGGTTTATGAAGTGATGGATCTCCCAGGTCCTTTTCAGAGGAGGGGGTTCTAGCCAGACAAAATCCTTAGCCCAAGCAAAGATTTTGGTCATATTTTTCCTAGGCCTCATGTATTCTACAGTCTCATCAAACAATCTTTTCTTATCATCATTCTTTCTAGAACTATTCCTTCACCCCTCCCCTCCACACACACTCCAGAAAGCCTAGTATAGAATCTGAGCCAAAAAACCCTCCATTCTAATTCTGTTTTCCCAACCAAACTTTTGAACTCCTGAAAACAGGGCTAAGTCTTCCACCTCTCCCAGCCACAGAGCTGTAACTCAGGAACTACTGGACAGAATCCAAGAACTAGAATCACAAATCTGAGAGCTGGCAAGGACCTTAGAAATCAAGTCCAGTGATGGGAAATCTTACAAAAACATAAGCCAATAAATCAGAGGAAAATTGAGTTGTTCGAGTTGAAGGAGAGAGATGGACTAGAGCACTGCCCACGTGGCCTGCCCTTCACTCCTGCCCTTCACTCAGCCTCTGAGGGGACTCTGCTGTTGCCACAAGTTTCAATCTCTGAAACCTAAATCAGCTGACTTATTTTACTCCTGGAGAAACTGGAGCCCAGGGCTGTGATGTGGCTTGCCTTTGGTCCCAGAGTGAGTTAGCATCAAAACTGAACATAATAGGCTTGACTACAGGTCATGTGGTAGGTTCAGTGGCAGGACGGGGACTGGAAGACCTGGTTTTTGACTTTTGTGCCCTTTCCAGCCTCATGGAGTCTGTTATCCACAAATTGGCTGAAGTACCTTGAGATGATTCAGTGTGGCAGGTCCCACCTAGTGGCAAATATTCTCTGTCTTGAGTCCAAGCACTTAGCTCCCTGGACTGAGACTGAAGAGATGTGGGTTCTGATCCTAGCTTCACCACTCACTGCCCATGTGACCTTGGGCTACCACATCCCCTCATTAAAGCTCAGTCTTCTGTGATATGAAAACATTGTACTAAATGGTTTCTAATGTTCTAGGCAACATATGATTGTCTATGGATCAGTCAGGATAAGCTAGATTATGCTATTGTAACAACCCCAAATTTCAGTGGTTTAAAACAAAACAAAATAAGATTTATTTTTGCCTTATGTTGCATGTTCCTTGTGGTTGTGGGTGAGGGGCAGACTCTGTTCATCCTAGGCACTTAGGGATCCCAGCAGGCAGAGCAGCCACCCACTGGAATGTTGCTAGTTGCTTGCCAGAGGGAAAAGGATGCTCTGAAGGGTCTTACATCTGCAGTTAAATGCTCAGCCTAGAAGGAGGATCCTTTTCTTCCACTCACTATTCATTGGCCAGAACTAATCCCATGTTTCAAACCAATCATAAGGGGGGCCAAGAAGAGTGATCCTACCATGTGCCTAGAATGGGAGAGCTGGAAATATTTGGTAATCAACATGAACCATACAGAGTTTGCCTCCCTGGTATTTTTAGTAACTGTTTTGCAGTAGTTTCTTCTGGAGAAGGGAAGGAATTAGGAAGGGTGACTAGCTTTTCACAGCCCATCCCCGGGGGCCCTTGTGACCAGAAAGAACTACTAAATTTCAGAGGGCAAATGCTTCTTTCCTTTTGTTCAGATTTTTCTGTCCTAGGAGCAGGTCAGGAGGTCAGGTCAACTTCCTTAAGTGCCTTAAGGAAATCCCTCAGCACTGTTGTGCATAATCTTAGGGACTGCATGCTCATCATCAGCTCCCCTTTCAAGCCCAGTGGCTTTTGCCTGAGAGACCAGCCCTAGACTTGGCCAAGAGTACCTGTAGCTTTTGAGCTTGTGTGACATAGAGCAGGTACTGGTCTGGCCACTGAAGCAAGAGAACAGGCCCCTTAGTGCCAGCGCTGGTGGAGGGGTTAGGCCCACTGAGGGACCCTTCACAAAATTTAGCTGCCCAAGGGAAGTGGCTTGAAGTTGGCCACATTATTACAGGGCTAATGTCCAGAGTGAACAAATGGCAGTTGCAATCCCCTGTGCCAGTCAGACCCTTCTGGAGCATGGAGGGCAATTACAGACACCATATTCGAAGTAGACATTGATCTCTTAGAATCTGTGCAGAAAAGGGCAGTAGGGTGGCAGGAGGAACTATGCCATGAGAGAAAGCTGATGGTAATAGGGCATCTGGCCAGAAGAGGAAGAGCATAGAAACAGCTCTGAGTGAGAGGGAGTGAGATTTATTCCATGGCAGAGCCAGAGTGGCTAGGCTTATTGGGCAGCAGCTTCAGGGAAGAGCCCCTAACACAGCTGTCCCACCATGGAGGGGCTGCCTTAGAGGCTAAGAAGACCACTTGGAGCCAGTCCAGGGATTCCCTAGCTCTCAGCTGGAAGATCATTTCATCCGTTGTCACTCTGTGCACTTGATCCCTTCATCCAGTCTGGACTTTCTCCATTCTGAATGTGTCCACTGAGCATCTCCACCTAATTGCTTTGCTGTCCCATCAGATTCTACCTATGTGAAGCACCCCTCAGCCCTCCCTGGATGCCAACGGCATTGGCTTTCTCTGAGTTGTTCAGCATCTACTTGGTCACCCATTCATTCTGTTCTGCATTTTTCCTCCAAACTGCAAAAAGCTTCCTCTTCAAAATTGTGAGGCAGGCTTTTGTGGGAAGAACACCATTTTAGACCTGGTTTCTTCTCCCTCTGCCAGTAAGTAAGAAGCAGCTGCCTCTGAGTTCAGGCCCTGCATCTGTAACATAATGACTCAGGCCTGGAGGCTGCTGAAGCTCCAGCCTGGGCCCCATCTCCTGGCTCTTTGTCTAGACATGGGTTGCTGTCACTCTGATCTTATCTGGCTCCCCTTCTCTCTGCTCAGCATCCCCCTGCCACCCTGCTCAGCCTCCTCCACCTCCACCTACCACTCTGTAGTCAAATTATGCTCATAGAAAACTTGTATTAAAGTTGTATGTCCCATTATAGAAGTTTTAGAGATACAGAAAAGTAAAATGAAGAGAAATAAATAATATAGTACATATTTATGAATGACATCTATGTGCCAGGTTCTGGGCTAGATGGGAAGAAGACTGATGAGTAAAACACTCAAGGAGCTATAGTCTGATAGGGAGACAGGCAAGTAAACCATGACACCACTGAGTCATCAGTGGTATGACTTATCAAGGAAGACTTCCTGGAAGAGATGACAACTGAGCTGAATTTAATTCAAAGACTCTAGCCCTCCTACCAAGACATAACCACTATTAATATTTTTAATTAATTATAACAATGATATATACTGTTTTTATCAAATGCATCTAGGTAGTGTGCCAGGTGCTCAAATACATATTTTTCTAACCCTGTAGCAAATCTGTGAAGTAGTTCTTGTTACCCCTGTTTCAGATGGGAAAACTAAAGCTGCAGGAAAGCAAGCAGATGATTTACAGAAAACCAAGTTGTTATAAGTGACTATTAGGAATTGAACAATAGGTTTCCTCTTATGATACTGTATTAGCCTTCTCTGGATCATATCTATGTATAGTTATATAGATGGCCTTTTTTGTAAAAAATGTGGTTGACAGTCCACCATATATACCAGGAGTCTCAGACTGGCAGCCGCATTTTATATAGCCACCCAGAGTTTTCCAAAAATGTGAAGGTAATGCCTTGGGGATTGGGAGTGTGCACTGTCCAGCCACAGGGCCCCCCATTCCCTCTTATATTATGTCCTCGATTATCAGACACTTTTGTTTCCTACTTGGCCCTGAAGGAGTTACAATCCTATTCTATATTTGGAATTTGGTTTTTATTCACTTAATATTATTGGTGATTTTTCCATTTAAAATTATCCATAAGCCTAATTTTTTATTTAATTCTGCCCTTTAAAATGCATCATTTACCCTAGAATCTCTGTCACCTTAAGTGGTCTGAATGATGTGTCCCTCACTGTTGGCTTCCTCAGTTCTCTCAGCATTCTGTGCGCCGAAGCCTCCTTAGGCCCCCTGAGAATATCCAGAGGTGATGAGGCCCAGCCCCTGTCCCTGAGTTTGCCATCTGGCTGGGGGAGAGGCAGGCACTCTTAGCTCTGATACCTGCAGACTGATTTGTCTTAGGAGGGTTCGCAGAGTTGGTAGAGTCTCCAAGAAAGCGTGGATCACCTCCTGGCAGAGAGAGCAGGGCAGGCTTCAAAGAGGAGGTAGCCTGTAATCTCACCTTGAAGGATTTCAATAGATGGAGAGTTTAATACTTAAAGCCAGGACCATTTTCATGTCTTAACTAAGAGATGAAGGAGAGGTAGAAATATATCTCTGTTGACATGATAGCAGATAAAACAAAAATATGTGGAGCTATCCCATGATGAATATTCAGCTGAGGGGAACGTGCTCGTGCCAGCCTGCATCTCCACTCCCAATCCTCACTGCACCGAGACTCACGAGGAATTTATTGCTCATTTTAATCACACCCAAAGAATGCATCGGCAGGAATATTAGGCAGATAGGCCTATCCTATATATTTTATTTGCATATCCCAGTGACAGGATCACAAGCACATTTCCTATCTATATTTTTTCATTTGCTTCAGGGGTAGCTGGGGATGTGATGCTCCCCTGGGCCCGCATTCCAGGCTGAGAGCCTGGGTGCTCCTCTCAGAGCTGAGTGCAGCCCTACAGGAGGAGAGAGGGGGAGCACACAGGAGGGTAGGAGGATTATGTTCTTCCTCCCCTTGGCCTCACTCAACCCATTCTCTGCTTTGCCTCTCATTACAGGTGCCAGCTTGCCATGTGCCTGGCTCTGTACTTGGCCCTGTGGCTTACTATGGTATGGGCCAGATACAGTGCTAAGTGCTTTTTAGGGACCAACTTTCTCTTTCCCTTTTTTTAACTTTTATTTATTTTTATTTTTTTCTTTTTTTTGAGATGAAGTCTTGCTGTGTCGCCCAGGCTCGAGTGCAGGGCACGGTCTCAGCTCACTGCAACCTCTGCCTTCCAGATTCAAGCGATTCTCCTGCCTCAGCCTCCCCAGTAGCTGGAATTACAGGGGCCACACCACAACTGGCTAATTTTTGTATTTTTAGTAGAGACGGGGTTTCACCATGTTGGCCAGGCTGGTCTCAAACTCCTGGCCTCAAGTGATGCACCCACCTCGGCCTCCCAAAGTGCTGGGATTATAGGCATGAGCCACCATGCCTGGCCTTTTTTTTAACTTTTAAAAGCTTTTTATTGAAATATACTTGTATAAGATACACATATCAGGAATGTATGGATCACTGTATTTTCACATACAAGACACACCTTATTAAGAAACAGACTATTAGAAGCACCCCAAAAGCCTGCCTCAGACTCCCTTCCAGACTCATCCCCCAAGGGTAGGCATTATCCTGATATTTTTAACTTTTATTTTTGCATAATTTTAGAGATAGTACAATTAATTCCTATAAATCCTTCATCTAGATTCCCAACTATTAACATCTTATCATACTTGCTTTATTATTTATGTACATAAATAATACATATAAGGATATATATATAATTTTTTTCTCAATGATTTGAGAATAAGTTTACACATGATGCTCCTTTACCCCTAAATATTTGTATGTATTTCCTAAAAAAAGATGACATTTTCTTACAGAACCTCAGTATAATCATCAAAATCAGGGCATTAATATTGATATTAACTAATCTACAGATGTTATTCCTATCTCACAAGTTGTCCTAATAATTCTCCTTACAAGAAAAGACAGTTTCAAAATCCAAGTTGCATTCGGTTGTCATGTCTCTTTAACCTTCTTTAATCTGGAATGGTCCAAACGTTATGATGTGGAAATCAAAAAGAAAAATAAAACATAATAATTTGGAATGGTTCCTCAGTCTTTCCTTGACTTTTATGACCTTGACTTTTTTTTTTTTTTTTTTGAGATGGAGTCTCGCTCTGTCACCAGGCTGGAGTGCAGTGGTGTGATCTCAGTTCACTGCAACCTCCGCCTCCTGGGTTCAAGCAATTCTCCTGCCTCAGCCTCCAGAGTAGCTGGAACTACAGGTACCCACCACCACGCCCAGCTAATTTTTGTATTTTTAGTAAAGACGAGGTTTCACCATGTTGGCTAGGATGGTCTCGATCTCTTGACCTCATGATCTGCCCGCCTCGGCCTCCCAAAGTGCTGGGATTACAGGCATGAGCCACCACGCCCAGCCGACCTTGACATTTTAACAAGTGCAGGTTGGTTATTTTGTAAAATGTCCCTCAATTTGGGTTTATCTGCTGTTTCATTGTGATTAAACTCAGATTATGCATTTCTGGCAAGAACACCCTGTGGGGTTTATTTTCAATAAATGTATCAAGTTGCCCTTTACTAGAAGCATTAATACTTCTAACAGATAGAAAGTTTCTGTTTTAAGTCTCATCTTCCTAAACAGACTGAACTCCCTGAAGGCAAGTCTTTCCTTATCTCCAGGTGGACGGTGCAGGCTTTGGAATCAGACTACAAGGGTTACTGTTCTGTCTCTATACTCGCTGCCAGTAGAACCTTGCTTGAATGTACTTAATCTCTGTACAATGGGGATGATGATACTATCAACTTCATAGGGCTATGAGGATTAAAACACCCAGTCCCAAATCAGTGAGTGCTAAAATTAATGAGTTGAAGTTTGAGGAGTAACAGGATATTTACACAGTGTCAAAGTCTCTCCCCACAAGATACTTTTTAATTACAAAGGGAAAAAAAATAGTGAAGAAACCTGGCAGCCGCCACCTTAACCTAGTGATCGAAGTTAAGACTACCAGTTATGAGATAAATCAACATCACACGTCTCTGATATGATGCCTGTAGTAGCCTGTATTTATAGAGCCCTTACCAAGCTTCTCCCATCGTTCTTTCTCCTCTCCTCCAAATAGAATATATACATATCAAGTATTTTTCCTTCTCTAGTTTACTCCACTGGCTAGCCTTTCACAAGGCTGGGCACATGGCTCATGTCTTTAAAATTTAGTCAGTCATTGCCGGGCGCAGTGGCTTACACCTGTAATCCCAGCACTTTGGGAGGCCAAGACGGGTGGATCACCTGAGGTCAGGAGTTCCACCTGAGACGAGCACAAACTCATTTTCTCACTTTAGCCACTCTTTGCCCCTCAACCTTCTCTCATCAGTCTTGTCTCTGATCCACCTAGCTATTTGCAGAGGAGTGACATGATCAGATTTACATGTTTAAAATATTGGCTTTAGCAGCAAAAGGAGGATGGACTGGAAGAGAGGAGAATGGAATCTGGGATGCCGACCTAGTGATTACCAAGTGTGAAGGGGCTGACACCTGCTTTGTTTTCGGCCTTCCTCTACAGGGATGTGTCCTTTGTGGACTAGTTTAAGAGACTTTCAAATTCCTTGTGTGCCTCTCTCATCTCCCAGTCTTGTGTTCCCATCTGCTCTGCATCCCCTAGACTTCTTTGTTGGCACTCCTGGGCTCCTCTTTTATCATTCCCCTCCACCAGGCTTTCTCCATCGTCATCCCCACCCCCACCATCTCATCTGTTACCCCCTTGTTCCCTTTGTTGACCTCCCTTCCCAGGCCTCTATGTCATACCATTTCAGGACATGGTAGAAGCCCCGACTGTGATATGAGTCACCATCTGAGTCAGGGATTCAGGAGTATGGGGCATACCCGAGTTTATCTATGAGTAGCAGGTGGACTCTATAGGCCTGACCTCCCCTTGAGAGGCAAACTGCAGCTTGGCCTCTCTTCTCTTCCCCCTCCATACCTACCTTCCCATTCTTGCCCAGGGTCTTGTTCTGCCTACTCCAGCTGCCCCCTCAGTGAACACACTGGCAGATTCACTGTCAGACCTCTGCCCTGAGGGATGCCCAACAGTTGGGATGCCTGCCATATCCCTTCTGTAACCCTCCCCCGCAGAGCCACTCAGCCCAGCCACCCACCTCTAAGCAAAGCGAGCCCAGCTAGGCTTCGCCTCGGCCTCCCAGCCCTTTCCTGTAAATGCACTCACAGCCAGGAGGGGTGCCATATTAAATCAAGACTGATGGAAACCAGTGACTGCAATTACCCAGCCAAGATGCAGCATGGGAAGCTGGTCGCTGATGGCTCCAGGTGAGGGCTTCTGAAGCTAATTGTGTGTGGCTTTTATTAAGAAGATGCTCACTCCCCGACTCCTGCTCTCCTGGGTGGCTCCTTTACGGTGCCTCTCAGCTCAGTGCCCTCTGCTTCTGCAGGCTGAATTCCTGCCTTCTCTTCTTCTCTAGTGGATCCCTATCAGAGCAGAGCCTTGAACTCGTCTTGTAGCCTTCCTCCCCATCTCCTCAAAGACAGGAACAATAGTATTTATAGAGCCCTTACCAAGCTCCTCCCATCCTTCTTTCTCCTCTTCTCCAAATAGAATATATATATATATCTCAAGTATTTTTCCTTCTCTAGTTTACTCCACTGGCTAGCCTTTCACAAGGCTGGGCACAAGTCAATCATTGCCGGGAGCGGTGGCTCACGCCTGTAATCCCAGCACTTTGGGAGGCCAAGACGAGTGGATCACCTGAGGTCAGGAGTTCAAGACCAGCCTGGCCAACATGGTGAAACCCCATCTCTACTAAAAATATAAAAACTAGCTGGGCGTGGTGGTGGGTGCCTATAATCCCAGCTACTTGGGAGGCTGAGGCAGGAGAATTGCTTGAACCCAGGAGACGGAGGTTGCAGTGAGCCGACACAGTGCCATTGTACTCAGCCTCAGCGACAGAGTGAGACTCTGTCTCAAAAAATATATATATATAAAATAAAAGAAGTCAGTCATTCATTTCATATGTTTTTTAGCACAAACTCTGTGCTAAGCATTGTGAAAAGAGCATGAAGCAGTAATCTTCTGCCTGCCTGGCTTAATCTCAGTGTCCTTTACATTTTTATCAAGAAGTCTGATCCATTTTCTGAGGTTTTAGTGAATTGGCATAGATATCTGGGACTCCAGGCTGGGGAGAATCAGAATGTACTGAAATTTAGGCCATGGTTTGAATCTTTCCCAAGACCATCTAGAAAGCTCCTGGAAAACTAACCAGTTCACGGTATAACTCTCCCCACCCCACCTGTCACCTCCATAGAAGTCAAGGAGTCCTTTCCTTTGCCCAAGAAATAAACAGGAATACCAAACAACCTAAAACCATGACACTGAAGAAGAGTTACAGGAAGTAGAAGTGTTTCCCCAGAGAAGACTCAGGGAGGCCACACTGGTCATACCCAAATCAACAAAGTGGAAAGAAAAGTTATGTTAGACTTTGCCTGTGGCAAAGGGAAAAGATACGTTATGTGAGGCCCCACAGACCAATGGATGGAAGGTACCCAGAGGTGGAATTCTCTATCACGTAAGGAAAACTGACAGCAAAGATGAGCCACCTCAGGCAGTGGAGGCACCTCTAGAGCCGGGTGAGTGTTGAGACTGCACCCTGCAGACCTAGGGTTCCTAGAGATGGAGCCTCGAGAGCCGCCTCTGGGGCAGTGGTAGCAACCAAGTGGACTCGGCTCATGGCTTCGGCTTGAGCCAGGGTAACTCTTCTTATTATCTGTGGAATTCCACCCACAATTAAATTAGTTAAAGGATTCCAGTACCAAAAACAAAAAGGCACTAGATTAGACAGTCTGTTATCAAAATGCAGTGAAGGAGAAGAGGAGTCACATTTATCAAAGGTTTAATAAGGGTTAGGTAGAAGGTAGCCATTTTGGTCACTCAGACTACCTCTTAATGCTATGTGCCAGAGACTCTGCTAAGAACTTATATATTAATGCATTATCTCATTTAATCCTCACCTTGTGGCATTCCACAAGGATCCTACAGGCTAAAACTATGAATACTATCCTGCGTTTTAATGAGGAAAACTAAGATTCTGGGAGCTTAACTTCCCCAAGGTCAGCTAGCTAGGAAGTAGATGAAGTTGAGGGGTGAACTCAGGTCTGTCTGGAGCAAAGCATATTTTTGTACACAACTTGCCTCACTGTGAGCCAAAAGAAGAGCCAAACCTCAGATGGAGACAGCTGAAAGAATTAAAGCAGATGCTGTGTATAAGGTGCTGAGTACAGTGCCTGGCATACAGCAGCCATTCCACAAACGGTAGTCACATTTATTCAGTTAGTAACACAAATTGACGCCTGCTGTGAGCCAGGCCCTTTGCTAGGCACTGGAACTATAGAGAGAAATAAACATGGTCTTGTAACCAGTGACCTCATGGTCCAGGAAGGAGAGACAAACAGGAAGTTATTTAAGTGTACCAGAGGTCCCAGGGTCTGGGGTAGGCACAAAGCCTTACAACAGACTCCCTAGACAGTACCACATTGGAGGTTGGTGGGAAGAGAGAAGACCTTTGTAGTAGGGTAATAGTGTCAGCAAAGGCCCAGAGGCAGGCATACTCTGGAACTCATCACTGAAGGGAAGTGAGGAAACTGACCCAACAAACCCTTGCAAGCCAGCTTCCATCCCTTCAGGCTCCTTCCATGGCCTGCCCGACTGCAAGTCAGCACTGTCCCAGCCAGTATGTATGCATCTCACCATCAGAGCCTCCAGCCCAGTGGACCTAAGTGCTGAGCGGGGCTGGGTGGGCAGGGAGGAGGAAAAAGCAGATCTATGGCTGAAGTCGGCAGAGCCAAGTGATGTATGTGGCGCCTGAGGGAGCTGCACAGTGACACTCTGGATTCCAACCGGCAAGTGTCACTCCACTGGGATTGGCGCCGAATTATTGCTCCATATGAAACCCCAGGACTGATGGGAGCTTTCAGTTATAGACTGATAGCAACAGCCAAAATTGGATTGTTTGCTATTTATTTTTTTTAACTTCTGTCAAGGTCACTACTGTAACAGGAAAACACTGCCCAAGCAGTAGGTATTTTTTATCCACTCTGCCCGCAAGAGCAATCTGCAACCACAACTTTTGTGACAGGGCCTGACTTTGACAGCTCTCTTTCCAGAAAGATGTTAGTGTTACAGGCTTGGGGGAAAGGAGCCTCCTGAAGACCTGGTCATTCCTTTCCATTTCAAGATCTGCTTCCTTCCCCTCCAGTTCCCAACCTCCACAAATACTCTACCATCAGGTCCCTGCCCTCACCCCTCCTTGCCTGTTCTCCAGACAGTCCCACGGCTCCCTCCTGGCCCAGTCTTCCTCCAGCTTCTTCAAGCCTCCTGTTCCCCAGAAAGCCCCCCAACAGATGTTCCACACTTATGTGTCTTTCCTTTCTCTACTCCTACACCACCCCATCTAGCTGTTAATTCTCTCCTCTTTGTCATTTTTGCAAACACTCACCAGATGCCCCACTATGCCAGGACCCATGCTAGAAATAGCAGTGAGTCAAAGATAGGGCCTGTCCTTGGGGAGCTCATAATTGATTTAGAGGACAGACTTATATTCACCAAACTTGTTTTCAAGTAGGTTTTTGTGTTTTTAGTGAAAGATACAGTGCTAGAGATAAACATTCATGCTTTGGACCCTTGAGGAAAATGGTTGCGAAGTATTTGTGTGCAGGCCATGCCTCATCTCCTGACTTTGAGCTGCCTGAGGGCAAGCCCGGGTCTCCTCTTCTGTGCGGGCAACCAAGCTTAGGCTTCTCCTGCTGCCTTTTGTGAAGTGGATGAAGCCCAGGGCCAGACATGCCAGACCCTCAGCATCAACTAGAACCTCCCAGGCAACGGGGCACAGTCCTCCTTCCTCTGCCCCACCCTTTCATCATGGCCATGCACAAGGCTGGGCATGCAAGAACTGCTGAATAATTATGTTTAATTGAAATGCAGCATAATTGAAATGGAGGGTGTTCATAGCTCTCTTTTGAGCAAAACGTTTTTCAAGAGGAAAGAGAAAGGAATTTATACTTATTAAGCATTTATTCCATGCCAAGCATGATGCTAGGCCTGTTACATACATCATCATATTAATATTTAATCCCCAATTTGCTGATGAGAAAACTGAGGTGAAATAACTTGCTCCAGGTGATAAGCACATCTCATAAGTGATAAAGCTGGGCTTGGACCCAGGTCTTCTGTCAGACTCCAGAGCCACGGTTAATCTGCTAGTAGTACTTACTCTACCAGCAGAGTGAGCCGAGACCCCTGAGCGGCAGCCACCTGAGTGGAGAGTGGAAAGGGCTGGACCAGCCTCCAGTGACCATGAACCACAGCTATGAAGCAGGACCCCTGGATACCCAGACCTGTGTTTTCCCCGAGTTGGGGGATAGAGTGAAGCTATGGTGCTATGGGCCCGGCAGCCCTCAACCATTTGCCCTCTCTCCCCACAGTACCAAGAGAAGCAGCGGAAGCGTGAGGCTGAGGAGCGGCGCCGCTTCCCCCTGGAGCAGCGACTAAAGGAGCACATCATTGGCCAGGAGAGCGCCATCGCCACAGTGGGTGCTGGTGAGTGTGTGGGACACCAGAAAGGGCAGAGTGGTGCCCTTTGAGGGGTACATCCTGTCGTCACCAAACTGGATAGGCGCTGTTAATAATATTAAAAATTAGCATTTGTTGAGTACTATCTACATGCCAGACATTGTTATAAGCTCTCTGCATGTCATGTGTCATTTAATCCTCATGGCAATCCTCTGAGGTTGGTACTGCTAAATCCCATTTTACTGCTGAGGAAGCCAAGACACAGAATACCTAAATCACTTGCTCGAGGCTGCTTTCCTATGCATAGAATTTAACTCTGACCGTCATCTGGTCCGCTACCCTCAACTCCATTTTTCAAGTGGGAGAATTGAGACCCAGAGAGGGATGGGAGCTTGTCTGTCACTAGCAATGTAGCAGCTGAGCCAGAACTTATGTCCCCATCTGTCAACTTGGGACTCTTCTGTCACTTCCAGATAGTTTGTCAGCAGCTGGCCTAATTTTATAGAAAATATCCTGAGCAACTTTTGAGTGTCTTCTCCACCCATGAAGCTCTTATTTCCATACTTTGATCCCTGGGAGCCAGACTGCCCTCTGGTGTAATCCCTAATGTAATGGCCCTCCTGCCTGTGCAGACCCAACGAGCAGATAATTAAAACTAAGGTTCTGCTGAATACAGTGGCCTCATCTTTGTTCTCCGACTCTGGAGCACCACTCCTTGGGCTTGATTTCAGATAGATGAGGCAAGGGAAGAGGAACCCCAGGCCAGGCCAAGACAAAGGTGTATCCCCCAACACAGTGGTTCTCAAAGCATGGTCTCTGGACCAGCGGCATCACTATCTTCTGGGAACCTGTTAAAAATCAGATCTCAGGCTTATTCCATACCTGTGGAATCAAAAATTCTGGGATCTGTATGTTAACAGGCCCTTCAGGTGATTCTGACACTCAGCTGAAGTTTAAAATACCACTGCCCCAGGAAGGCCCTACCTGGTCGTGTGGTATGCCTGGATTGAGGGGTTGGTGCTTTTTAACCTCCATTTGTAAGGAAGTTACTGCATCCACCTTGCTGAGAAGCCCTGCAGCTGGGGATCACAATGATAATGTTCAGAGCCATGCCCAGTCCTTGTGACTAGCTCCCAGAGGCTTCTAAACCCAAGCATGAGGGAATAAGGCAGCCCGGTGGTTGCAACTGCCAGCCCAGCTGAAGCATGAAGCACTCTCTGGGTCAGAACTTATGGTAGGCAAGCAGCACCCAACACCTCGGGACCTCAAACTGAAGCAGGTCCAGGAGAGTGAGGCAGATCTAGAGGCTAGGCCAGGCCTCCCTGAGTTCTCCAAGCTAGTGTCACATGTGTGGTAGGGACTGGCTGGATGGAGCCTGGCACCCCATGGGTACCATGAGGATGGGCAGCCAGAGAAGTGCCGCAGAATGAATTGATTTGATAAATGGCCATTTATTACCCTCACGAATTGGCTGAAACCAATTTCGGTCACATCAACCCCTGGTAAGTGCTGGGATATTGATTTGTGCAAAGTAATACAGTGAATTTATCAGTGTGATCCCCAGCTGCAGGGCCTCTAGCAAGGCTGGCGCACAGTTACCACCTTACAAACGGAGGAGATAAAGCGTCAGCCTCACAGCTCAGGCCCCCATGGCCTCTCTGGTCTAGGGCCACTGGAGCCAAACCAGGACAACCTGCAAGCCAGAGCCTTGGCATTGAAAGTGAGGCTCTCCTTCCAGAATCCAGAGCTGCTCTCGATCCTGAGGAAGGGAGGCTGCCTGCCCTGTTGGGCAGACTTCCTGGGAGCTCAGCACCTCTAAGCCCCACCATGCTCCTCAGAAAGGCAACCAGCTATCTATTCAGCACATACAGAACCAGACTCCTCCCCCTCCCCAGCCTGCTCATCTCCTGTGTTCTGATCTGTGTAGAGACCACATTCACTGGTCTCTTAAATAGAAACTCAGATGCTTCCTTGGCCCCTCCCTCCCCCTCACCCCTTACAGCCAATGAAGGATCAAACACCTGGCCTTTCCACTCTCTTCCTAATACCACTGCCCTAACTCAGGGTGTCCACGTCTCCTATCTGAACCAGGCAGCTCCTTCACTGGTGTCCCTGCCTCCCTTCCTTCCCCTAGAATCAGTTCTCACCAGTTGGAGTGATCTTTGCAAAACACGTATCTAACAGTACCACTCCTGTTTAAAACCTTTGCATGTTCCTTGCTGCCCTAACCTGGCATGCAGGCCTGCTCCTGCTGCTCCCTGCTTTGTGCTGCATGCACCAGCCACAATGGCCTGCCTCTGCCTCTCTGCACATACTCTGTCGATTTCCTGCCTGCATTTGTCTGCCACCCTCTCTGCTTGCAATCCTTCCCTTCTGGCCCTTCCCCCACCCCACCCCAGCCCATTGCCGACACACTGGCTGGTTTTTACTTAGCCTAACTCAGTTCAGGAGCAATTGACTGCAGGCTGCTTGAGGGGAGATAACATGACTTAATCGTTTTTGTGCTCCCAATTCCTGGCACAGCACCCTGCTCAAAGTAGATGCTTAGTGCAGTTTGTTAAATTAAAGAATTTGGTCTGGCCCCTTGTCCATCTCTAGGGAATGGCCCCAGAGCCCAGGCCCTCATGGGCTCTAGGATGTACCCTGAGGTAAAACAGAGAAGCTGCAACACCTGCTCTCTAGTAGCCCACAGCATACTGGGAATACAACTATAGAATAGCTTATTACAGCCATACTCCTTGACCTTTGACCCCTGGGGTGGGCAGGCTATTCCCCAGACCTGCTCTAAGAAGCCTCTCCTGGGCAGCAGGTCAGCCTGCACATACCCGGCAGCTTTCTCGGAGCTCCTTCTGACCAGGAACCTGTCCCGAGCTTCCGTCCACCTAGTCCCGGTTGACCCTCTGAAGCCACATGCTCCCCTGGGGAAGCTCTGCCACCTCATGTGTTCGGCTCTGCCAGAGTATGACGCATATTCCATATTACAGAAGGATTGCGTATGGCCACCACGGCACACCACCAGATCTCATGCTTCACTTCCCTCTTTGACCAGCCCAAAAACATAATCTTCCCAAGCTTTGCACCCTTCTGGACTCTCCCTTTGAATCCTCATCTGAGAAATACATCTAGGTCATCCCTGGGTTGTGGAGTTGTAGTGATTAACTTACAAAACTGCTTGCAGTTCCACCCCACATCATGTTACTTCTGAAGTCATTTGCTGTGCTTTCTCGTTGCTGGACTGCCCTGCCCTTCCACGTTGTCTGCTGAGACATTCAAGACCTAGGCCCTTTACTATACATTTAAAGCAACTGAAAGAGTATAATTGGAATGTTTGTAACACAAAGAAATAATAAATGCTTGAGGTGAAGGATGCCTCATTTACCTTGATGTAATTATTATGGATTGTATGCCTATATCGAAATATCTCATGTACCCCACAAATACCCATTTAAAAAAGAAGAGACCTAGGCCTTCTGCAGGTTGCCCTCCTCAGTCCTCCTGGATTCAGGGCTCGTTCCCTGGGATTCCTAGGAATACCTTTATCACATGTTATCTACTATGTTTGTATGTCTTTCTCCCTCCAAAAGTCCAGAGCTACTGCACACCAGCTCTTTTTCTGTAAGGTTGGGCACACAGGTGTATAAAAAGTTGTTGAACTCAGTGAATGAAGCCTGAGCTCACGCACAATGTTAGGTCTTGTAAGAAGCTACTACTTGCATTTTTAAGTTGTTAACCACTTGGCAGCAATAGTTTGCCTGCAGAAAGAATAATCCTTACTAAGGACTAAGAAGAGAGCTCTTTCATGATCCACCAAACCCAAGGCATCAGTATCCACTCAGTAGGCACCTGTCGAGTACTTACCATGTTCCTTGAACCTACAAGCAGTTGTCAGGCAATTGCTGATAAACATTTGTATGACTCTCAACCATGAGAGTCCCTCTGAAGGACTGGTTCCCACTAGGAGATGCCACAGACATGTGACAAACATGTTCCAGATTAGGTTATAAAAAACCTCCCACACTATATCCCTGGCACCTATCAAGAAAGGTAAGTCAGCCCACCCAGACTGCCCTAGAACCTTGAGCTGGACAGAAACAAAGGCCTGGGGTGGAAGGAGGAGGCCGCTCTTGCCTTTTTGGTTGTACACACACTGGGGCCTTCTTCCTGGAATGTCCCATCATACCTGCAAGTGGCTGGCAATCTCCCTCTCACCCTTCAAGCACAAATGTCAGGCCAGCACAAATGGCTCTTCCCATACTTCCCTCTGTGCACCCATCCCGTTTGGAGCCCACAGTTTTCATAGCAGCCTTTACCTCTATGGCACGCACCTTTTTTGAGGCCTCTTTGTGAGAGCCGCCGCACCTAGCACAGAGCTTTTTTGCTAAACAAATACATAAGGCTTCCTGGAGAAGGATTTAGAAGAAAGTGGAAGCCTTCTTCATGCAAGAGTGGTAGTAACTACCTGGGGCACTAAGAGACTCAAGTCTAGGCCTTACTCTTCTCCTCTTCTCTGTAAAATGAGTTGAAGTACCTGTTCTTTCTCCCTTGCAATTTGAGAAAGACCAATAATTCATTTAGTCAGCAAGTATTAAACCAGTGTTGGGCTAGTCTCAGGGGTCCTCAGAAAATAGGGCACCCAGGACACCCAGCACCTGCTCCCATGGAATATGGTCAGATTGGGGGCACACCCTCCCTGCCAGACACAAGGGCACAGGTAGATGAAACACCTTACACTGCCCGTCTCTGAGCCTCGGTATCCTGTGTAAAATGGAGATAACACCTACTTATCAGGATTATTAGGAGGATGAAAGAGTTACTGTAAAATACCAAAGCTAATGGTAACTACCATTGCTGCTGCTATGACTACCATTATTTTTACTCTTATTGTTATCCCACTCCTCGCCACTTACAAATTGCTTTCATCACCATTAACTTGTTTAATCTGCATGTGGGGCTGACACAGTATATGTGACTGTTCCCATTTTATAGAGGAAGAAACGGAGGCTCTAAAGGAATAAGTGTTTTATTTAAAGTCAGTCAGCTGGTAAGTGACAGAGGCGGGACTCCATGCTAGATCCTGTAACTCCTGCCCTCTCCACTATACCACCCGGTAGATGAATGCATGCCAGAGAATACAGACCTGCAAGTTAATGGCTAGATGTGGTGTGGTGGAGTGAATCAAAAAGAGCTGTTGCAGGTGAGTTTTCAGATGGTCCAGTAGTGACAAGCATGGCCAGGAGAAAGCAGAACACAAGCCAGGTGGGCACCCGGCACTACCTGCTGGGAGGCAGAGCAGCCTGCCTGGAGCTTGTGGCGATGGGACTGGCCAGAGAAGGGAGCCAGGCTGCCTGTGCAGAGGGCCCTGACACCATCTCTAGCCCAAGAGCAGTGACCAAGACAGGGTTAGGGGACAGGGGCTCCTGAGGCCATGTGCTGAATGGCTGAGCAGGCCAGATTGGAAGACTACAGAGAACGTTTTCCAAGGAGTCAGGGTGTGAGGAGGTGCTGTGGCAGCGGAGAGTCAGAGGAGGAGAGCTGACCTTCCTCTAAGCTCCCATAGTACAGCGCAGGCTCAGGCTAAGCCAGAACTGAGGGTAAAGCCCAGGGTCTTTGTTTCTTCCCCCTGTAACCTTAAGCAGGTCACCTAACTTCTGCGTGCATGTTTCCTCACCTATAAAATGGAAATCAAGTCCCCTGTTCTGCTTACCTCACAAGGCTGAAATGAAATTATGTCTACAGAAGTTCTTTATAGACAACAATGAAATGTTGAAGTGAGTCAGTTGTAAATACATTTGCTGGCCACAGTGAGAGCAACAACAACTATGGCCACCTCCCACGTGGGCCCATGCAGGTCTCTGTCCCAGCCTCTACTCTGGCCTGACGGGATCCTCAAGGCCCATAGCCTTGGTCCTCGGCCACCCTGCCAACCACAAACACTAGGGCCCGCCTTCTCCAGTCCTTCCTAGCTGCCACCATTTTTCATTCTGTCAGACTCCATCTGCTTGGCTGTTTTTCTCTTCAGATATTATTAGAAATATCCAGAGTTGGAATTGCTTAATGGTTGGCATTTCACCTGTTTCACAGGGGACCCACATCAAGCCCACCCCGGACTCATGCCCTAGGTCGGGCAGAATTGACCAGGGACAGCTGTGCAGTGAAGTCTGCCTGGCATTATAAAGAGCTCTCTCCCAGGTGCATTCTTAGAAAAGAAGCGGGGAACAGTGGCCCCAGGCATAATTCAATTCCTCATTCTCCATGGTGTTTTTGTACTGCACAGCCCAGCAGTGTGCAGCTCTCTGTGGGCTGGGATGCTACCTTAAAAGAAAAGGCAGGATCAGAACCCCAGGTACATGATACCCTGCAGAACCCACGTAGGGGGATGTCTGGGTACATCTCCCTCCCCAAATACCCCATGAAGCTTGAACTCAGTTCATGCTCAACTTGTTTCCAACCTAGACTCTTAATTTAGCCAACTTTTAGAAGAACACGGCTCCTTTCACGTCACTGCTGTCACCCCTGCCCTAACACGTACACACATGTCCACACAGTATTCACAAGTCTAGCCTTTGCCGTTTCAATATCTTCACTTCCTCAGATACCCACACTCTCAGCTCCCTGTTTCTGTTGGACACCAGGGACTCCCCGCTTAGCCAAGCTTGCACTTTTCCCTCTTCATCCCCAGCATTCAGGTACCTATGAGGTCTGTGGGTTCCCCTTATAGCCAGCCTTTCCAGAGATCCTGGGCCAGTTAGTTTAGACAAAATCTGGATTCTTGCCCAGGAGAGAGGTTATACTGAGCTTTTTCTCAGGCCTCTTTCAGGATTCTCAGGGAGCATTTTCTGGGCAGGCAGAAGTGGCTAGTCTGATGTCCATGAATTTGCACAGCTTCCATCTGTTTCTACTGAGGCCAGAAGTAGAGAGAAAGTCGTATTTTAGGCAGGAACATTAGAGATCGAGATGAGAAAGACCACTGGCTTGAGGCTGAACTCCTAAAACAGTATTCCAGACCTTCACAGTCTGGTCCCACCCCACCACTCCTCATGATCATTCCTGTCTCTCCACCTCTGACATGCTGGCCACCTTTGCCTCTTCAAATCCTGCCCATCCTCCATGATCCATCACCAGTCCTGCCTCTTCCAGAGAACCTTCCCAGACCTCTGCAGTCGTTTCTTTGAAATCCAACCACACAGTATAGTAGTTAGGATCTTGGCAACTCAAGATGGGCAGACACATCCCAAACACTGTCAAATCTTTCCCCATTGACTAGTGTTCCAGGCCTTGTTCTCTGACATCTATCCCTTAGCTAATTTTCCCCTGACACCCTGGGGACCAGATCAGACATGCTGTTCCATTTGCAGACTGACCTTGACATTACACAGTACTCTCTTTCCTGCTCCTGACTGCCGTGTTTCCATTAGTGCAACCAAAATTCATACTTTTTTGAGCAGCCATATGTTACTTTTTTAAAAAAAGACGACAGGTTTAGAGAGAGAAGCAACTCTGCCATCTACTAGTTGTGTGACTTGGGCAAGTCTCTATCTGTTGCCTCAGTTTCGTGTTCAGTATAATGGAGTTGAGAATACTACTTTCCTCTCCGGGTATTTGTGTGGGTCTTGAATAGATACGTTGTTGGTGAATTTTCCCATTGTGCTTAGCATACAGCATGTTCAGTGCATGATTCTTCTTGCAGTTCTGCCTCACTCCACCCCCACTCGTATACTTGAGAATGTTTCTGAGCCTGATTCTCCTACTCCATAATTAAGCACTTAGTTTTCTCAGATTGAATGCATAGCCCTTAATTACATACGTCCTCTTGAAGAGGAGGTCAGGTCTTGCTCTAGCAGAGTTGAGCCTCCAAGGAACCTGGTACCTATCTGTCCCACTCCCCGTGCTCCCCACTCCCTCCACCACTGGAGGCTATGGTCAGCATCTCTGGTAACCATGTGGCTTACCCCTTCCATGCCCTGAGCTCCACATTGCCTTTGATTGACTTCCAGAAAATGCATTTGGCTGTGTTTCCACTTTCTGACCCAGACAGTGGACCAGACCTTAGCTTCCCCAGACAGGAAAGAGTCCAGGGCTCACACCCCACATCCCCAAGGGCCTGCCATGGGCTTCTGCCTCTTGTATTTGCATAGGAGGCGGCCCGTAGTCCCACTAGCGATGAGTAGATGAGTAACCAGTGAGAGCAGAAGTTCCTCTCGAATTCTCCTTCACCAGTCCCCCACCCCCTTCACCTCCATTCACCATCCACCCGCCTTTCAGTTTCCCTAGCAACGCTGAGTGCTCATCCTGGAAAACTTTATCCGAAATCTGCTCTGGGCAGCTTTCCAAATCCATGCTAACCTGATTACGTGTCTCTAGGGGCCTTGCCAGCTAATCAGATTAGGCAGCACTAATGGTAGTGAGGACTTTGAGTGGGCGCAGAGCAGTAAAACATATTGTATACTTAGTGATAATTATCCTGCCTTTTGTGTCATTGATTTATCTGCCTCCCTCCCTGTCCCCTGATCTTGTGTGTTTGGCCGTAGCGATCCGGAGGAAGGAGAATGGCTGGTACGATGAAGAACACCCTCTGGTCTTCCTCTTCTTGGGATCATCTGGAATAGGTAATTGGGAGCAGATCAGCCAGTGGGGACAGAGAGCTAGGGTAGTGCCCGGCCCAAGTCTGACAGCCCCAGCTGCTGCGGGCCAGGGTCAGCAGGTCCAGCTCTAGGTCAACTTGAGCTCTAAAAGCAACGGCCTCCAGATTACAGAGCCACCAAGAAAGAGGACTCTGTTACCATCTGTCATGTTATGAAGAGCTGCAATATGCCCCTCCCTCTGGAAGTTGTGGTGCTAAGACTGATTCACATGGAGGACCAGGCCCTTCAGGGCCCATTAACCCTGGTCCAGCCACTCTGCATGCGCAGAGCCTCCCCTTCGGGAACAGTTGAACCACCTCCTCTGCCCAGCACATCAACCATGTTCAGTACAGCCTAGCTGTAAATGCTAAAGAAGGCCCCTAATGACCACCATGGTGCCAGGTGGATAGCAAAATTGGTTGCAGTAAGATGGGTTGAGTATTTTTCTAGCCAGTTGGGCTGGATTATCCGAGGCATTCTTACCCCTTCATTCTCTGCCCTGACAGAACCCCCCCATTCCTTCACTACCACCTCCCACCAGAAGCACTGGAACCTGAAGGGAACCTGATGGGAAATTTCATGGTTTAGTTTCCTCCTCTTCCCCTCCCAGCATCTTCATGGGCCTCTCCCTCAGATGTAGGCCCCCAAAAGGATACCACCACCTGACCATGATGCTACAGAACTTGACTTTTATACTAGTCAGGGACTTCCAAAGGTTACCATCCACCAAATGGCCCTTCAGAGCCCCCACTTCAGTATTGTCATTCCTTCTCTGTGTTACAAAGAAGGACCGTGAAGCCACAGTGAGAGGTACTCTTCAGCCCCTCCCACCCTCTATCTGCCATGTGGTTCCAGGGCCTGGCTAAATGGCAGGACTGTGGGTATTGAGAGGGATGCAGGGCAGTGAGCCAGGAGGCCTGGGGACTCCTAGAAGAGGTGAGGTTTGTACTGGGCTTTAAAAAGCAAGTTGGTTCTGGATTATAAAGTCAGCCTGTCACTCTTAGGATGGTGCTACAGAGAAAAGGCCTCAATCCCAATCCCAGAAAAATTAAGATGCAGGTGCAGACTTTGATTTTGGTCCCAGCTTCACCATTAACTCCCTAGGTGACTGTGGGAGAGTCGCTGATCCTTTCTGCGCCTCAACATTCTCATCCATAGAATATATTCTTTCTAGTGTCCGTGCATTTCTAGTATTCTTTCATTCCAGCGGTTAGTCACCTGGTTCTAACCCAACACCTCCCCCTTCTTTCTTACTAGGAAAAACAGAGCTGGCCAAGCAGACAGCCAAATATATGCACAAAGATGCTAAAAAGGTAAGAACTGGGACCTAGGTCTGATCTGCAGATCGTGGAGACCTCACCATTCCTGCTATCCCAAAAAATCTGACCCTCTGAATTCAGTAATAGGCAATCAAAAAGATGGGCCCTGACCCAGGAAGCAGACCTCAGCTCTGGCCCCAACTTGGCCACCAGTTGCTCCAGAGATTTGGGCAAGTTATCCCACCTCTTTGTGCCTCAGTTTCTTCATCTGTAAAATAGGAATAATAATCCTTGCCCTGCCTGACTCTTGAGGAAACAAAGTGAGATCTACCATACAACATTTTCAAGCATCTGTGCCATGCCAGGTGTTGTACTAGATGCTGCTAATACAGCATTTATTAAGACACTCCCCCTGCTCCAAGGAGCTCAGGTTGGAGGGGGAAACAGCTTCAGAAAGACAACATTACTGTTCAGTGCAGTCATGGCTGTGCTAATGGGAGTCTTGGGGGCTGTAGGAGAAAACAAGTGGGAATAAGAGGATGCCTTGTTGCCTCTCACTATCCTGCATGAGCTTTTAAACATGGTTTCTTATGTCTTGAGCCTGGGATACTTATAGTCCCCCTTCCTCCATGGCTCAGAGCCCTGGATTCTCCACAGGAGAGGGCCATCCCCATCCCCTGTTTGTTCACACTCAGGCTTTCCAAGGCCTGCTCAGTTTAACTTTTTAGGGAGAAAGGAAATGCTTTTGTGCAGAGACAGCAGTCCTCGGAGAGAGTGCAAAAACATTTCACTGAAAGCCAAACATTCTCCTACCAGCCTTCCCAGCATCCAGGGCAGGAGGTCGCCCGAGACCCCAGATGCTCTTGCCTTTCTAAGGAAAGCCTCCCTGGCCAAGGCAATGAGGAGTTTCTTGGGCCTCTGCCAGCCAAGTGGCCCCAGCAGCACAGAGTCTTGGACTCCTGTTCTCTTTCTGGCTTGCCTGCCCCACTGGCAGCCACAGAAACAAGGTAGCTCAGATTGTGTCCTCCTGAGCCCCCTTCTGCTTCATAAATGGCTGAAGGCTCTTAAACTCCCCCTAGCTCTGCCAGTAGCTGTGCTCTGCCTCCACCAAACCTGGAGCAGACCCACTTGACAAGCAGGCAAGCAAGAAGCAGCGCATAGCATGCTAATGCGCTCCGACCGAGATAGCATTTTTAAGTCAATTCATCAGGTTGGCAGCGATTGAAACAATTAGCACTCTGGAAAGGGCCATAAACTAGCAGGACTATTAGGGAAGATGTAGTTATGGGCAGGAACCACCTGATTAGGGATGAAGAATTCTGAGTGGTTTAATTTTAATACTGTCAGAAAGGTTAATATTTAATTACAAATTATAATCTCCTTATCCAAGCTGTCTTCATATGTCTTCATACACAGTAGAAGTAGAAGGAAAGTATCTACTGACTTGCTGATGTAGAAAGGAGAGGGGGCTTGTTAAAAGACTAATAATGCAAGTAATTTTTTAGTTGGCACAACTGAATGGGAGACAAATTCACCCCAGTGCAGGATGATGTTGGCATCCTTCAGTGCATGCCTCACTCAGAAGGAAGTAACACCACCACCCTCGGAGGCAGTGCACTGTGGTGGACAGAGCTCTGGAGCAACCATTCTTTGCTTCAGGTTCCGGTGCTTCTACTTTCTACTGGCCCTAGGCAGGTAAACTTTACCCCTTGAAGTTTCAGCTCTCTTGCCTCAAGGTGAAAGCCCTCCAACCCATATCTTAGGTTATGGTGAGCATCAAGTGACGATGCTGTGTGCTCATCACTTATGTCATCACATCATGGTGAGCACACAGCAAGTGCCTATTCCTTGACTTGTATTTATTCGTCACTTCCTACTTACCATAGCAGTGCCCCATCTACTCTCCCATTTGATCCTATGGGGAAGATAGCATGGATGCTAAATTAGACCCACTTTTCAGATGAGAAAACTGAGGCCCTACAGCATTCTTAGGCTTATCTAAGGTCACCTATTAGGGGAAGAAATAAAACCAGAATCAATCCAGTCTCTCAACTCCTCACTGTGATACCGTTGTTCTCAGCTGCTCTAGGAAGCTGGATTGGAAACTTGCCAGTGTGTCCCCATTTCACATTGGGAGATGAGAGGCATGAGAAGCTCCATAAAAACAACCATGTATTTTATTTTTAAATCATAGGTGGTGCTTCTATGAAACTCCTGCCTGTGCTAGCCCTGTGGGTCAACTCATTATAGAATCTGTGTTTTGCGTAGACACTTTATAGCCACATGACAGGCATGTTTGAGACCTGCCTTCAAAATCCAAGAGAGCCCTGGACTTTAAGCTACGTAGCCAGTGTACCTGGGACCCAAAGAGTGATGTATGGAAAGTGTCATTCTCAGAGCCCAGTGTAAAATAGACTTTTACCAAACAGAAGCTCCCTTTAATTTGCCTCCCAAGACAGCTGACGAAATGAAATGAGCACTGGCCTGGAGTCTGATGATGTGAATTCTAGTTCTGGCTCTCTGATCCCTAGTTTCTTCATTTGTAAAGAGACACTGACACCTCCAGATCTTGCTGCTTCAGAAGCATTCTTTGTACATTTATATGATTTCTTTATCAGATCTGTGAACTTATTTTTTTCTCTCATTAGCCTGTATACTATTTCTTCCAAATTGAGTGGCTCTGTTAACTTTCCTTACTAGAGCTAATAAGCCTTGGGAAGGAACCTTAATGGTGTTCTGTGATATCATCATAAGGTAGGGTGGTGGAGCCCAAAAGACTTAGTTATAGTAGCAATATGATAAGGGATAAAGAACAACTATCTGAGTCCAGCTGCTTGGGTTCAAATCCCAACTGTACTCTACTAGGTGGAGTTGGCCAGGACCTCTGTTTACATCAGCTTTCTCATCTGTAAAGTAGGCTCCATAATGGTGCCAGTCTCACTGGATTGTTCGGAAGGTTAAATGAGATAGTGATGTAAAATGTTAAACGCCGTTCTTGGCATGTGGTAAGCAATCAGTACATGTTGGATGTTACTCTTATTGTTCTTGCCTCACTAAGATCATGTGAAATCAAAATGATGATTCCGGCCAAGAAAGTCAAGCCCAAAAACTTGTTCAAAATTACATAGCAAATCATTAGAAGAACTAGGGTGAGAACCCAGGTCACTTGACATAAGTAAGCACGAGAGTCTATAGTCCATCTGTCGTCCGACATTCATTGGCATCTGGACACAAAGCTCAGCACCCTTCAAGGTGAAGACTGTCAAGAGCCCAGCTGATTGGCAGAGAGGAAGCTATGAGGCAGTGTAGCATGATGGCTAAGAGCACAGACTTGGAGCTGAATTGCCAAGCGCAGGTGACCTTGAGCAAGTTACTTTAATCTGTGACTTAGTTTTCTCATCTGTAAAGTGGAGATGATAGTAGTGCTTACCTCAGAGACTTGTACATGTTCTAAGCCCTTTATAGCTTGCCTAAAACATTGCCAGGCACATAGTAAATACCCAGTAAATCCTGAAACCTGCAGATCTCTTGACTGAGCAGCCTAGGGACCCTCTGGAAATGCTTTCTGGCTTATGCCCCATGTGCTGATAGCAGTGCTTTCCCCCATGTGGCCTTAATAACTTCTCTAAGCCCTGTCCCACCTCTTGGATTAGATCCTCAGACCCCTGGTGAGGCAGGGAGAGGAGCCAAGAGCCTTCTGTAACACAGGACAAAACTGCAGCTCAAAAAGGGGAGGCAGCATGTCCAAGGCTCCACAGGCAGGCAGAACTAGGACTGGAACCCGAGCCCCCTGGCTCCCAGCCCAGGGTTCTTCTTGCCACCCTGTGTCTCAGCTGTAGAATGACAGGACAGAGAAAGAACTAAAAGTACATCATGGCGTGAATTTCTGACCAGTGGCCAAGCTAGAATATAGCCCTGGATTTCAGACATAGCTACCTCCCGCTGAGAATCTTGGCACCCCCATCATCACCGGCTCTCAGGAGAAGCAGGATTCAGTGAATGCTGTCTCTTAGATGGAGGCATGTGCCAGTAGGAGAGGAGCCCGGGGGACTGTGGGGAACTGTGGTCCTGGCTGTGGCTAGACAGGGCACCTGTGGATGCCTTTACAGCTCCCTAATCAGGTAATGCTTCTTGAAAACCAGTGGGCACTCTGCCTGTGTTAACTCTTCAGATCACATAATGCAAGCTGTTCTCTTCCCCAAGGGCTAACCATGGCCCTCACCCATGGGGCCACTTCCTCGGAAATCACCCCTACACCCTGTGGTGGAGAGAAAAGGGCTGTAAAGCTATGTTATGGATATCTTTTTTAATGAAATGAAGAAATGTAAATACATTTTAAAATATATTCATTTTGAAGAAAAGTAAATCAAAGGGACACGGGCATCACACAGACTTGCAGAGTTGAGAGGCATTCTGGAGCCATCTGAGTGTTTCTCTCCTCCCTCGCACCACAGTCCACACTGATCGTGACTGACTTTGTCCATGTCTGCACCATTCGATGGGGTGCTTCTTAAGGACAGAGACCAAGACTTGTTCCCTGTTGTAACTCCGGTGTCCAGCACACACAGGATGCCCTCAGGAAACGTGGAATGGATGGATGGGTGGGTGGATGATGTGGTGATCAGAACAGGAGAGGCCTCCCTGAAAGAAGACACCCCAAGTCAGATTTAGAAGGTCAGGTACATGATTTGGGTCTTTTAAGGAAGAGAATGAGGGACTCGTAGGAAATGAGTGCACAGAAAAGGAGACAGGAAGTCAGAAAAAAACATCTTGAGCGTGAGATAGAAGATCTTATGTTGGTGTGGTGTGAAAGCCTTGGGGATAGTTGAGGTGCTCTCCTCCCTAACCCTTCTCTTCACTTTCCTGCCTCCAAACGGAGTTGGTACTTGCTTGTTTCCACACAGGGCTTCATCAGGCTGGACATGTCCGAGTTCCAGGAGCGACACGAGGTGAGTGATGACAGTCCTTGATTGAAGCATGGTTTGGAGGGCTTGTCAGCATGACTGCCGGGGTCTTGTCATTTGGGCCTCAGATAATTCCAGCAGCCTTGGGATTTGTCGTTGGGAGCACAGGTGTGCAGCAGGGTCACTGATTTGTTTCACATAGGATTTGCTCTGAAGAATAAACATAGAGAAGATCTATCTGCCACACCAGGAGATGGACAGCCAATCATCTCTGTTGAGAGAGGCAACCTTAATAGCGTATAAAGTCATCTTCCCATGCATGCCCCATGTTGGAAACTAAAAGCACAGAAAGGCCTTCCTAGCATGTTTCCTTCCTTCTACCAGGTGGCCAAGTTTATTGGGTCTCCACCAGGCTACGTTGGCCATGAGGAGGGTGGCCAGCTGACCAAGAAGTTGAAGCAGTGCCCCAATGCTGTGGTGCTCTTTGATGAAGTAGACAAGGCCCATCCAGATGTGCTCACCATCATGCTGCAGCTGTTTGATGAGGTGAGTCACCTTGGGCCAGGATGGAGCGGGGGGACACCTGGAGATAAGGGGGACTGTGAACAGCAGAAAGCAAGGGCCCAGAGGCTAGCTGGTCATTCCTCGGCTTCCTGCTCCCGCATGTGTACATTCATTCATCCAGTAGGTGCAACTTAGCCCCTCTGCACTAGGGCCTGGGTGGGGCACTCAAGCGAAGACCAGCCCTGCCTAAGAGTTGAAATTGTGTGGCTGCTCAGCCCACCTTCTAGAGAGACATGGTATGGCAGAGGTGCCATGAGAGCGAGACATGAATTTTTAGTTCCAGCTCTGCTCCTGACTGGCTTTGTGGCCTTGGCAAGTCACTGCCCATCTCTAGGCATCAGAGATCTCATGTGACAAACGAGGAGGCTGAATCAGAGAAGCCCCAAAAATCCTTCTGCCTCAGACAGCTCTTGTTCCTCCCTGTGTGCCAAACATTGTCTCCTGCAGTTCTTTAAAATGCTAATATTGTTGCTGCTAATGGTGAGATGCTGATACTCTGATTCATGGAGCCTTTCTCTTCTGAGAATCTGAGGGTTCTCACAGACTGTCCAGTTCCCCTGCTCGTAGGGGTAAGTTCTAAATGGAGAGAAGAGCTTACTTCTATCCAGTACCTTCTGTGTACTAGACCTGTACTAAAGACGTTACAGCCATTATCACTAATCCTCACAAGGTAGGTAGAAAAATTCCTAACAGGCAAGGGAGAAATTAGCTCATTTTTTACAGATGAAGAAACTGAGGTTCAGAGAGGTTATAAAAGACATGCCTAAGGCCACAGCTGCTGTGTAAAGAGCCAAGATTGGGCTGCAGATATGTCTGATCCCAGAGCCCCAATTCTCCCCCCATACCACTGTTTACCTTGAACCAGGCGAGGGATTGCTTACGATCACGGAAGAAGATGACTTCCACCTTTTCAGGGGCCCTGCTCCATCAAGAGAGCGTGAGGAGCCAAGGACTGAACCGGGGATGAGGCCTCTCTTCTCTCATGCAGGGGCTATATTAGCTAGCACCTGGCCATGAGTCCAGCTCACCTTTCTACCTAGTCTCCTGCAGCCCTAGGAAAACAAAAAGGTGGTTTGCTTCCCATGTCATAGGAGGCCACAGGGAGGGGACTCCTCCAGACCGAACAGCACATCAGGTACCAAGCCAGGAAGATCCAGATCCAGATCTCCTACCAGCTGCTCACTGCCTTCCCCACCTGGCCCAGCCTCCTTGCCCCTGCCCGTTCCGTTGTATCTTCCTAGCCCTTCAGCTGCTCCCTGCCCCTGAACCTCTGCTGAGGAAGAAGAGACCAGTCCTTCAGAGGTCACATACTCAGTTACTCACGTGTACACTGAGGCCTCTACTCCATTCCAGCCTCTTGATGGGATTCAAGTGCACAGCTATGACCAGACCCGAATGTGCCCTCTTGGAGCTCTCTGCCTGGTAGACAGGTGGAAAGGAGACATGGTAGTAGCTGGCATTTTGCATTTTGTGTGCCATTCGCTGTCTTCAGAGGCTTATGTGTATCAATTTAACCCTTTCAACAACCCTCCAAAGCTAGCTATTATTACGGCCTCCATTGAACAGATGTGGAAACTGAAGCAAAGTAAGATTAAGTCATTTACCTGTGGTCATGCAGCTGGGGAGAGAGAATCAAGGATTCAAACCCAGGCAGCCCAGTTCTAGATCCTGCAGCTTGAATGACTGCCACGCAGCTAGGGCCAAAAGAGCGAGGTCCGTCTCAGTGAAGCACGCAAGGGACGGGACCATGCCGCTGAGGGAGGGTGAGCATCGCGGCCTGTTTGATCTCTGGTCTCCCTGGAGAGGCACCTCTGATGGCATTCTTGGCCCAAAAAACAGAAGGCAACTGCTGACTGAAGTACAATCAGCCATACATGGAAGCCCTGTCTCCCCCTCCTCCGTCACTTCACTCCACTGACTGCCTTTTAGGGGTTGATAGGAATTCCTTCCTGCAGCTGTTGTCGCCCCTTCCCCCAGCCCCAGCCTACTATAGTTTCTGATGCTCTTGGTTCCATTGACCAAAGCTGCCATCCAGGTTTACTCGATTTAGGCTCTTTGAGGATGGGCCCTTGTCATGTTCACTTGAACCATTCCCAGAGCCCACAAAGTCAGGGGAAATGTTGTATTGACTAATTTAATTCAACAGTAGTTTTAATTCAACAGTAGTTAGCAAACCTTCAAAGGGTTAGTAAGTGCTAGGTGAACAGAGTGGCGGGGCTGGCAGTAGAAACCTAATGTATAAAAGTACAGGGCATGAAACAGGCTGGCATGCTCAGGGAACTGCAGCTGGTCAGTACTGCTCGATTGCAGAGGGAAAACAAGGACAGAGTGCTAGAGACAAGGTAGGTAAGGTAAACAGGGCCCAGTTAAAATGCCAGGCACAGAAGTTTGCATTTCTCTGGTAGAGAGTAAGGAGCCTTTTAAAGACTTTAAGCAAGAAAGAAACAGTCAAATTTTCACTTTACAAAGATGCCGTGGGCAGCTGTGTAAAGAATGGATGAGAAGGGAGAGGGTCATTAACAAGGAGACTGCTGGGGAGCCCAAGCTACAGCTGGGGAGGCCATGGGCTGGAGAAACTACTAGAAGGTTGACTGAGGAGAGGAGGAGGAGCCAAGGGTGGCCAGTTGGCTGCTGCCAGTTGGCCATCAGCTAAGGCGGCGAACACAGTGGGAAGCCGCAGATTGAAGAGGAAGGTGAGGCACTGAGGTGTGGAAATGTTGAAGGTGAGATACCTGAGGGACATCCAGATGGAGATGGCCAAGGGGCCGTTCATCAGTTTTATGGGTCAGGAGTTTAGGAAAGGTCTGACTGAAAATAGCAGTTCAGGAATCCTTCAGCCCAGAGAGGTTAACGGAAGCCACAGGAATGGATGAGGTCTGTAACCCAGGGAGTGTATAATGTGCAGAGAAAAGAGGGCTATACACAGAGCCTTGGGACCTATCAGGGAAGTCAAGACAGACTCGCCAGAGAAGTAGGAGGCAAAACCAGGCCAGGCATGATGGGTCACACCTGTAATCCCAGCACTTTGGAAGGCCGAGGTGGGCAGATCACTTGAATTCAGGGGTTCGAGACCAGCTTGGGCAACATGGCAAAACCTTGTCTCTACAAAAAATACAAAAATCAGCTGGGCATAGTGACATGTGCCTGTAGTCCTCACTACTCAGGAGGCTGAGGTGGGAGGATGGCTTGAGCCTCAGAGGCTGAGGTTGCAGTGAGCAGAGATTGCACCACTGCGCTCCAACCTGGGCAACAGAGCCAGACCCTGTCTCAAAAACAAAAAAGAGCCAACCAAAAGAATGTGGCTCATTCATTTATTCATGAGGCGCTGTGTGGGGTAGAGGGGACACTGACAAAACAGATGCAGCCCTGGCCTTGGCGTGACCAATGAGTGCGGAGACAGGCAGCTAAAAAGTAGTTCAGTCCACTGTGGTCGGTGCTGCGCTAGGGACAAGCAGCAAGTGCCAGGAGTTGTAGGGGCACCTAATCCAGGCTGGAGGTGTGAGGGAAGCAGCCTCACCCCTACCCAGTCTAGTTCTCCCAAGCCTGGGCCCAGAAAAGTAAGAACCCTATTGCTCTCATCAAAGCACCAAGCAGGTCTACTGCTGGCCACTCACAGGTGACCCCAGGGCAGAAGTCCCAGAAAGAGACTAGTCCCCAGAGAGCCCAGCCCCCACTCCTCCCACCAAGGAGTCATACGTGAGACAGTGGGAAAGCAGCCCCATAACCCTGGGGTGAGCATTCAAGCCCCACCCAAGATGTGCACGCTCTGGTTGTTAGAGGGAGGTGAGGCACGGACAGCTTCCTGTTTGAGACACATCTTTATTGCTAAGGAAACTGAGGAGGAGACATGAGCACTGAAAGTCACCCTTTGGGTCAGTCATGCACTGCACCTGCTCCCCTCACCCACCTGGGACCCATCCTCAGGCCCAGTTATGAGCAGAGCTTTGATCTCTGAGAATGAAATTGCTGCTAGGTTATTGCTCTGGCCAGTATAGCAGTGTGTGAACCCAGTCCTTAGGGATGAGCTCTGCAAAGTGAGTATGGAACACACACACAGTCATATGCACATGCTTGGACATGTCACACACACACACACACACACACACACACACACACACACACACACACACACACACACACACACACACCTGGTCCCCAAAACTAGAACTGCCCTCAGTGGATCTGTTAGATTAGAACCCATAAGCAGTGGGGTAAGAGTGAAAAGCTGCTGGTAAAAGCTCAAGGACATCTGCTTGCACCCTTGCTTCCCTTTTCCTGCCCCAAGGCAGGGACAGCAGAGTGACCAGCTCCAGGATGTGGATTACCAGGCCCCTTGTGTATAGACCCTTTGGGAATTAACAGTTTCTCAAAGGCCTCTGCCAAGGTCCAGTGGAAAGCAAGGCTGGAAACTACACCCAGCATGCAGTAAGCTAGCTCGGTTGATGCACAGTCCTTTCTCCTTTGCTCCTAAGGAGTAGGACTGGGTTTACCATTACACTGGCTTTAGAAGCAAGGGCTAACCCTGAAGCTCGGGCAGGGCCCAGCATCCCTGGCTCAGGCAGGAGCCAACAGGCTGAGGTCAGTGATGTATATCCCCAGAGCCACGGTTTCTGGCTTGGCGGGAGCTGTGCTTTCTCTGCTTCCCAAAAGAAATCTCAGGTAGATCTCCTCCCTAGCACCTGTCCCAGTTGCATCTCTCCAGTGAGGATCAAACTGAATTTGGCAGAATTCTGAGAAAATTCTGTCGAAGGAAAGAAAATAGCACGAGGCCTCATTCATCCAGCACCATTGGTCTGACCTCTGTAGCCTGGTGCAGAGGAAGGGCATGGGCTCTGAGGTCAGATAGTTCAAGTCTCGCCTCTACTGTATCCTAGCTGTGAAACCTCGAACAAGTTATGATCCTCTCTGAGCCTCAGTTTCTTTGTAGGGGTCCTAACTGCACCTACCTCCAAGGGTGGATGTGAAGATTCCAGCCTCCAGCAAGCAGGTGTCAAACACCTACTCTGTACCGGACGCTGTTCTGGGACACAGTGATGAACAAGACCCAGCCTCTGTTGTCAAGGAGCCACTTTCCTAGTAGAAGGAGTGGGGTTGTACACAAAAAGCACTAAGCAGAGCATCTGTGATGAAAGTAGAAGTCCCTGTCCGTGTTCGGCATTGTCACTCTATTGCTTGCTCTCAAGGAGTCCCTGATCATTGCTTTTGTTATAAATGACATAAAGTGCTGTTGTACGGTCATGCCCTTGAGGTTCGCTGAGTGAGCGGGGCTCTGTACCCTTCAACTGATTGGTCCCAGAACACTGTACTTTTATCATTCTTCTGTCTCTGCCCTATACTGTTTGCTCCTTTTCTCCTTCTTTGGTGCATCTTTCTCCAGTATAGATGCCTCCTTTGTCCCTTCTAGAAAGAGCTGAAGATTCCAAGGAAACTTCCCAAGGTGGTTAAAGAAGCAATCTCATTTTTTATCCCTGTTAGGCCAGGCGGCAGCTCCAAAGATAAAAGAGGTTGTCCTGTTTCATTATATATCACCTACTACAGTAATAATAGCTCTGAACATTTGAACAGCATGGTTTACTAAGAATTTTCACCAGATAACCACATCTAGTCCTGACAGTAGCCATGTAAAGTACCCTCCTCTGAATTCCTGCAGCATGCTGGGCTTCCCTTTATTATCATACGTAACATATTGGATGGTCAGTGCTTGTTTCCTGTATCTCACTGCTTCTCTATACTGGGAGCATGTTGTAGGCTCAGTGGGACCCCAGTACCCCACCACAGATCCTGGCCCACAGCGGGCCTCCAAAAAATGTGTTGGTTGCACAAATGAATGGCTAACTGTGACTGACTTCTGCATGCCAGGGATAGTTGGGTGCCCCAAGAGATGCCAGAGAGCAACTGCAGCCTCACCTGGAGGCACTCAGTAGGGAGAGCAGTTGCAGCGCAGGGCGGTGAGCACAGCAGCCAAGGTGCAAGTCTAGTGCTCGGAGAACCCAGAGGAGGAAGCAGCTGGCTGCTGGGGCTGGAGGGAGACACAGGGCTCTGGGGAGGCCTCCTGAAGGAGGTGAGAACTGAGAGTGCTAAGGCCTGCCCAGGCACATAGCTCCCTGACTGTACACTCCCTTCCTTCCCTTCCCAGGGCCGGCTGACAGATGGAAAAGGGAAGACCATTGATTGCAAGGACGCCATCTTCATCATGACCTCCAATGTGGCCAGCGACGAGATCGCACAGCACGCGCTGCAGCTGAGGCAGGAAGCTTTGGAGATGAGCCGTAACCGTATTGCCGAAAACCTGGGTATGGCGGCTGACCTGAGCAGTCTGGTCCAGTGACCAAGCCACCAGCCTATCTCCTGGGGAAGGATGGGATTGGGGCCCTGGGCCCAGGTGAAGGTTCTAGTGGGCAGCTCTGTCCCTAGCTGACACTGAGCAGATATCAGACACCATACCAAGTAGTGGGGGTTGAGACAAAAGAGACAGAGACCCCACTTCAAGAAAGCCTCAAGTCTGTTGGGTGATAAGAGGGCTCCAGGCAGGAATGGACAGAGCTACACCAGGGTGGGGGGCCAGAAGCTGCTCAGTGTCTTAGGGGACTGAGGAGATGCACATGCAAGAGACACAGATGCTTTGGTGCAAGAAGGGGACAGCAGATCGAAAACTCTATGGCAGTGGACACAGCCTTGTTCACCCAGGGCAGCTTCCTGCGTAGGTGGGCCATGGAGAGTGCTGAAAAAAAGGAGCACATCCGGCAGGAAGCTGTGTCTGTCACCTTTTCCATTCAAGATCGAGCCCTGCAGCCCCCTTCCTCCAAGTCAGGACTCAAGTCTTAATCCTGACGTTTCCTCTCCTCTCCCTCCCTCACACAACTCCCACCCTGAGGAATCGCAGACTTCATACACTTGAGAGCTGGAAAGGCCTCCGAAAGTGCCTGGTCAGAGGAGGAGACCAGGCTGAAGCCCAGAGAGCCTTAGACCTTGACCAGGACCACACAGATGGACAGGACCAGGGCTCTTTCCATGGGCAGGCCAAGGGGCAGGCACAGCCCCCAAAGTTCCCTGAATGTGGGGAATAAGCAGTTTATGATTCTTCTCCACAGGGGATGTCCAGATAAGTGACAAGATCACCATCTCAAAGAACTTCAAGGAGAATGTGATTCGCCCTATCCTGAAAGTAAGAGGTCTTTCTTGGCACTTCCTGCTGGAGCCTAAGGTTGGGGGAGGGTGATCTTAGCCATCCTAAAGATCTGGAAGCCCCATAATTTCCCCAGTCTTCCCCTGGTGTCTGGTAATTTCCCTAACCCGCTCTGGGTCACTGAGCTCATCCCACCCCTAACCTGGCCCTTCAGGCTCACTTCCGGAGGGATGAGTTTCTGGGACGGATCAATGAGATCGTCTACTTCCTCCCCTTCTGCCACTCGGAGCTCATCCAACTCGTCAACAAGGAACTAAACTTCTGGGCCAAGAGAGTAAGAGGGAACTGCCCATGGGTGGGGGCGGGATAGCCAGCCACTGGAAATCTGGAACACTGGACTGGGGGCACCCCCACACACATAAAAGGTGGAGCACAGTGGTGTGGGGCCAGTGGCCCTGGCCTCAGGCCAGAGTGGCAAGAGATGGAAAGCAGTGGGCCACATGCAGGCATGCTTCTATCTGACCCATCTCAGGCCAAGCAAAGGCACAACATCACGCTGCTCTGGGACCGCGAGGTGGCAGATGTGCTGGTCGACGGCTACAATGTGCACTATGGCGCCCGCTCCATCAAACATGAGGTGAGCACAGGAGCCTGAGAAATGAGGCGCCTCCACACCTCCCTCCCCAGGGCCCCCCAGACCCAGTCCCTGAGCTCTCAGCCTGCCTCCCTATAGCTTGGTTGCTGGATATTCACACCCAGAGTGGATGCCCATTCAGAACCATAAACACATGATCACCAAGTAAAACCCCTGCTGGAGGGTAGCCCAGTATGAACCCCACTAGGACCAGGGAACTGGGCTGGGAGCCTCAGAAACTTGAGCGCAGTCCTGCGAGCTAGCTGTTATTAGCCCCAATTGGCAAATGAGAAAGCTGAGGCTCAGGCTCAAAGGAGGTCTCTGAGTTGCCCTAGCAGTAAGTGATGGAGGCCGACCTCCAAGCTGGGTCCAGGCCGAGGGAGTGACCACTTCACCTCCCCACCGACAGGTAGAACGCCGTGTGGTGAACCAGCTGGCAGCAGCCTATGAGCAGGACCTGCTGCCAGGGGGCTGTACTTTGCGCATCACGGTGGAGGACTCAGACAAGCAGCTACTCAAAAGCCCAGAACTGCCCTCACCCCAGGCTGAGAAGCGCCTCCCCAAGCTGCGTCTGGAGATCATCGACAAGGACAGCAAGACTCGCAGACTGGACATCCGGGCACCACTGCACCCTGAGAAGGTGTGCAACACCATCTAGCAGCCACCTGCCTGCTCCTATGTGCCCTCACCATCCAATAAAGGCCCCTTGGCTGTGGCATGGCAACTGACTTACCTTCCCCTCATGCCGCTCCCATCTCTACCCAGTCTCAGGCCTGCTTACCTCCTCACAGCCCATGAAGACCCCTTCTCAGCCCCAAAACCTGAAGGAGGAATTTCGCCCTACTCTGGCCCCTTTGTTGTGGGCCCATAACCTGCTAACAAGCCTTCAGGAGAGGAGCTGCCTTTCCACCCCCTTCAAGGCAAGGAGGGATGGAGGTCCCTTATTTCCTTCAGAATGATCCCCATCCCCCATAGTCGCCAGACTTTCTCATGTTCCCAGGAAGCTCAGAAGTATGGCAGCTAAGAACACAGCTGGCTGGAAGAAGACAGGGACCAGACTGAACTGCCACCCTCTGCTAGTCCTCATGCAACTCAGTCCCCAGAATGGCTCCACTGGGAGTGGAGGAAGAGCTCAGAGGCCCAGGTGCAGATAGTTCTGCAATTTAGTCTGTAGCCTCCTCGTTCCCTACCCTAAAATTCTAAGGGGAAGGGACCCATAGAGGCTTGCCTGTTTCCGCTACTATATTATGCCCAGTGTTCCTCCTCACCCCACGTCCTGGGGTCAGGCCAGACCATGTTTCGTCAGCCTTGGGGACTAGGCCAGTGTTGGGCACCTCCAGGAGGAGGCCTGACTGGTTCATTACCCTCCCCTACTCAGACTGAGCAGCAGTCCCAGATAACCAAGCAAGCTCAGCTCTGTGGGGGCCTCCTTCAAAAGACCAACATCGCAGACATTAGGAAGCTGTAGGAAGAGAGATCATGGGTTTGACCTCTGCCCACATGGCCATGGAGTCAGCCTCAGCCCTGTCTGTACTGCTCGTCCAGCTAAACGAGCCTGGAATAAACATGCAGTTTATTCAGTCTGCATGTTAGTCACAAAGCAGAGGGTCTGGACACCGTCCCCCAAGGGCATTTCACAGACCAGCCAATGTTTCAAGCCCACCTTAGCCAGGCACAGTAAGGCCTGGTGCATCCTTGGGCACCATCTACAGTAGCCACTGCTGATAAGCAGTCCACCCACCTTCCCCCACAGGCCCTTCATGGAACCCTCGCGTAGTGTTAGCTAGTCTTTCAGGAAGCAGAGAATGGGGCCAGGAATCAAAGTCCCTTGGGTAATGGAAGCATGTCCTAACAGTATGGTGGGTATGAGGCAGTCAGAATCCAGGGTGTGAGCTCCAGCAGATGCTTGGATCACTGTCTACCCCTCAGGGGCTGCTGCTCCCTACCTCACTGACTGCCTTTTTTTTTTTTTTTTTTTTTTTGAGACAGAGTCTCACTCTGTCCCCCAAGCTGGAGTGCAGTGGCGCGATCTCGGCTCACTGCAAGCCCTGCCTCCCAGGTTCACGCCATTCTCCTGCCTCAGCCTCCCGAGTAGCTGGGACTACAGGTGCCCACCACCACGCCCGGCTACCTTTTTGTATTTTTAGTAGAGACAGGGTTTCACCATGTTAGCCAGGATGGTCTCAATCTCCTGACCTTGTGATCTGCCTGCCTCGGCCTCCCAAAGTGCTGGGATTACAGGCATGAGCCACTGGACCCGGCCTGCTTTTCATTGTTTTTTACTTTTTGTTTTGAAATAATTTTAGACTTAGAGAAAGTTGCAGAAATAGTAGAAAATTCCCATGTATCTTTCATCTAGCATCTCCCAATGATTACATCCTACAAAGCCATACTGTAGTTTATCAAAACCAGGAAATTGCCGGGTGTGGTGGCTCATGCCTGTAATTCCAGCACTTTGGGAGGCTGAGGCAGGCAGATTACCTGAGGTCAGGAGTTCGAGACCAGCCTGGCCAACATGGTGAAACCCTGTCTGTACTAAAAATACAAAAATTAGCCAGGCCCGCTGGTGCCCACCTGTAATCCCAGCTACTTGGGAGGCTGAGGCAGGAGAATCACTTGAGCCCAGGAGGCGGAGGTTGCAGTGAGCTGAAATCACGCCACTGCACTCCAGCCTGGGCGACAGAGTGAGACTCCGTCTCAAAAAAAGAAAACCAGGAAGTTAACATTGATAAACTACTACTAACTAATCTACGGACATTCAAATTTTGCCAGTTTTCCCGATGATGTCCTTTGTCTGGTCCAGGGTCCCATATTGCATTTTGTTGTGGTGTTTCCTTCATCTCTGTCAGCCTGTGACAGTTTCTTGGTCTTTATCTTTCATGACCTTGACACTTTGGAAGAGTCCAGGCCAGTTATTTTATAGAATATTCCCCAGTTTTAGTTTGTTTAATGTTTTTACATGATATGATTGAGGATCTGCATTTTTGCCAAGACAACCACAGAAGTGATACTGTGCTATTCTTAGTGCCTCCTAGCGGAGGGTGGTGGTAACTTTTTGTTTTGGTTTTTTTTTTTTTTTTGAGACGGAGTCCCGCTCTGTCACCCAGGATGGAGTGCAGTGGCGCAATCTCGGCTCACTGCAACCTCTGCCTCCTGGGTTCAAAGTGATTCTCCTGCCTCAGCCTCCTGAGTAGCTGGGATTGCAGGTGCCCACCACCACACCCAGCTAATTTTTGTATTTTTAGTAGAGACAGGTTTTCGCCATGTTGGCCAGGCTGGTCTTGAACTCCTGACCTCAGGTGATCCACCCACCTCGGCCTCCCAAAGTGCTGAGATTACAGGCATGAGCCACCACACCTAGACTAGGTGGTGGTAACTTTGATCACATGGCTAAGGTGGTGTGTGCCAGGTTTCTCCACTGTAAAATTAGGAATTTTCCCTTTGAAATTAACAAGAATCTTCCACTTTGAAGCTATGTGAATGTCTTATTCTTAAAATTTTGCCTACTGATTTTCATTTCCATCATCAATGATTCTTGCTTATAACAGGTATTAATGTTATGCTTGCCTAATGGTGACTTTGTTTCATTATTTTACCTGTATTTATTAATTGGTATTCTACTATAAGGAAGAGCTGTCCCTTTTCCCCATTTATTTATTTGATAATTTATATCAGTATGAATGAGTGGATATCTGTTTTATTCTACAGGCTACAATCTAATGCTAACAGTTTATTTGGTTGCTCAAATTGGCTCAGATTTGGCCAGTGAGAACTCATTGAAGTTGGCACTGTGTTGTTTCGACATTGCCCCTGTCACTTTTTAAGCATTTTCTGGCACCACAAGATGTTTCAGGCTTCCTCACATTTTCCCTATCTCAGCCCTGGCATCAGTCATTCTCTAAGAAGCTCCCAGTTCCTTTTATTCCAGAAAAAAGGAACTTAGAAACCAAGTTGTTTCTTGATGCCACTGGAAACCAAGATCTGGACAGAATATATACTCCTGGCTAGAGTATCATTGGCGGAGTGTCATTGCTTGTAGGCCTGCTCAGCAGACAGAGCTAGAAAACATATATGTATATATGTTAAAACATGCAAATACAAGCACCTGAATTTATTATTCTATCCATCTGTATGTTATTAAAAACCGTGAGCCAGGTATGGTGGCTCGTGCCTGTATCCCAGGACTTTGGGAGGCCAAAGTGGGAGGATCACTTGAGCCCAGGAGTTCAAGACCAGCCTGCGCATCATAGCAAGACCTCATCCTCCAAACGTTTAAAAAATAAAAAATTAGCCAGGCATGGTGGTGCATTCCTGTAATCCTAGCTACGTAGGAGGCTGAGGCAGGAGGATCGCTTGAGTTCAGAAGGTTGAGGCTGTAGTGAACTGTGATTGTACCACTGCACTGCAGCCTGAGTGACAGAGCAAGACTCCGTTTCATATTTTTAAAAATAAATAAAAATCATGAGTTTAGATACGGTTTTAATTCAATACCATAGGGTTTGCGACTGCCATTTTTATAACCTTACTATTCTTTTTCTGCTTTTTCTCCTGCTATCTCTGTTTCTGCTCCTTTCTATTTGATGTTTAGACTTCCCATAGAGGCTCTAGTTAAGTCAGCTAGTAACCAGCCTGTGTGCAGTATTCCTACTAGATAGAGGTCTTATGCCCGGCTGTCAGTCCGTTGGTTCAGTTAACTGTGGCCAGGAATACTAGGCATATAACTTAAAATCAGATAACTTTTATACAAGAAAAGCCAATGGCCACCTTCCTGAGAATAGGATAAGGAGACAGGGGTAGAACCTTAGATTCTAAGGAACCTAATTAAGAATCACTTCTGGCCGGGCGTGGTGGCTCATGCCTGTAATCCCAACACTCTGGAGGCCATGTAGGGGCAGATCACGAGATCAAGAGATTGAGACCATCCTGACCAACATGGTGAAACCCCATCTCTACTAAAAATACAAAAATTAGCCAGGCGTGGTGGCGGGCGCCTGTAGTCTCAGCTACTCGGGAGGCTGAGGCAGGAGAATCGCTTGAACCCGGGAGGTGGAGGTTGCAGTGAGCCGAAATTGTGCCACTGCACTCCAGCCTGGTGACAGAGCCAGCCTCCGTCTCCAACAAAAACAAACAAAAAAAGAATTACTTCTTCCAGAGATTCTCTGCCAGAACTCCTAGGTGGTGTTGGACCCATATCTTTTACTTCCATAGCATCCCAGGCTCAGCTCACTTGTCCTACTTGTTCTGTGTCTTCATCACTAGAATGTAAGTTCTAAGAGGGCAGATGCCAAGCTGTTCAGCCATTCACAGAACCTGGCACAGTGCAGGCATATGACAGATGTTCCTTTATTATTATACTTGGGTGAGTGGATGGGACCTGCAGCAAGTGCAGATCTTCTCAGTGGGCTCTGGAACAGAAAAGTATTGTTTGTTTGCTCAGCATATTTTTATTTGTCCCATGTTGCTGTGGCCAGGATTTGAGCTCTGAGACAATGCAGCAAGGTGAGACCCAGATTTCTTTTGTTTTGTTTTGTTTTTTGAGACAGAGTCTTGCTCTGTCGCCCAGGCTGGAGTGCGGTGGTGCAATCTTGGCTCACTGCAACCTCCACCTCCAGTTCAAGCAGGTCTCATGCCTCAGCCTCCTCAGTAGCTGGGACTACAGGCATATGCCACCATACCCAGCTAATTTTTTTTGTATTTTTAGTAAAGACGGGGTTTCACCATGTTTGCCAGGCTAGTCTCAAACTCCTGGTCTCAAGTGATCCACCCACCTTGGCCTCCCAGAGTGCTGAGATTACAAGCGTCAACGACTGTACCCGGCCCCAAATTCCTTATTGAGGATCCTAGAATACATGAGACCAGACTTGGAAATGAAAGTGTAACATGTTTATTGTTCAAAAAGAAAAACTCAAAGGTGTGTAGTGATTTTAAAATTTAGGGAAATTCCTCAATATAGTGAAAGAAGAAAAACAAGAAAGAAATTTAGGAAAGAAACACACTTAAACCATAAAAAATAGAAAATGGACCAATAAAGATAAAAGCTAAACTTAACAAGGTAGGAAAAAGAAAAAGAATAAATTAAAAAATTCTTTGAAAGCACCAATAAAATAGATAAAACCTCCTGAGCCTGATAAAAGGGGAAAGGAGCCAAAAAAATTAACAAAATTAGGCATGAGAAATTAGACATAACCATATATATTGAGGAATTGAGAAGAAGAATAGAACTCTATGGCAACAAATTTGAAATCAGAGGAAATGGATAATTTCCCAGCAAACACTGATCCTAGAAATAGTTTGAATAGGCCAGTTGGTTACCCAAGAAGAAACTGGAAAGGTGGTTAAAATTTTATCCTTTTTGAGCACCATAAGATGGTGAAAAATAAATAAAATTTTATCCTTGTAAAAGATTGATGGCCAGGCATGGTGGTGGCCCACACCTGTAATCCTAGCACTTTGGAAGGCCAAGGCAGGCAGATCACTTGAGCCCCGGAGTCTGAGACCAGCCTGGGCAACATGGCAAGACCCCACCTCTACTAAAAATACCAAAATTAGCCAGGCATGATGGTGCTTGCCTGTAGTCAACAGCTACTTGGGAGGCTGAGGTGGGGAAGATGGTTTAAGCCCAGGAGGCAGAGGTTGCAGTGAGCCAAGACTGTGCTGCTGCACTCCAGCCTGGGTGACAGAGCGAGACCATGTCCCAAAAATAAAAAATTGTTTTTAATTAAACTTTTTAATTGAAAAATATATGGGAAATTGTACAAATCACAAGTATGCAGCTCAGTGAATGATTACAAAGTAAACACACTCCTATAGCCATCACTCAACCCCCAAAATAGATGAGTTTTAACTATTATTGTACTCAAACCTGATAAAGTGCCAGAAAGAATGCTATAGCCTAATCTCACCTATGGCCATAGATGCAAAAATCCCAAATAAAATCAAGTTGAATTGCACACTCTGATTACATAAGGTTTATTTTAGCAATGCAAGGCTCAGTGTCAGGAAATTTATTAATTTATTACATCAAGAACTTAAATGTTATTTAAATGTCTAGAGAGTGCTAGTGTTGTTAAATTTTCTCATTTTGATAATTATACTATGATTACAGAAGAGAACGTCCTTGTTTTCAGAAAATGTAAGTATTTAGAGGTTAAAGGTAAACCTCTAATTTGGTTTGCCAGTATTTCAGATAACTACACACACACACACACACACACACACACACACGGAATGATAAAGCAAAAAGTAAGGTGTTGGCAAGGCATGGTGGCTCACACCTGTAATTCCAACACTTTGGGAGGCCCAGGCAGGTGGATCACCTAGGTCTGGAGTTCGAGACCAGCCTGGACAACATGGTGAAACCCCTCTTTATTAAAGTACAAAAATTAGCCGGACATAGTGGCACATGCCGGTAATTCCAGCTATTTGGGAGGCTGAGGCACAGGAATCCCTTGAACCTGGAGGCAGAGGTTGTAGTGAGCCTACATCACACCACTGCACTCCAGCCTGGATGACAGAGTGAGACTGTCTCAAAAACAAACAAAAAAAAGATGTTAACATTTGGGAAATCTGAGGGAATGATGTACATGAATTCTTTGTATTGTTTTTGCAACTTTTAAGTATAAAGTTATTTCAGGCCAGGCATGGTAGTGCATGCCTGTATACCCAGCTACTCGAGGCTGAGGTGGAAGATTCCTTGAGTCTAGGAGTATGAGGTTACAGTGAGCTATGATCATGCCACTGCACTCCAGGCTGGGTGGCAGAGTGACACCCTATCTCTTAAAAAAAAAAAAAAAAAAAAAAACAGGTGCAGTATCTCACACCTGTAATCTCAACAGAACACTGAGGGGTCAAGGCAGGTGGACTGCTTGAGCCCAGGAGTTCAAGACCAGCCTGAGCAACATGGTGAAACCCCATCTCTGCAAAAAATTAGCTGGTTGTGGTGGCATCCACCTGTGGTCTCAGCTACTTGGGAGGCTGAGGTGGGAATATAACTGGAGCTCAGGAGGTGGAGGTTGCTGTGAGATGAGATCGTGCCACTGCACTCCAGCCTATCTCCAAAAAAAAAAAAAAGGCTATAGTAGAAGCCTATTAGCATGGATAAGTGTCTGAATAAAAGATAACTGTACAAAAATCAATTGTTTTTTCTGTATTCTAGCAATAATCAACTAGAAACAGTATCAAAAGAAAAACATTCCATTTACAATTGCAACAAATAGGTATATATATATTTGCTCTTCTACACATAACCTATTTCTGGAAGGGAGCAGAACTGGGCAATTCAGGGACAGCAATGGAAGGGGAACACTGCTATGTTATTTTAAATACTTTTTAGTAAGCTTTGAACCATATTAATGTATTACCTGTTCAAAATTATACTTAATAAATTTAACAAGAAAACCATATTGAAGGGCATAAAAATAAGACCTGACAAGTGAAAAAACATCAAGTTTTAGAAAGGATGATTTAATACTAAAATATACATTTCTTAATATATAACTTAATGTAAACCTAATAAATAATTTAATACAAATCTAATTGACAGCACTTTTAATTAAATAATGTTAAGGTCATACTGCACTACTATGTCCAGAGGCGATGCTACATGGAGCTACTGTTTTCTGGGTCTAGCCTCTCAGGAAATAGTCATTACTACTTTTGCAATCCCATCTTGACAGTATGCAAAAATTAGGGAAAATGTAAATTTATTATTAACACACACCCTAAATACAATTATGAGAGAAAGGAAAGAGAAGGGTTACTGTCTGTGGCTGGAGTATAGTAGCTGTGTATGAGTGTGGAGAAGAGAGGAAATTGGTGGAAAATGAAGCTAGAGAGGCAAGTTTCCTGATTTCAAAGTGCCCTGAATGCCATGCTAAGGGAATGAAATGACCAGATTTGTGTTTTAAAAGACCCTTTGTTTGCATTGTGTAGAATGATTTGGGATGACTTCTGACCAATATACAACAGAGAGTAATTTCAGGCAAACTCTCTTCCACCTCAAACAGAAATATTTAATATATGTAATAAGACAAGAAAGTTTAATACACAACTAGACTTGAAACCAAGAATGGGAAATCCCAGCCATGTACAGTGGCTCATGCCTGTAATCCCAGCACTTTGGGAGGCCAAGGCAGGCAGATCACCTGAGGTCAGGAGTTCAAGTCAGCCTGGCCAACATGGTGAAACCTTATCTCTACTAAAAATACAAAAATTAGCTGGGTGTGGTGGCATGTGCCTATAATCCCACCTACTGGGGAGACTGAGGCAGGAGAATTGCTTGAACCAGGAGGCAGAGGTTGCAGTGAGCTGAGATCACACCACTGCACTCCAGCCTGGGTGACAGAACGAGACTCCGCCTCAAAAAAAAAAAAAAAAATCTTAAAATGTTCAGACATGGAGAGAAGACTAAAAAACATAAAGCAAGAAAGGGCAGTAAGAAAAAATAGTAGGTATATTTGAAAAAGAGGCTTCATTCTGAGTGATTTTCTCAGATTAATTTTCGTCTTTTATGCATTTCTACAATTTTTTCTAGTGTTGTGGTCCTAATTGACTTAGATATTAGATACTAGGAGTAATAAGGACTCATATTCTTAAAGGAGGAAGATTTGGGTCATCCACTGGACAACAAACCATAGTGGTCTAAGGCAGTGACACAGGACAAGGGGAATATGGAATGGTCAGGGAGGGCAGTCACCAGTGTGACCCTCCAGAGTCATGATCAGTTGCAGAGATAAGGAATATAGCCTCAACCACAATCCTGAAACCATTAGCCCACCATCCTCTTAAGAGTCTTCAAGTCTAATACCATCCCTCACAGATTCGTTATAGTAATCCCAAGAAGTCTGACCCTAACCTCAGTGGTCATCTACCACCACATCATCACATACTGCTTCCCTCTCCAGCCTTTCCACTGTGTCCTCCAGCACTTCCTTTCTAAAATCGGTAGATTCTTTTCTATATGCACCTTGTATTTGGAATATTTGCTTCACTTCTTCATCTTAACTGTCCCCTAAAGACACAGCTTACTCTGGCTGTCCCCTAAGACTGCTTACCTGTAGCCCTCTTAGGCAGAGGCTGCTTTCATTGTTAGACCCAGAAGTGAGCCTCCACTGCTCCTCCTCAATTAGTTCTCATCCTTCCTCTCAGCTCTTTTGAATTCATCAGTTCGACTATACCAGCCTTTCTCTAATTGTCCTGCCTACTGATCTCCCAATCACTGTGTCACAGGGAAGATTTTAGTACCTGTGTCACTTTCTCTCTTCCCCAGCACATGCCATCATTCTTGGTGGCTTCAACCTTCCATGAATGACCTAAAGCCCTGCTCTCCTCACATTTAGTGGTCTTTTTTCTGCCCCTGCCCACCTAAATCACCTATGTTATGGTCACAGTCTAAATTTCATCACAAGTAATTAAACTTCCTCCGAAGCCCCTATCCCTCTCTAGCCAATTATCTTTCATCTTCCAGTTCACTTATATGAACTGGAGTACATTCTGTGTGTAATTCTGTGACCTTATTGATACTTCTAGTCCATTAACCCCAACCTTCTTATTGCCCATCTGATCCCTCTTTCTCCAAGTCCACTTAAATCTCAGGGCCCATCATTATAATCTCTCTCTTCCAAATATTCTCAGAATCTTCAGACTTAACCCAACAACAATATAGATCTTCCCAAACCTGTATTTTCAAAAAAAACTTCACGCTACGTAATGCCACCTATCCCTTGCACAGAGCAATTTACTCTTACAAAGATAAACATAGCAAAGTCTCATCAGTTGCTACAACTTGTTCCATATCAAGGATCTCTGTGTGATGAGCATTCTTCCTCTGGTTCTATCATAACCCTATTTAGATATATTTTAACCTGTGGGCAAAATTGAGAAGTCAACCAACACAATCTACATAAAATACTAGGGCAAAGCGAGGAAAAGGAAGGAAAAAAGAGAAAAAAGTATGGCAGATTAAGCACTATATAGTATGCTCCCCACCTTAGACACCCCCCACACACACAAAAAAAAAGAGTAAAATAATTTTTTAAAAGGTAAATACCCAGAGGATTCTGGGAAGATGCCAGAGTAGGAAGCATCAGGAATCTGTCTCCCCACCCAGACAATTACAGTGGCAGAATTTGTCTGATGTAACTATTTTGGAGCTCTGGAGTCTATTGGAGTTCTGCGACTTCCCAGGGAAGGCTTAGATGATAAATTGTGGTTAATTTTGTTCAATTTCAACTCTTAGCACAGTAACAACTACCCATCCCCCACCTCCCAGCCCCATGGCAGGCAGCTGTGCACGTGTTCCTAGAACAGCTGGAATGCAGCTTCCAGGAGCCAGGAGGGGCAAAAGGACCCTGTCTTTCAAATACTTAGGATCTGTGCTCTGATTGCTACTTCTGATCACAGGCATAAAAAGAGGCAGAGACCATTATTCTTATACCTCCTCCCATTGTAGCAAGCCCCTCTGGCTGAAGTGCTGTCTAGGATTAATGTGCTTGCACCCTTCCCTCCCTCTTCATTTTTCTCTTTTACTTCCTGTTGGTAGCCAGACATTTAAGACTAGGATATTCAAAAGCAATTGCATATACTGGGAAATTTAGAAAGTAATCATAATGTCTTAGAGAAGATGCAGAGTTAGTAATTTTTGTATTTTTAGTAGAGATGGGGTTTCACCATGTTGGCCAGGCTGGGCTCAAACCCATGACCTCAGGTGATCCACCTGCCTCAACTTCCCAAAGTGTTGGGATTGCAGGCATGAACCACCACTCGCAGTCAACTTTAAATGTTAATGGGTTAAACTCTCCAATCAAAAGGCAAAGATTGTCAGAATTGATTTTAATAACATAATCCAACAATATGCTGTCTACCAGAGTCTCACTTTAGCTCCAAAGAGACAAATAGATTGAAAGTGAAAGGATGGAAAAAACATATTCCACGCAAATAGTAACCAAAAGAGAGCAGGAATGCTTATACCAACATCAGACACTATACACTTCAATTTTTTAAAGACATTTTTTAAAAATTTACAAGAGAAAAGAACATTATATTATTATTTTTTAAGACGAGGTCTCTGTGGCCTAGGCTGGAGTGCAGTGGCATGATCACAGCTCACTGCCATCTCAACCACCTGGGCTTAAGCGATCCTCCCACTTCAGCCTCCCAAGTAGCTAGGACCACAAACATGTACCACCATGCTCAGCAAATATTTTTAATTATTTGTAGAGATGAGGTATCACTATGTTGCCCAGGCTGGTCTCAAATTCCTGGGCTCCAGCTATCCTCTTTCCTTGGCCTCCTACACTGCTGGGATTACAGGCATGAGCCATGGGGCCCAGCCAAGAATATTATAAATACAAGGTTTAATACAGGAATAAGATACAACAATTATGAAAATTTATATACCTAAAAAGACCATCAAAATACATGAAACAAAAACTGGCAGAACTAAAGGGAGAAATAGAAAGTTCTACAATAATAGTTGGAGTCTTCAATACCCTACTCTCAGTATTAGATAGAAGAACCAGAAAGAAGTAAGGAAATAAAGGATTTAAACACGACAATAAACCAACGAGATATAATGAGCATATACAGAACACTGTGCTCAACAACAACAGCATATACATTCTTCTCAAGTGTACACAGGACATTTTTCAGGATAGACCATATGTTAGGCCACAAAATGCCTCAATAGAATCTATTTATTTATTACTGTTATCACAACAAATTTTATTCAAAAAATTAACTTTGTGGTTTGTTGTTGTTGTTTTAAAAAAAAATTCCCCTTATGATCTGGTTTGGTCAATCAACCACAACACTTTCTAGCAGACATATGGTAGAAATGGCATGGCTCAGAATTGCCCTGATCTTTCATGATCCCTCAACCACCTCCTGTCACGCTCCCGCCTGCCGCCGCCTCCACCACCGCCACCGCCATGGTCTCTAGACCGAGAACTACGCTCCCGGGACTGGGATCTTGATCTATGCTTCTTCGGATGGCACCCATACAGCTCCCGCCTCAGCTCTCTGGAAATGAGCTTCAAATGCATGAAGTTGCAGAAGCTGCCTTGTGTGCATTCTCCCATCTCATACTGACTGCAGCAGGCTTCTCTGAAGTCGGTCACAGGCGACAGCTCGGCGTGGATTGGCTGTCCGTTAAACCAACGGTTATACAAGTCAATCACAGCCTTTTCCGCATCTTCCTCACGGCGAAAGGACGTACACGTTCTACACGTTCCCCACCAGGTGGTCTCCCTGGTTGTCACAGACGTTCATCTCTTCAACTTCCCCATACTTCTCCTCCATTTCTGTAAAAAACTCTCAAAAGGCCTGGCACGGTGGCTCATGCCTGTAATCCTAGCACTTTGGGAGGCCGAGGCGGGCGGATCACGAGGTCAGGAGATCGAGACCATCCTGGCTAACACGGTGAAACCCTGTTTCTACTAAAAATACAAAAAATTAGCCGGGCGTGGTGGCGGGCGCCTGTAGTCCCAGCTACTCGGGAGGCTGAGGCAGGAGAACGGCGTGAACCCAGGAGGCGGAGCTTGCAGTGAGCCGAGATAGCGCCACTGCACTCCAGCCTGGGCAACAAAGCAAAACTCCATCTCAAACAACAACAACAACAACAACAACTCCTCAAAAAATTCATCATAGTGTTCCTGCATCTCAACATCGCTCATGGCACAGCGCAAACCATCAGCAGACAGGGAAGAGTTTTGAGGGTTACCGTAAATGTTCAAGAGGGCAATGGTCTGTCTAAACGTCCGTTTATTGTGCAACCGAGAGCACCTGTCTCCATGACAACATGCTCCAATTCTGAAATAAAATGAACAGCTGACTTTGTCTTTCCCAGTGCCGAAGATGGAAGCCAGATACTCCGCCATTTCCCACCCACCACCCGCCATCACCACCGCCGACACTGCTGCCAACGCAGCCCTAGAATTTAAAACATAGATATCAAAGCATTTTCTCTGACAGAGCAAGATAAATTAGAAATCAGTAACAGTAGTAAAATGGCAAAAATTCATAAAATTATGAAAATCAAACAATGAATTGAAGAAATCACAAGAGACATTAGAAAATACTTACAGATACATGATAATGACCTGTAACTTTATGCACCACACCAAAACTTATGGAATGCAGTGAAAGCAGTGCTAAGGAGGAAATTTATAGCTATAAATGCTTACATTAAAAAAAAAGATCTCAAACAACAACCTGCAATTTAAGGAACTAGAAAAACAAAAACAAACTAAACTCAAAGCCAACAGAAGGAAGGACATAATAAAGATGAGAAGAGAAATAACATAAGAACAGGAAAACAACAGAGAAAATCAATGAAACTAGAAATCGATTCTTTAAAAAGATCAATAAATTGACAAACCTTTAGCTAGAGGGACTAAGCAAAAGAGGGAGAAGAGTCAAATTACTAAGATCAGAAATGAAAGCAAGGGCATTATTAGTGACTCTACAGAAATAAAAAGGATTATAAGAGAGTGCTATGAACGATTACATGCCAACAAATTGGATAACCTGGATGAAACTGATAAATTTTTACAAACACAAAACCTATCACAGCTAAATCACAAAGAAATAGAAAATCTGAATAAACCTATAACTAGCAAGGAGATTGAATGAGTAATAAAAAGTCTCCTGAGAAATGAAAGCTCTGGAACTGATGCACTGCTGAATTCTACCCAACATTTAAAGAACTAACACCAATCCTTCTCAAACCTAAAAAAAAAAGGAGATAACACTTTCTAACTCATTCTATGGGGCCCTGATACCAAAGCCACACAAAGACACTACAAGAAAAGAAAACTACAAGCCAATATCCTTTATGAGCACTGATGCAAAAATACTCAACAAAACACTAGCAAACCACATTTAGCAGCATATTAAAAGGATTATACACCATGACCAAGTAGGATCTATTCCTGGAATGCAAGGATGATTCAACATACAAGAATTTATCAATGTTTCCATAGTAATCTACAGAGTCAGTGCAATCCCTATCAAAATCCCAATGATGCTTTTAGCAGAAATAGAAAAACCCATCCTAAAATTCATATGGAACTTCAAGGGACCCTGAATCATCTTAAAAAAAGAAGAACAAAGCTGGAAGACTCATACTTCCTGACTGGAAAACTTATTACAAGCTGTAGTAATCAAATAGTATGATACTGGCATAAAGACAGACATATAAACCAATTGAATAGAATACACAGCCTAGAAGTAAATGCTTGCATATATGAACAAATGATTTTTTATATGGGTGCCAAGATTATTCAATGGGGAAAAAAACAGTCTTTTAACAATCGGTGCTGGGAAATATGGATATCCACATGCAAAAGGATAAATTTGGACCCTTATCTAACCATATACAAAAATCAACTCAAAATGGAACAAAGACCTAAATGTAAGACCTAAAAGTATAAAATTCTAAAAGAAAATATAGGGCTAATCTTTACAACTGTGAATTTGACAGTGATTTCTTGGAAATGACACCAAAGGCACAGGCAACAAAAAATAAATAAATTGGGGCTCATAAAAATTTTAAAAATCTGTGCAATGAAAGACACTATCTAGAGAGTAAAAAGGCAACCCACAGAATTGGAGAAAATATTTGCAAATTACACATATGATAAGAGATTAATATCCACACTATATAGAGAACTCATAAATCTCAACAGTGAAAAAACAAAACAACATGATTTAAAAATGGAGCCAGGCATGGTGGCTCATGCCTGTAATCCCAACACTTTGGGCGGCTGAGGTGGGTGGATCACCTGAGGTCAGGAATTGGAGACCAGCCTGACCAATATGGTGAAACCCCGTCTCTAATAAAAATACAAAAAAATTAGCTGGGCGTGGTGGCATGCGCCTGTAGTTCCAACAACTCAGGAGGCCTGGACAGGAGAATTGCTTGAACCTGGGAGGCGGAGGTTGTGGTGAGCCGAGATCGCGCCACTACACTCCAGCCTGGGCAACAGAGCGGAACTCTGTCTCAAAAAAAAAAAAAAAAAAAAATGGCAAAGAGCTGGGCGCAATGGTTCACGCCTGTAAGCCCAGCACTTTGAGAGGTGGAGGTAATCAGATTGCTTGGGACCAGGAGTTTTGAGACCAGGTTGGACAATATAGCAAAACCCCACCTCTACCAAAAATACAAAAAAATTAGCTGGGCGTGGTGGGGCATGCCTGTGGTCCCAGCTCCTTGAGAGGTTGTGGTGGAAGGATTGCTTGAGCCCGGGAGATGGAGGTTGCAGTGAACAGAGATCATGCCACCACACTCCCTCCCGGTTGACACAGTAAGACCCTGTATCAATTTTTTCAATAAAAAATAATTTAAAATGGGCAAAGGATTTGAATAAATATTTTTCCAAAGAATATATACAAATGGCCAATAAGCACAAAAACACATACTCAACATCAGTAATCATTAGGGAAATGTGAATCAAAACTACAATGAGACACCACCTCAGACCATTAGGATGTTTGCAATTTTTAAAAATCAGAAAATAACAAGTGTTGATGAGGGTTTGGAGAAGTTGGAACCCTTTTGCACTGTTGGCGGGAATGTAAAATGACACAGCCACTGTCGAAAACAATATGGAGGTTCTTAAAACAATTACATATGTAATTATCATATAATCCAGCAATTTCATTTCTGGGTATATAACCAAAAGAATTGAAAGCAGAGTCCCAAAGAGATATTGTATACCCATATTCCATAGAGCAGCGTTATTCACAATAGCTAAAACATGGAAGCAACACAAGTATCCATCAACAGATAACAGATAAGCAAAATGTAGTATATACATACAATAGAATATTATTCAGTCATAAAAAAGAAGGAAATTCTAACATATGCTACAATATGGATGAACCTTAAGGACATTATGCAAAGTGAAATAAGCCAGTCACAAAAAGACAAAGTTGGCCAGGCATAGTGGCTCACATCTGTAATCTCAGCACTTTGGGAGGCTAAGGTGAAAGCATTGCTGGGGCTCAGAAATTCAAGATCAGCCTGGGCAATATAGCAAGACCCCTTCTCTACAAAAACATGAAAAAAATTAGCTGGGTATGGTAGCACTTGCGTGTGATGCCAGCTACCGGGGAGGCTGAGGTAGAAGGGTCACTTAAGCCTGGGAGGTTGAAGTTGCAGCGAGCCATGATCACACCACTGCACTCCAGCTCATGCAACAGAGTGAAACTCTGCCTCACACACACACACATACAAATTAACAAAAAAGACAAATATTGTATGATTCTACTTATATGAAGTACACAGAATTGTTAAGATCACAGAGACAGAAGGTAGAATGGTGGTTTCCAGAGTCTGTGGAGACGAAGGAATAGGAAGCTACTGTTTCATGGGTATAGAATTTCTGTTTTTCAAGATGAAAAGAATTATGAAGATGGACGGTGGTGATGGTTGCACAAAATATGAAGTGTATTTATTTATTTTTGGAGATGGAGTTTTGCTCTTGTTGTCCAGGCTGGAGTGCAATGGCGCGATCTCAACTCACCACAACCTCCGCCTCCCAGGTTCAAGCAATTCTCCTGCCTCAGCCTCCCTAGTAGCTGGGATTACAGGCATGTGCCACTACGCCTGGCTAATTTTGTATTTTCAGCAGAGGCGGGGTTTCTCCATGTTGGTCAGGCTGGTCTCGAACTCCCGACCTCAGGTGATCTGCCCGCCTCAGCCTCCCAAAGTGCTGGGATTACAGGCATGAGCCACCATGCCCGGCCTTAAAGTGTATTTAATACTGCTGTACTATACATGTATAAATGGTTACGATGGCAAATTTTACATTATGTATATTTTTTCACAATTTTTAAATGTGGAAAAAAAGTAATTACCCATGAGGACAAAAAGAATAGAAAGAGTCAAGAGATGAGGAAAATTAATCAATTTTGAAACATAAAAAAATTGATAAAGTTGTACCAACCCAGCCTCCACCCTAACCATAAGGTAATGCTAGAGGAATTCAAAGCTGATAGCAGGCCGGGTGCGGTGGCTCACGCCTGTAATCCCAGCACTTTGGGAGGCCGAGGCGGGTTCATCACGAGGTCAGGATATCGAGACCATCCTGGCTAACATGGTGAAACCCCGTGTCTACTAAAAATACAAAAAATTAGCCAGGCGTGGTGGCGGGTGCCTATAGTCCCAGCTACTCGGGAGGCTGAGGCAGGAGAATGGTGTGAACCCAGGAGGTGGAGCTTGCAGTGAGCCGAGATCACGCCACTGCACTCCAGAGTCTGGGCAACAGAGAAAAAAAAAAAAATCTGATAGTACACTGAAGGTAACCATAGTAACAATAAAACCTAAACCCAGATCAAATCTGGACTAAATTACCTCAATTACCCACACAAACAGCCTATGAAAAGGAGAGGCATGCTCATTTCTAGGCATAAATACTATTTATTACAGTCTCTTCTGTTCTACACGTGATGTCCAACATTCAATGAAAAAATTATGAAACATAATGTGGAAAGAATAGTAAATGATGTTGGGACAACTGAATATCCACATACAAAAAAATAAACTGGACCCCTACCCCACACCATACACAAAAATTAACTTACACGGGATCAAAGACCTAAGCACAAGAGTTAAAACAATGATAAAACTCTTAGAAGAAGATATAGTTGTAATCTCTTCAAAAAAAGATGTACAAAAGGCCAATGAGTACATGAAAAGATACTCAGTATCATCAATATCATTAGTCATTAGAGAAATACAAATCAAAATGACGCGATACTACTCTCACCCACTAGGATGACTATAAGGTAAAACAAAAACAAAGTAATGAAATAACTGTTGGCAAGGATGTGGAAAAATGTGAACCCTCATTTATTGCTGGTAGGAATGTAAAATGATGCCGCCACTTTGGAAAAGAGTCTACCGGTCACTGAAAAGCTTAAACAGAGTTTCTATATGACCCAACAATTCTACTCCTAGGTTATACCTAAGAGACATGCAGATGTTCAAACAAAAAGTTCTGCATGTTTTTTCTTTTTTCTTTTGCTATTCACAATAGCCCAAAGATAGAAACAACCCTAATATGCATCAACTGATGAATGGATAAACAAAATGTGGTGTATCCATATCATTAATATTATTCAGCCATAGAAAGGATGAAGTACTGATACATGCTACGACATGGATGAACCTTGAAAACATTATACTAAGTAAAATAAGCCAGACATAAAAGGCCACATATTGTATTATTTCCTATATATGAAATGTCCAGAATATGCATATATAGAGCGACAAAAAGTAGATGAGTGGTTGCCAGGATAGGGAAAGGGAGGAATGGAGTAATTGCTTAACTGGTGTAGGATTTTCTTTCGGGTGATGAAACGTTCTGGAACCCGATAGTGGTGATAGTTGCATAACATTGTCAGTATACTAAATGCCTTTGAATTATAAACTTTAAAATGGTCAAAATTGTGACGTTTTATATTTTGTATGTTTTACCACAGTTTTTTTTTAGGATTAGGCAATGGTTTCTTAGATATGACACTAAAACCAAACAACAAGAAAAAATAAATGCAACTTCATCCAAATTGAAAAGTTTTGGCTGGGCGTGCTGGCTCACGCCTGTAATCCCAGCACTTTGGGAGGCTGAGGTGGGCAGATCACCTTAGGCCAGGAGTTTGAGACCAGCCTGGCCAACATGGTGAAACCCTGTCTCTACTAAATACAAAAAAAAAAAAAAAAATAGCTGGGAGTGGTGGCGTGTGCCTGTAATCCCAGCTACTTGGGAGGCTGAGACAGGAGAATCGCTTGTACCCAGGAGACAGAGATTGCAGTGAGCCAAGATTGTGCCATTGCACTCCAGCCTGGGCAAGAGCGAAACTCCATCTCAAAAAAAAAGAAAAAGAAAGTGAAAAGACAACCTATAGAATGGGAGAAAATCTTTGAAACTCAGATTTGATAAGAGTCTAGTATACAGAGTATATAAAGAACTCTTAAAACACAACCATAAAAAGCAAATTAACCCAATTTTAAAACAGGCAAAGGATCTAAATAGACATTTATCCAAAGAAGATACATAAAAGGTTAAAAAGCACATGAAAGATGTTCGGTGTCATTAGCTATCAGGGAAATGCAAATCAAATCCACTATACATACCCGCCAAAATGACTATAATAAAAAAGATAGGCAATAACAAGTGTTGGTGAGGATTTGGAGAAATTGAACTCTCATACACTACTGGTAGGAATGTAAAGTGAGGCAGCCACTTTGGAAAAGAGCCTAACAGTCACTCAAAAAGTTAAACATAGAGTTTCCATCTAACCCAGCAATTCTACTCCTAGCTTATACCTAAGAGACAGGAAAACATACAGCCACACAAAAACTTACACACAATGTACATAGCAACATTTTTCATAATAATTAAAAAGTGGAAACAACCCAAATGTTCATCAAACTGATGAATGGATGGATAAAATATGGTGTATCTATACATATACACAGAATATTATTCAGACATGAAAAGAATGAAGTATTGATTTACACTACAACATGAACCTTGAAATATGCAAAATGAAAGAATCCAGTTACAAAATACCACATAGTAGATGATTCTATTTATATGAAAATGTCCAGATAGGCAAATTCACAGAGACCGAAAGTAGATTAGTGGTTGCCAGGTAATGGGAAAGGGGAATCGAAATGACTGATAATGAACTTGGGGGTTTCTTTTTGGAGTGATGAAATGTTCTAGAATTACATAGTGGTGGTGGTTGCACAACTTTGTGCAATCCTTGTATTGTACACTTCAAAGGGTGAATTTTTTTTTTTTTCTTCTTGAAACAGAGTCTTGCTCTGTCACCCAGTCTGGAGTGCAGTGGCGTGATCTCAGCTCACTGCAAGCTCTGCCTGCCGGGTTCACGCCATTCTTCTGCCTCCGCCTCCCGAGTAGCTGGGACTACAGGCACCCACCACCACGCCCGGCTAATTTTTTGTATTTTTAGTAGAGACGGGGTTTCACCGTGTTAGCCAGGATGATCTGGATCTCCTGACCTCGTGATCCGCCCGCCTGGGCCTCCCAAAGTGCTGGGATTATAGGTGTGAGCCACAGCGCCTGGCCTTTTTTATTTTTATTTTTTTGAGACAGAGTCTCGCTGTGTTGCCCAGGCTGGAGTGCAGTGGTGCGATCTTGGCTCACTGTAACCTCTGCCTTCTGGGTTCAAGCAATTCTCCTGCCTCAACCTCCCGAGTAGCTGGGATTACAGGCAGGCGCCACCACAGCTTACTAATTTTTGTATTTTTAGTAGAGACAGGGTTTCACCATGTTGGCCAGGCTGGTCTGGAACTCCTGACTTCAAGTGATCCACCCGCCTCGGCCTCCCAAAGTGCTGGGATTACAGACATGAGCCACTGTGCCCCGCCTAAAGAGTGAATTTTATGATGTGAATTATATCTCAAAGTTTTATATCTCAAAAATTATGCCTCAGTTTTAAAAATAAGGAAATACATGCTTTCAAAAAAATGTTTTAATATATCAAAGTTAAATGTCAAGAGAATGAGAAAAGAAGTCACAGACTGGGAGAAAATATTTACAAAAGACATATGTGATACAGGAATATTCAAAATATATGCTTACAACTGAACAATAAGAAAACCAGATTAAACAACGGGCAAACTATCTGAAAAGACACATCACCAAAGAAGATATACAGATGACAAATAAGCATATGAAAAGATCCTCCACATCCTATGTCATTAGGGAATTGCAAATTAAAACAATGAGATACCACTATACTTTAGAATGGCTAAAATTCAAAACTCTGACCATACCAAATACTGGCAAGGAGGTGGAGCAATAGGAACTCTCATTCATTGCTGGAGGGAATGCAAAAGGATACAGTCACTTTGGAAGACAGCAGTTGTTTACAAAACCAAACATACTTTTACCATATGATCCTACAACTGAGCTCCTTTGTGTTTACTCAACTATGTTGACAACTTACGTACACCCAAAAACCTACACATGAATGTTTGTAGCAGCTTTATTCATAATTGTCAAAATTTGAAAGAAATTAAAATGTCCTTCAATAGGTAAGTGGATAAAGAAACTCTGGTACATCCAGACAGTGGAATATTATTTAATGCTAAAAAGAAATGAGCTATTAAGCCATAAAAACACATAGAGAAACTTTACATTCTTATCACTAAGTGAAAGAAGTCATTCTGAAAAGCCTATATACTGTATGATTCCAACTATATGGCATCATGGAAAAGACAGAACTATAGAGACAGTAAAAACAGAAGTGATTTCTAGGGACTTAAGTGGAGAGAGATCAATAGGTGGAGCACAGGGGATTTTTAGGGCAGTGAAATTATTCTGTATGATATTACAAGTGTGGGCATACGTTATTATACATTTGTCAAAATCTACAGAATGTAAATACAGTGAACTTTAACTATGGACTTTGGTCAATTATGATGTATGTGTCAATATTGGTGCATTGATTGTACCAAATATTCCAATCTGATGCTAATATCGATAATGAAGGCTTTGTTGGGGGGGGTTGGTACTAGGGCAGGAGAGGGGGGTATGGGAATGCTGTATACTTTCCACTCCGTTTTGCTGTGAACCTAAAGCTGCTCTAAAAAAATTGTCGATTAACTTTTAAAAGTTAAATGAACCACATTCTAATAGAGTTTCTTTTTAAAATGGGGGGGAGGGGAATAGAGCTGTATCCAAAAAGTTATGGCTCATATTTTAACAGGTTAAAGTTGAAAACTGTTTTAGGGTCTTCCTTCCTCTACCTGATTTCTGTAGCTTACCTGGACATACTCATACACACAATAGATGCTTACCGAGTGTTTGCAGGAAGAACAAATCAGTAAGACTCCACGGCATAATCTCATGATTTGGGTTTTTATCTTTGTTTCTTCCCATTGCAGTATCGCTTCATCCATTTAGCATTTCTTAGGCAATTAATTATATAAAATAAGTATAATTTCCTGATGACTAAAACATATCAGCTTAAAGTCCTTACAACATGACAATTTGTACCCCAGAGCAATCTAAGGGAGAGGCAGGCAGAAGCCACAATGTCTTACATGCCCTAAGCGTCAGAAGCAGAACACCACCATTCCCACCATATTGCATTCATTACAATAGAAGTCCCAAAAATGCAAGGGAAGGAGAATTAAGCTTCACTTTTTTGTTTTTGTTTTTTTCTAGACGGAGTTTTGCTCTTGTGCCCAGGCTGGAGTGCAGTGGCGTGATCTTGGCTCACTGCAATCTCCGTCTCCTGGGTTCAAGCGATTCTCCTGCCTCAGCCTCCCAAGTAGCTGGGATTACAGGCATGCACCTCCATGTCCAGCTAATTTCGTATTTTTAGTAGAGATGAGGTTTCTCCATGTTAGTCAGGCTGGTTTCAAACTCCTGACCTAGGTGTTCCACCCACCTCAGCCTCCCAAAGTGCTGGGATTACAGGCGTGAGCCACCGTGCCCAGCCTTTAAGCTTCACCTTTTAAAGGATATAGAGATAGCAGTATACATTAAAAATATGCATGCATATTTTAAAACCACCACACATGTCTAGACACATCAGACTCAAACTTCCAAAACTCAAAGATTAAGAGAATGTCTTGAAAACGAGAAAAGACATATTACATTGAGAAGAACAAAGCACACTTCTCACCAGAAATTATGCAAGCTAGAAGAGAATAGAAGGTCGTACTTTAAGTGCTAAAAAGAAAAAACTCATCAGAATACCATACCCAATGAAAATATTTCAAAAATGAAAGTGAAATACTTTTTCAGACAAACTGAAGGTGACAGAATTCATCAGACCTGCATTACAAGAAATGTTAAAGAAGTTCTTCAGGAAGATGGAATGTGATACCAGAGGGATGCTTGGATTTACATCAAGAAATGAAGACCTACTCCATAAATGGTTAAAAGGAAGCTCTAAGCCACCACCACCTGCCTGCAAGCCGACTGCTTTCCAATTTTGCTTGGAAGGATCACTTAGCTTTGGAAGCCTAGAGAGAGGGGTGAGCGCTCCAAACTTGTAAAGGCATCTTCATTTGGGTAGGGTCTCTTCTCCGTGACCCAAGGAACCCTTGTCAGGGTCATTATAAAACCTTCACAAAGGGCTTGAATTTTCTTTTTTCTTTTTTCTTTTTTTTTTGAGACAGTCTCTCTCTGTCAGCCAGGCAGGAGTGCAGTGGCACTATCTCGGCTCACTGCAACCTCTGTCTCCCAGGCTCAAGCAATTCTCCTGTCTCACCCTCCCGAGTAGCTGGGATTACAGGTGTGTGCCACCATGCTTGGCTAATGTTTGTATTTTTAGTAGAGATGGGGTTTCACCACGAAGTGAGTCAGGCTGGTCTTGAACTCCTGACCTCAGGTAATCCGCCCACCTTGGCCTCCCAAAGTGCTGGGATTACAGGCGTGAGCCACCGCGCCCAGCCTTGAATTTTCTTTGAATGATAGCACCACTGAAACTTCCCCTTCCAGGAAGCTTCCACCAAAGAATTAGAAGATTCTGTAACCGCAGTGTGCACTCCTAAGTGACAGTGTGCTTAACACTCCCCTTCTTATTGCAACACTCTCTCCCAACCCATTCCCACCACCCAAAGACCTATCAGAGCTTCTGTCATGTTAGTAGCTATGACACTGCTCCCTGGATACATCTAGATACATTTCACTGGTTCTGATGTGACAACCTGACCCACCAGAGCAAATCAGACTTCCCTCTCCTCCAGAAATTTTAAAACTAGAACAGAGAATACACCACAAATCTCTGTTTAGAGTGCCTAACTAGGATGTACAGGTCTGGAGCTGTCCATAACCAAGTTGTCTACTCCAAGGGTCAGAATAGTGGAGGAAACTTACCTGCTAGGGGAAAAAGAGCAGAGTCCAGTGGAGCAAAGTGCAGGCAGGAGCAGAGCTAAAGTATTATAATATTATAATATAAATATTATATTTATATTATAAATATTAAATATTATATTTATATTATATTTATAATATATTATATTTATATTATATTTATAATATATTATATTTATATTATAATATTTATAATATATTTATATTATAATATTTATAATATATTTATATTATAATATTTATAATATATTTATATTATAATATTTATAATATATTTATATTATAATATTTATAATATATTTATATTATAATATTTATAATATATTTATATTATAATATTTATAATATATTTATATTATAATATTTATAATATATTTATATTATAATATTTATAATATATTTATATTATAATATTTATAATATATTTATATTATAATATTTATAATATATATTATATTTATATTATAATAATTATAATATATTATATTTATATTATAATAATTATAATATATTATATTTATATTATAATAATTATAATATATTATATTTATATTTATATGATAATATTTAAATATAAATATTATATTTATATTATAATATTGAAATATAAATATTATATTTATATTATATTATTATATATTATATATAATACTTATATAAGTATTATTATATTATAAATATAATATAATAAAGTAAAATAATGCAGCAGCTTTGGAAGACAGTTAGTGGTTGTTTACAAAACTAAACATACTTTTTACTGTATGATCCTTCAGTTCTGCTCCTTGGTGTTTTACTCAAATATGTTGAAAACTTATGTCCACACAAAAACCTGTACATGAATGTTTATAGCAACATCAGAGAATACCATTGGTGTCTGGGTCCCTGGTCCCGGTTTTCCCTAAAACCTATCTGCTGTTAGGGCCTGCAAAACAACAGAGTATCCCTAAAATTAACTTTTCTTTTTCCTTTAGCTGGAATATCCCTTCAGGTACAGCTTCTGTTTCTTGAAACTAAAAGATTCTCAAGTTCCTCTCACTTCCTCACTGAGAATCTCACCTAACACCCATGTAATTATATATGTAGTCATCTGTCATTTATAGATGGGATCACTTTAAGAAAGCTTGATGTATTAAAATACAAGCGTCCAAACCTGAAAAACTAATGAGTAAGTATTCATTACCCCCAAATAATTATTTGTTCTACAAAAAGAATTTACTAAAGGGAATCTTTTAAACTGCAGTTTTCCCAGCGCTCTCAAGATATTGTTTCAAAACCAGCACGTCCATTACAATATGGTATGATGTAGCCAATAAAAGAGAACAAGATGAATCTGCATGTGCCAATAGTGAA